>NW_025791753.1:0-300000 GCF_000001405.40 Homo sapiens | reverse complement strand
GGGAGGCCTAGCGGGGCAGATCACCTGAAGTCAGGAGTTTGAGACCAGCCTGGCCAAAATGGTGAAACCCCCTCTCTACTAAAAATACAAAAAATTAGCCAGGCGTGGTGGCAGGCGCCTGTAATCCCAGCTACTCAGGAGGCTGAGGCAGGAGAATCACTTGAACCCAGGAGGCGTAGGTTGCAGTGAGCCAGATCGCGCCACTGCACTCCAGCCTGGAAACTCCATCTCAAAAAAAAAAAAAAAAAAAAAAAAGAAAGAAAGTAGTTGTCTTCTAGATGACAAAATGTCAAGTCAGAGATTATTGCAGACTTTTGTTTTGTTTTGGGTTTTTGACTGTGGGTGTGTCCATTCCTCCCTTCTTTGGACAATAGCCCTACTTTTTTTGGGGGGGGGGGTGGCTAGAATTGTCTTCTTTGCCATGGTTTATAGTCTTGGTGGGAAGTTTGTTTAAGGTATCCCGAGCTAAATGATAATCTTGAGACCCACACGAGGATGATCTGATTTTTTATTTATTTATTTATTTATTTATTTTTGAGGCGGAGTCTCGCTGTTACCCAGGCTGGAGTGCAGTGGGGCGATCTCGGCTCACTGCAGGCTCCGCCCCCTGGGGTTCACGCCATTGTCTTGCCTCAGCCTCCAGAGTAACTGGGATTACAGGCACCCGACACCTCGCCCGGCTAATTTTTCGTATTTTTAGTAGAGACGGGGTTTCACCGTGTTAGCCAGGATGGTCTCGATCTCCTGACCTCGTGATCCGCCCGCCTCGGCCTCCCAATGATCTGATTTTTTGAGCATTGCATCATCAGTGGAACAACATGAGAGTAGAAAAAAGTGGCCAGAACCAATCGGCCCCTTCTTGCTACCTAGATCCTAATTGCTTCCCCTGTTCCTGCCGCTCCCTATTCCTGCCCCTTCTGAGCCTGTTCTTTTGAGTCTTCAACTGTTCCTTTGATTCTGTGGGTCTCCTCTTCCAGTAAATCCTATTTTAAAAAATAGTATAGCTGGAGTCTGTTCACTGATCTTTCCAAAAGGTATATATGGAATGGCAGGCACAATACTAGGTGCTAGAATAAAATGAGGAACAAGATTATTGGATAAAGGCTCAGTGAGGACGTAGACAGAAAACAAATAAATAAATATACAAATAAAGTGATTTCTGATATTAATAAAGTTTATTTTAAAAAAACTTCGTTAGAGAGGAATTAAAGCAGGAGGTGAAAGAACTGCAAAACCCCTAAGGTAGAAATAAGCTTAGTGTGTTTGAGGAAGAAAATGGCCAGTGCAGCTGGAGCATAATAAATAAGAGGAGGGGGCAGAGGTGAACCTGAGCCAGGTCACCTGAGACCTCATAGGCCGTGGTAAGAAGTGGATGTTATTCTAAGGACATGGGGAAGCCAATGAAGATTTAAAACAGGAACATCATATGATCTGAAAAATATTAAAAAGTCACTTTGCTATTGGAAAACAGACCTTAGGAGGCCAAGAGTGGAAGGAAGGGAGCTGCTTTGCTGGCTATTGCAGTAAGTAACACCAATGTGAGATCATAGCGATTTACATCATGGCGGTAGCAGCGGGGCTGGTAAGAAGAGAAGGACTGAGCCTTCTAGCAGATAACTTGGTACCCTGCAGATCCCGAAAACAAAACCAACAAAGAAGATAACTGGGGGATAAAAAGAGACAACTTCATGGTTGGAGTCTTTATATTAAGTTTTGTTTGAAGCCTCTGTTTGAGGTTTTTTGCTTCACCCTGGTGGAGGTTTTCTCCCCAGTCATTATGAGGGTGGGAGTTAGATGGTGGGACAAAGAGATAGAGGTCACTCAAATGAAAAGGACCCTGGATAGTATTAGGAATATCTTCACACAGGGTTGCATATGGTGACCAAATGGTGGTAGCGCCCACGGTGGGAGGGGTAGCAGACATGGTGATGGTATTTCCCTAGAACAGGGGTCCCCAGCCCCCAGAGCATGGACTGGTACTGGTCCTGGCCTGTTAGGACCCCGGCTGCATAGCAGGAGGTGAGTGGCAGGCCAGCGAGCATTACCCCTGAGCTCCACCTCCTGTCGATCAGCAGACCAGCAGCTGCATTCAATTCTCATAGGAACGGGAACCCTATTGTGAACTGGGCATATGAAGGATCTAGGTTGCCTGCTTCTTATGAGGATCTAATACCTGATGATCATTCCAAATCCATCCCCCACCCTGTCCATGGAAAAGTTGTCTTCCTTGAAAATGGTTCCTGGTACCAAAAGGGTTGGAGACCACTGCCCTAGGACACTTTAACCTCTTCATGAAGTTGCCTGTTCTCTTAGATTTATTTGCTAGAGCAGCCTCATAACTATAGGTGATTCATACTAGGTCTCACAGGAGTTCCAAACAGAATTCTGTAATGATTTTATATTGTGAAACCTGACATCTCATGGCAGCAACATTATCATTATCACCATAATTACATATATAATTACATGATTAATATTTATTGAGTAAATGATAAATGCTAGGCCCTATCTTAAACATTTCATAAGAATAATATTATTTAATTCTCACTATAATTCTGTGAGAAAGATGCTATCGTGATCCCGTTTTATAGAGAGGTTAAGTAATTTGACAAGATCACACAGTTATGAAATGGTAGAAGTTGTGTTTAATTGGCAGGTGTTGATTTTCTGTTTCATGTGTATTAGAGTAATTGTTTTTGTGCATCTTGTATGTTTTTAAAATTTTTTCCTAGGTTTGCTTTTTGTTAAAAAGTAAACCAAAACAAAACAAATGAAGACTGTAAAACGAAAACCTTTGGTAGAACTTGGGCAAAAATGGTCTGGTCTTCAAGTTAGCATACCAAGTATGAAAATGTCATCTGTTTAAAAATACTAAGCTGCATGATTAAAATTTGACCTTGTGAAAATTTGCTTTCTAATTTATATGGCACACCACCTGAAGGCCAGCACAGAGAAATATATGACCTGTTTAAAACGAAAGGAAGTGTACCTGGGCACGACCAAGAATCTATCAAAAAAGCATCAGAAAGCTCCATATTAAGGTTAATAAAAATAGGTGAACCGCACATTTCAAAGGAGAATCTGGGACACTATTCAAATAACAAAGACTTAAAGCAGGCTGGGTTCACTGCCCAGAATAATAGGCACATGCATTTACAGAATGGGGGGATTTTGTCCACTGTACGCATGCTCATTCACACTCACATCTAACCCTACAACACCAGCTCCGAGAAAGTGGATGCAATGAAGGAAATGTTAACATGAGCGGTGACCCTAGTGTACAAACAATATCAAATTTTAGATTCTTTTTGTTTCCATGATAGTCTAATCTGTATTATCTTTTGGCTATATCAACCTTGACTTTGAAATCTCCAAATAAACATTTCAACCAAAATGTACGGCTGTATTGTAATTTCAGCAAGAAGGGTTTTCATTGTTTGCACATATCTTCAAAAAGAAAAAAAAGTGTGCTTGGTAGTAATCAAAAGCACATTCTCGAGTGAGCATGCTTTGGTGGTATATTCTACAGACTGGGAAAGGTCCTACTTATCACTCTCAAATTTTCAGCATACATCTAGTTTCCTGATGTGCAGCGTTAAAAAACTGCTCTGACTTCTTTGTCTTTCTTTACTGTAGAGAGAATAATAGCTTCTTTGTGAATGGGAGAGCTGGGTCTCTAACTCCACAGAATGACCTTGGATTGGGGAAAGGTTCAGAAGTCTGTGTGTTTGTTACTATTACTATTGCTGCATAGCAAATCACCTCAGTGGCTGAAAACTGCAAGTATTTAGTACTCACAGTTTTGGAGGGTCAGAAATCTGGGAGCAGCTTAGCTGGTTAGAATTGCCTCAAGTTCTCTCATGAGGTTGCAGTCAAGCACTCAGCTGGGGCTGCTGTCATCTCAAGACTCGACAGGGGCTGAAAGGTCCGTTTTCAGACTCACGCACACGGTATTTGGCAGGCTTTAGTTCCTGTCCACACAATAGGTCTGCTTATAACACGGTAGCTTAGTTCCCCCAGCACAACTGATCTAAAAGAAAGAGAGCATGCATACTCCAAATGGAAGCCACAGTTGTTTTTGCTTTTTAAAAAATAATCTAATCTCGGAAGCAACATTCCATCACTGCTGCCCTACTGTATTCATTACAAATGAGTACTAGATCCATCCCAGACTCAAGGCGAGGGAATTACACAAGGGTTTGATGACCAGGGATCACTGGGGACCAACTTAGAGACTGCCTATTACAGTCTGCATCCATTACCTGAGCTCCTGGACACCAGAGGAGCAGCAGAATTAGTTCTCTCTTTCTTCTTCTGGAACAAGACTAGTACAAACTAAGCACAAAAGGGAAGGGGGAGTATAACCAGAGCTGAGGCTGAAGACTATGCCAAGCTATGTAAGCCTTATTAAAGATTTTTGTCTATATCCTCAGAACAATAACAAACTCAGACTCTGCTTGCCTCAGTCATCCCTTCAACCACCGCTGGAAGACATTGCTGGCAGTGACTGGCCCTGGGGACTTCAGTGTCTTCTTGCGTGCCTTAAAGGCTAAGGTTCACATCTATGGCTCCAGTGTCCTACCCGAGGGTAGGTTAAAAGAATGACATGGGTGACTCAAGACTAGAGAAGTGCCTGGCCCTGTGAGGCAGACATATTAATAGTTTGAGAGGCAAGAAGTCGGGTCCCAGGTTCCCACCATGAGGAACTAGGAAGCCATAGAAGGAAGATGCAAATGCCACACACCTGCAGGTGCCTGGCGGGTAGCATAAATAAGTGAACCTGCTTAGGTGTAAGGGCATAGGGAATAGTGTTGGTGACTGTGACTGTGACTTTCTGGACCATTGACCAAACAAAATACATCAGTGAAGGCAAGTCTCTAGGATAGTACCACCAGCAGGGGGCACCTGCAGATGGTTTTCATTGTCACAAAATTAGGTTTGGTACTTGGGGATGAGCAGCTATTCACAGTAGAGAAGCTCCAGTTTGAAGTATCCTACACTACTTGAATTCACTACAGGCTGCATGGAGGAAGCAGCATGGCCACTTTGATTTCCAGAACTACCCGTACACAATGTGAAAAGAAGAATAGAGGTGAGGTGGATTTGGTTTTGGAGGTGAGTGAGCAGGTGCCTCCAAATAAGAGTTGGGGCTCAAGGTTTTCTTTAAAAAGATAGACTCTTGAAAAATTGCACTCTAGTTACATTAGTGCCAACTCATGAGGTCACCTGTTCTTTTTTCCCTCTCCCATTATCTCCCCTTTCTACCCCATTCTACCCTCTCCCTGATGCCCTATACATCACAGAAACTTGCCCTTGAGATGTAAGACTGTTTGGAAGGAGGTTGGAAGAGCTGGCCTTGGCTCAGAGAGTTGCTTTTACCTTGTGGTATCTTAAAGGTGCCACCTGATGTCCAACCATTCATAACAGACAGAGAGCTGTTGCCAACAAGGTCAGCAGAACATAGCACTAGAGAGCACCAGAGGAGACACCTAAAGATGTGGCTTTTGGCACATCATCTGGGGATGAACAAGTTGGGCCTGGACTAGGACGAAGCAAGTAAGACACTCCCTGAATCATGAAAATGCAGGGTCAGATCCTGTCTTTATTTAAAGTTTTGATATTTTGTTCATTGTGGATTTTTTTTGCATTACTATTTTTCTAAAATATTGCATTAAAATATGATTTATCTTGATTACCAAGATTTTGGCACGCTTTAAACTTCGCACCTCAGGTGAGTGCCTTGCTCCTCTCATCCTAGTTCCAGCCCTGAATACCTTAACAGTTGAATCAAAGTTTGAACCAATTGATCTGGTCCATCAGCACCAGACCCTTCTGGTTTGGATTTTTTTTTCCCTCCCTCTATCTCCTAAGAATGTACCGAAGCCAGCAAATAAAGGATGCAATAATTCTCTTCTGTATACCACAAGCTCTGAGCCTGGGCCAGCTTGGGTATTTCTGTACCTCTCTGTCTGTTATTATTATATCACACGCATAGCCTAAAACTGGGATACTTTTATCTGAATAAAAGATTATTCTGGTCGAAAGGAATTGTGATGGTTAATGTTGGATGTGCTTGTTCTTTTACCAAACTGATATAATGTTTTGTTTTGGTTTTTGAGACGGCGTCTGGCTCTTTCACCCAGGCTGGAGCGCAGTGGCACAGTCTCCACTCACTGTGACCTCTGCCTCCCAGGCTCAAGCCACTTTCCTACCTCAGCCTCCTGAGTAGCTGGGACTACAGATGTGCACCAGCACGCCTGGCTAATTTTTGTTGTATTTTTTGTAGAGATGGGTTTCACATGTTGCCCAGGCTGGTCTCGAACTACTGTGCTCAAGCCATCTGCCTGCCTCACCTCTGACAGTGCTGGGATTACAGGCATGAGGCGTGGCACCCTACCCCTATGGCATTAACTCCTAAAGCCACTTGAACTTTGCAAAGATAAAGGACTGTTGAGTTTTGCTCACCTTTTGTCCAGAATTGCCAGATATTTGATACGGTACTCAACAGCTCAGTATTTTGACATTTTATATGCTAAAATAAAAATGAAAACAAAAGCGAATACAGAACATGAGATTTTTCTCATTAAAATTTCTTCCTCGTGTGAAGCTTTCTGAGGCTGTATCTTGATATTTTTGAACCTTTGCCAGCTGGAAGAAAGGACAAAACAGCTGTTCTAAACTGCCAAGAAATTGGCTGGTGCATAGAAGAGGGAATTTGTCTTTGTTGTATATTTTGCCTTTGTCCTGGGAGTGATTATTTTGATCAGCACTTTTGGTTGTACAGATGTGAGCCAAATATCTAGCAGAGGGTAGCTCCTGATTTTAGTTAAGTAATTCACTGCTGAGACTTCAGATTATGATGTAAAGTGTTCTGCTTAATAGTGATAAAAGCTGACCTGAAAAGGGTGTTATATTCTTTTTTTTTTTTTTTTTTTTGAGACAGAGTCTCACTCTGTCACCCAGGCTGTAGTGCAATGGGACGATCTCAGCTCACTGCAAGCTCTGCCTCCCGGATTCACGCCATTCTCCTGCCTCAGCCTCCCGAGTAGCTGGGACCACAGGCACCCGCCACCACGTCCAGCTAATTTTTTGTATTTTTAGTAGAGATGGGGTTTCACCGTGTTAGCCAGGATGGTCTCGATCTCCTGACCTTGTGATCCCCCCGCCTTGGCCTCCCAAAGTGCTGGGATTATAGGCGTGAGCCACCATGCCCGGCCAAGGGTGTTATATTCTTTTACATAATACAGTTATGCAACGATTTTAAATATTCTTCGGAGATACACATTAAATATTTAGGGGTGAAGAATCTACATCTTACTCTCAAATGGTTCATCAAAATAATACTAATGTTTGTGTCTGTGTGCTTGTGTGTGTGTGTGTGTGTGTGTAAAGAGAGAAAACAAATGTGGCAAAATGTGAACGATCTATGAAGCAATTGAAAGATTTACAGGACTTTATTGTGCTAGTTTTACAACTTTACTATATGTTGAAAATTTTAAATTTTTCAAGCTGGAAAGTTAAAAAAATCAGTGTTACTTTTCACTCATATGTGTGTATGAGTGAAAGTTATTATATATGGCTTCAGGGACCAGCTAGTAGATGGCATGATACAAGAAACAAAGGCAAGGACCATGGATATATATGGCTATCTTGTCCTTAGAGGTATTTTTTCTTTTTTTTAAGAGACAGGGTCTTGCTCACTGTCACCCAGGCTGGAGTGCAGTGGTGTGATTACAGTTCACTGTAGGCTCAACTCCTGGGCTCAAGTGATCCTCCCACCTCAGCCTCCAGAGTAACTGGGACTAGTGGTTTGCACTACCATCCCTAGATAATTTTTAAATTTTTTTTTGTAGAGACAAGATCTCGCTATGTTGCACAGGCTGGTTTCGAACTCCTGGCCTTAAGTGATCCTCCTGCCTCAGCCTCCTGAAGTGTTGAAATTATAGGCATGAGCCACTGAACGTGGCAGCAATATTTTTTTTTTCTAATTCAGAATCCAATCCAAGATCTGAACTAGGATCATGCATTCCATTTAGTTATTGTTATCACTATGGATTTTTAAAGCAGTCTGGATTGATTGACACATGCTCCTTTGACTTGTACTGGAACTACTTGCCCCATCCTGGAAAATGACTCGGATTTTAGCGATGGTGTGATTGTCATGAATGCCTTGAAAGCTATTTATGAATTTATTCCAGTATTGTTTCTGGTCCCAGAAATGTATTTATTGACCCCAACATCAGTCCCTTCAATTTTTGAGATCTGATATCTATGTTCAAATCAAGGAGAATTATTCATGTAATTCACACAAGTCTTCCCTCACTATTCCAACCCCCTTTCCAGAAATTTACATACCATATTTCTTGCATGATTTCCCCTCTCCCAACGTCAGATACAGATAAATAGTGGGTGTTGAAAGGATAAAGGGGATTGTGTGAGTAAATTACCACCAGCTATCTGAAGGCTTGGTTGTAATTTCTTTCCTTGAGGTTTGAGGTTTTTGTTATGGCTGACAGACAAGGCTAACCATTGAAAGGGATGGATCTGAATAAACACACACACACGGTTCACAGTAATCATTTATTGAATGAATGAATGAATGAACGAATGAATGAGATAATGCATCAGAAATACTGTGTACATTTTAAGGCATTGTCCCAGTTGTCTATTCCTGCATAAACACACACACACACACACACTCACACACACACACTTCCTCAAGACAGATACAAGATGGGGGAAATGTCCACCTTTTCTGCTCCCTAGACCTCCAGCCAGCAAGTGAGGAAATCCACTTATTCAGCTTCCTTGCCAATGCTTTGGTCTCACATGATAAATCAGAAAGATGAGAAATGGAAAATCTGGGTCACTGGCCTAGCCCTAGGGAGCACTTTGGAGCAGAACTGAAATTAAAATTCATGACTTCTACACAGTATTGGAGTCCTGCCTGGTATGCAAACATTAATGAAAAATAGCTATGATTTATAGAATGCTTAAAATGTGCTAGACAATGAATTAAAAACTTTTCATATATTAGCTCATTTTGTTCTTACAGTGGCCCTATTAGGTAGTTATTATCATTAACCTTGTTTTACAAATGAGGAAGCTAAAGCACAGAGTTTAAGTCATGTCCAAAATTGCATGGTTGGAAATTGACAGAGGAGGAGGATTGGAACCCATGTCCCTGACTGTAGAGCCAGTAATCTTAACTGCTCTGTTGTAATGCCTGCCAGCAACCTCAGCTGCGCTGCACCGCTCTTTCAGATGAATGGGACCTTAGGCACTCACTCACAGGAGACAGGGAATATTTTTCCTTCTACCAGAGAAAAATAAAATTGTTTTCATCAATACTGTTTTTAAGTTAATTTTTTAATTGACAAATAGTAATTGCATATATTTATGGGGTACAATGTTTTGATATATGCATATACTGTGGAATGATGAAAACAAGCTAATAATATTTTTTAATTTTAAATAAAAGCACTGTATTTTGCAATCCCAATGTATGATAAAATTTTATATTGCTAGCATACTTCAGTACTCTACTCAGATGCTACCTTCTTTAGAAAAACTTCTCTGGTGGAATTTAATTAATCACTCCCTCCTTCATGTTCTGCTTGGTGTAGCACTTTACCCGATCTGGTTTGTATTATGGTTTGATGAATGCTTGCCTGGCTTTCCACACTAGATTTTAACACTGGATTTCTACACTAGATTTTAGCAATGCCTAGCACATGCTCTGTGTTTGTTTAATTAAATGAATGAAGGTAACCACACTGTCCTTGAGTTTTACCAACTGTGGAAATAAAATTAAGTCCCGTGAGCATTAGCTGCCTCTGAACTCCTACCTGTTCACTTAGGAAATTAAGTCCCTTACAAATTCCCCTGTACCCCACAAATACTTCTGCTTTTTCCAAGAATTGTTTTCTCTTCTAAACTGCTCCTGGTCCTGATTTTGGTTGTTCCGAGTCACAGCTGGCACTTTGCCTACTATGTATAGTCTTCAGAGCCACACATCCTCCTCCAAACCCTCCTGCCCCATTCCACTCCAGCTACTGAAGGGCAGATCTTTTCATTCTTTTTTTTTTTTTTTATACTTTAAGTTCTAGGGTACATGTGCACAACATGCAGGTTAGTTACATATGTATACATGTGCCATGCTGGTGAGCTGCACCCATTAACTCGTTATTTACATTAGGTATATCTCCTAATGCTATCCCTCCCCCGCCCCCCAACCCCAAACAGGCCCCAGTGTGTGATGTTCCCCTTCCTGTGTCTATGTGTTCTCATTGTTCAATTCCCACCTATGAGTGAGAGCATGCAGTATTTGGTTTTTTTGTCCTTGTGATAGTTTGCTGAGAATGATGGTTTCCAGCTTCATCCATGTCCCTACAAAGGACATGAACTTATCATTTTTTATGGCTGCCTAGTATTCCATGGTGTATATGTGCTAGATTTTCTTAATCCAGTCTATTATTGATGGACATTTGACTTGGTTCCAAGTCTTTGCTATTGTGAATAGTCCCGCAATAAACATACGTGTGCATGTGTCTTTATAGCAGCATGATTTATAATCCTTTGGGTATATACCCAGTAATGGGATTGCTGGGTCAAATGGTATTTCTAGTTCTAGATCCCTGAGGAATCACCACACTGACTTCCACAATGGTTGAACTAGTTTATAGTCCCAACAATGTAAAAGTGTTCCTATTTCTCCACATCCTCTCCAGCACCTGTTTTTTCCTGACTTTTTAATGATCGCCATTCTAACTGGTGTGAGATGGTATCTCATTGTGGTTTTGATTTGCATTTCTCTGATGGCCGGTGATGATGAGCCTTTTTTCCTGTGTCTGTTGGCTGCATAAATGTCTTCTTTTGAGAAGTGTCTGCTCATATCCTTCGCCCACTTGTTGATGGGGTTGTTTGTTTTTTTCTTGTAAATTTGTTTGAGTTCATTGTAGATTCTGGATATTAGCCCTTTGTCAGATAAGTAGATTGCAAAAATTTTCTCCCATTCTGTAGGGCCTGTTCACTCTGATGGTAGTTTTCTTTGCTGTGCAGAAGCTCTTTAGTTTAATTAGATCCCATTTGTCAATTTTGGCTTTCCTTGCCATTGCTTTTGGTGTTTTAGACATGAAGTCCTTGCCCATGCCTATGTCCTGAATGGTATTGCCTAGGTTTTCTTCTAGGGTTTTTATGGTTTCAGGTCTAACATTTAAGTCTTTAATACATCTCGAATTAATTCTTGTATAAGGTGTAAGGAAGGGATCTAGTTTCAGCTTTCTACATATGGCTAGCCAGTTTTCCCAGCACCGTGTATTAAACAGGGAATCATTTCCCCATTGCTTGTTTTTATCAGGTTTGTCAAAGATCAGATGGTTATAGATATGTGGCATTATTTCTGAGGGCTCTGTTCTGTTCCATTGGTCTGTTTTGTTTACCAAAAATCTCTGTTTTGGTACCAGTACCATGCTGTTTTGGTTACTGTAGCCTTGTAGTATAGTTTGAAGTCAGGTAGCGTGATGCCTCCAGCTTTGTTCTTTTGGCTTAGGATTGACTTGGCAATGCGGGTTCTTTTTTGGTTCCATATGAACTTTAAAGTAGTTTTTTCCAATTCTGTGAAGAAAGTCACTGGTAGCTTGATGGGGATGGCATTGAATCTATAAATTACCTTGGGCAGCATGGCCATTTTCACGATATTGATTCTTCCTGTCCATGAGCATGGAATGTTCTTCCATTTCTTTGTATCCTCTTTTATTTCATTGAGCAGTGGTTTGCAGTTCTCCTTGAAGAGGTCCTTCACATCCCTTGTAAGTTGGATTCCTAGGTATTTTATTCTCTTTGAAGCAATTGTGAATGGGAGTTCACTCATGATTTGGCTGTTTGTCTTTTACTGGTGTATAAGAATGCTTGTGATTTTTGCACATTGATTTTGTATCATGAGACTTTGCTGAAGTTGCCAATCAGCTTAAGGAGATTTTGGGCTGAGATGATGGGGTTTTCTAGATATACAATCATGTCGTCTGCAAACGGACAATTTGACTTCCTCTTTTCCTAATTAAATGCCCTTTATTTCCTTCTCCTGCCTGATTGCCCTGGCCAGAACTTCCAACACTATGTTGAATAGGAGTGGTGAGAGAGGGCATCCCTGTCTTGTGCCAGTTTTCAAAGAGAATGCTTCCAGTTTTTGCCCATTCAGTATGATATTGCCTGTGGGTTTGTCATAGATAGCTCTTATTATTTTGAGATATGTCTCATCCATACCTAATTTATTGATAGTTTTTAGCATGAAGCGTTGTTGAATTTTGTCAAAGGCCTTTCTGCATCTATTGAGATAAACATATGGTTTTTGTCACTGGTTCTGTTTATATGCTGATTACGTTTATTGATTTGCATATGTTGAACCAGCCTTTGCATCCCAGGGATGAAGCCCACTTGATCATGGTGGATAAGCTTTTTGATGTGCTGCTGGATTCGGTTTGCCAGTATTTTATTGAGGATTTTTGCATCGATGTTCATCAGGGATATTGGTCTAAAATTCTCTTTTTTTTGTTGTATCTCTGCCAGGCTTTGGTATCAGGATGATGCTGGCCTCATAAAATAAGTTAGAGAGGATTCCCTCTTTTTCTATTGATTGGAATAGTTTCAGAAGGAATGGTACCAGCTCTTCCTTGTACCTCTGATAGAATTCGGCTGTGAATCCATCTGTTCCTGGACTTTTTTTGGTTGGTAAGCTGTTAATTATTGCCTCAATTTCAGAGCCTGTTATTGGTATATTCAGAGATTCAACTTCTTCCTGGTTTAGTCTTGGGAGGGTTCATGTGTCGAGGAATTTATCCATTTCTTCTAGATTTTCTAGTTTATTTGCATAGAGGTGTTTATAGTATTCTCTGATGTTAGTTTGTATTTCTGTGGGATCGGTGGTGATATCCCCTTTATCGTTTTTTATTGCATCTATTTGATTCTTCTCTCTTTTCTTCTGTATTAGTCTTGCTAGCGGTCTATCAATTTTGTTGATCCTTTCAAAAAACCAGCTCCTGGATTCATTGATTTTTTGAAGGGTTTTTTGTGTCTCTATTTCCTTCAGTTCTGCTCTGATCTTAGTTATTTCTTGCCTTCTGCTAGCTTTTGAATGTGTTTGCTCTTGCTTCTCTAGTTCTTTTAATTGTGATGTTAGGGTGTCAATTTTAGATCTTTCCTGCTTTCTCTTGTGGGCATTTAGTGCTATAAATTTTCCTCTACACACTGCTTTGAATGTGTCCCAGAGATTCTGGTACATTGTGTCTTTGTTCTCGTTGGTTTCAAAGAACATCTTCATTTCTGTCTTCATTTCATTATGTACCCAGTAGTCATTCAGGAGCAGGTTATTCAGTTTCCATGTAGTTGAGCGGTTTTGAGTGAGTTTCTTAATCCTGAGTTCTAGTTTGATTGCACTGTGGTCTGAGAGACAGTTTATTATAATTTCTGTTCTTTTACATTTGCTGAGGAGTGCTTTACTTCCAAATATGTGGTCAATTTTGGAATAAGTGCGGTGTGGTGCTGAGAAGAATGTATATTCTGTTGATTTGTGGTGGAGAGTTCTGTAGATGTCTATTAGGTCCACTTGGTGCAGAGCTGAGTTCAATTCCTGGATATCCTTGTTGAGTTTCTGTCTCGTTGATCTGTCTACTGTTGACAGTGGGGTGTTAAAGTCTCCCATTATTATTGTGTGGGAGTCTAAGTCTCTTTCTAGGTCTCTAAGGACTTGCTTTATCAATCTGGGTGCTCCTGTATTGGGTGCATATATATTTAGGATAGTTAGCTCTTCTTGTTGAATTGATCCCTTTACCATTATGTAATGGCCTTCTTTGTCTCTTTTGATCTTTGTTGGTTTAAAGTCTGTTTTATCAGAGACTAGGATTGCAACCCCTGCATTTTTTTGTTTTCCATTTTCTTGGTAGATCTTCCTCCATCCCTTTATTTTGAGCCTATGTGTGTCTCTGCATGTGAGACGGGTTTCTTGAATACAGCACACTGATGGGTCTTGACTCTTTATCCAATTTGCCATTCTGTGTCTTTTACTTGGAGCATTTAGCCCACTTACATTTAAGGTGAATATTGTTATGTTTGAATTTGATCCTGTCATTATGATGTTAGCTGGTTATTTTGCTTGTTAGTTGCTGCAGTTTCTTCCTAGCCTTGATGGTCTTTACAATTTGGCATGTTTTTGCAGTGGCTGGTACCGGTTGTTCCTTTCCATGTTTAGTGCTTCCTTCAGGAGCTCTTTTAGGGCAGGCCTGGTGGTGACAAAATCTCTCCGCATTTGCTTGTCTGTAAAGTATTTTATTTCTCCTTCACTTATGAAGCTTCATTTGGCTGGATATGATATTCTGGTTGAAAATTCTTTTCTTTAAGAATGTTGAATATTAGCCCCCACTCTCTTCTGGCTTGTAGAGTTTCTGCCAAGAGATCCGCTGTTAGTCTGATGGGCTTCCCTTTGAGGGTAACCCGACCTTTCTCTCTGGCTGCCCTTAACATTTTTTCCTTCATTTCAACTTCGGTGAATCTGACAATTATTTGTCTTGGAGTTGCTCTTCTCAAGGAGTATCTTTGTGGCATTCTCTGTATTTCCTGAATTTGAATGTTGGCCTGCCTTGCTAGATTGGGGAGGTTCTCCTGGATATTATCCTGCCGAGTGTTTTCCAACTTGGTTCCATTCTCCCCGTCACTTTCAGGTACACCAATCAGACGTAGATTTGGTCTTTTCACATAGCCCCATATTTCTTGAAGGCTTTGTTCATTTCGTTTTATTCTTTTTTCTTTAAACTTCTCTTCTTGCTTCATTTCATTCATTTCATCTTCCATCACTGATACCCTTTCTTCCAGTTGATGGAATCGGCTACTGAGGCTTGTGCATTTGTCACGTAGTTCTCGTGCCTTGGTTTTCAGCTCCATCAGGTCCTTTAAGGACTTCTCTGTATTGGTTATTCTAGTTAGCCATTCGTCTAATTTTTTTTCAAGGTTTTTAACTTCTTTGCCATGGGTTCGAACTTCCTCCTTTAGCTCAGAGTAGTTTGATCGTCTGAAGCCTTCTTCTCTCAACTTGTCAAAGTCATTCTCCATCCAGCTTTGTTCCATTGCTGGCGAGGAGCTGCATTCCTTTGGAGGAGGAAAGGCACTCTGATTTTTAGAGTTTCCAGTTTTTCTGCTCTATTTTTCCCCATCTTTGTGGTTTTATCTACCTTTGGTCTTTGATGATGGTGATGTACAGATGGGGTTTTGGTGTGGATGTCCTTTCTGTCTGTTAGTTTTCCTTCTAACAGTCAGGACCCTCAGCTGCAGGTCTGTTGGAGTTTGCTTGAGGTCACTCCAGACCTTGTTTGCCAGGGTATCAGCAGCGGAGGCTGCAGAACAGCAGATACTGGTGAGCAGCAAATGTTGCTGCCTGATCGTTCCTCTGGAAGTTTTGTCTCAGAGGAGTTCCCGGCCATGTGAGGTGTCTGTCTGCCCCTACTGGAGGGGGGGCCTCCCAGTTAGGCTACTTGGGAGTCAGGGACCAACCTAAGGAGGCAGTCTGTCCATTCTCAGATCTCAAGCTGTGTGCTGGGAGAACCACTACTCTCTTCAAAGCTGTCAGACAGGGACATTTAAGTCTGCAGAGGATTCTGCTGCCTTTTGTTTGACTATTCCCTGCCCCCAGAGGTGCAGTCTACAGAGGCAGGCAGGCCTCCTTGAGCTGCAGTGGGCTCCACCCAGTTCGAGCTTCCAGGCTGCTTTGTTTACCTACTCCAGCCTCGGCAATGGCAGGCGCCCCTCCCCCAGCCTCGCTGCCGCCTTGCAGTTCGATCTCAGTCTGCTGTGCCAGCAATGAGGGAGGCTCTATGGGCGTAGGACCCCCCGAGCCATGCACGGGATATAATCTCCTGGTGTGCCGTTTGCTAAGACTGTTGGAAAAGTGCATTATTAGGGTGGGAGTGACCCGATTTTCCAGGTGCCATCTGTCACCCCTTTCTTTGACTAGGAAAGGGAATTCCCTGACCTCTTGTGCCTCCCGGGTGAGGTGATGCTTCGCCCTCCTTTGGCTCATGCTGGGTGCAGTGCACCCACTGCCCTGCACCCACTTTCTGACACTCCCCAGTACCTCAGTTGGCAAGGCAGAAATCACCCGTCTTCTGCATCGCTCACGCTGGGAGCTCTAGACTGGAGCTGTTCCTATTTGGCCACCTTGGCTCCACCTCAGATCTTTTCATTCTTGTATATACAACAGTTTACTTGGACAGCCTGGGTAGTCAGGAACATCCATCCAAGCCACACTTCTGCCTATTAGGTTCCTCTGTTGTGCTAAACAACAATTTGAATTTATAAATTCTATTGAACAGTGTTTCATCAAGTGAAACTCCAGTTTCATTGTACCTAGGAACTTGCTTCTCTTACTGCCTATTATTTAATCTTTCTAAGACTCTGTTTTCTCTTCTATAAAAAGAGGGTTGTCTTGCTGGGATGCTCCCTTGACATGCTTCACTTATCTTTATCGCCCTTATCACCATCTGGCATATTGTAGTTATTCCTTTACTTATTATCTATCTAAACCAGTAGATTGTAAGCTCCATGAAAACAGGGTCTTTGCTGGCCTTTTTTTAAACTACTGTGTCTCTAGAATAAAGAGTAGTGCCTGACACATAATGGTTCACAGTAATTATTTATTGGATGAATGAATGAGATAATGCATCAGAAATACTGTGTCCATTTTAAGGCATGATCTCAGTTGTCTATTCCTGCATAAACAATCTACCCCACAATTCAGTAGCTCAAAACAACCATTTTATTGTATCTTATGATTTTGTGGGTCAGTAATTTGGACAGGTCTCAGCTGAGCAATTTGTTTTCCCCATGCAGTATTGACTGGGTCACTTGCTGGTATTCAGTGGAAGGCAGGGCTGCTCTGGAGGTCCCAGGTAACTTCACTTATATTGTGTGCCTGATGCCTTTGAGGACTGCTGGTGGCCTCAAGACCTCTCCTCTCTATAGCTCCAGCAAGGTAGTCGGATTTCTTTCATGGCAGCTCAGTATATCAAGAGGCCTACTGGAAACTGCAAGGTTTCTTATTGCCCAGGTTCAGGAGTTTATGGCCTAGAACTGCATTCTATTGGTCAAGCAAGTCATGAAGACCAGCTTAGATCCAAGGGAGGGGAATTAGATTCTACCTCTGAATAAGAGAAGTAGCAAAAAATTTGTAGCCATCTTGAATCTACCACATTCCTTTTCCTCTGGCCACAGACATTATTACCACAAGCAAAATAAACTCACACTCTCCTAAAGCCCTCAAAAGTTTCCTGACATTTACTGCATCAGCCTAGAAGTCCACTTTCTCACCATCTAACTCAAATTCAGGTGATGATGAGGCTCCTGGCACTCAGCTCCTTGAGTATAGTTCCCCTTGATCTGAAGTCACTGGGGCTCTCACACCCAAGAAACAATGGGACAGAGATAGGATAACCATAATAGGCACTCCCATTCGAAGAGTCAGAGAACAGAGGCATACAGCGGTCAGTAGTCCACAGCAATTTTGAAATCTAGCTGAGTACATATTACCAGTTCCTTGATTAGGGCCCAGTCCTGCTCCTGGGAGTGATTCCCTCTGGCTATCCATCAGTCCTCTGGGCTCTTGGTTCCATTCTTTGAGCCGTTCTTCTTTTTCCCTAAGAAGTAATCCTTGTTTTTGGCTGGGTAACTTTCTCAGCCTGCTTCTCTGAGGCAGGTTGAGGGTCCAAAGGCATCTTTTCACTTTGTACTCTCTTCATCCTTTTCAGTCAGTCCATGCTGGTATAATTCACTTAAAAATGTTAAGGCGTCTTATATACTAATTGATAATGAACTTTACTAGGCAAAAGCCACACCCACATTTCATTCTGAAGCCAGCTTTTTCACCTTGCTTGGACTAACTGTGAGTCCGACATGGGATAACAGAACCTTAAAATTCTTAGAAACTCTTTTGTCCAATGGAGAGGTGCATTGCCCAAGATTGTAGAAGGCTTTTTGTTTAACTGAAAGGATATATGAGGCACCACCTTAATTGAGGTCTTAATCATGGGTCTAGCTGTCACATCTTGGAATTTATTTTTGCCCTGGAGCCATTTCTTATTTTGAAAACTTTCCCTGTCTAGAGAGATTGAGGATGAGAAGTAGTTTGATGTTTGAACCCAGCAAAGTCTACGGCCATGCCACCCTGAATGCACCCGATCTCTTCTGAACCCAGCAAGTCCTGCCTCTTTATAATTCCTCTAAATTCTGCTTAAAAACCAAATGGCTCCTTTTTTAGCCCACTTTTTTTTCTTTTTTTTTTTAATCAATATCTGATAATAATGTGGCTAAAAGAAACCTCTTTGTAGTTTTGAAATTCTGCTGAAAATCTCCTTAGCCAGATCCTCCCATTCATTGGGCACCTTTTCTATTTTCCCACATTATCAAAGACGAAAACTTTCTGCCATTACATAACACAGGTCATTTCTTCAGCCACCCCCCATAGTATTTTCTTTACTGTCCTTCAGTCTCTCCAGCAGTCTCCTCGATGTCCTTCCAGTATTCACTAACATTTTTCTCGAGGCCTTTCTAACTTCTGTGGCAACCAGGTACAAAGTCATTGCCATTTGTTTTCAGTTTTTGTTATAGTGAAAGTCCACTTTCAGATACCAAATTTAGTTCCAGTTATCTATTGTTACTTAGTAAACTACTCCAAAACTTAGCACAATAAGCAATTTATTGTATCTCATCATTTTGGTAATCAATAATTCTAGCATGGTTCAGCAGGGCAAATTTATTCCATAGTGGCCACAGTTAGGGTTGCTCAGTTGTGTCCAGCTGATGGAAGACTGCTTCACACATAATGCCTGGCACCCTGATGGGAACTGCTGGTCGTTGTGCTCAGCTAGGCCCCTCCCCTTGTCATGTGGTCTCATGGCCTCTGCACGTGGTTTATCTAGCATGGTAGTTTGACTTATCCAGCAGCTTAGGCCTTAGAAGACATGTCCCAAGAGTCTCACATGGAAGCTACAAGGCTTCTTACTTACTTAGCCTGGCCAGTCAGACATCTCTTCTGCTGTATTCTATTAGTCAAGTAAGTCTCTAAGGGTAGCCCATATTAAAGGGAGGAGAATTAGATTCCACCTCTCAATGGGAGAAGTAGCAAGTAATTTGTGGTCATCTTTAATCTACTACAGACACTGTATCCTTGATCTCAGAATGATGCCTCTTTGTCTGGAAAGGGCATTTGTTTTTTAAGCCCAAGGTTAGAGAGACAGACATGGAGCTGTGACGGATCAAGAAGACATCATGTTCTGACTAACCAGGTGATCACAGGGATCACTGAAGTGACAGATGTTGCAGACATATTGTCCTCCTATCTAAGTCCCAGCCAATGTTACGTGTCAAAATTAGGGAAGCAGTACGCAAAATGGTTAGGCAGGCCATTCTGAAACAAAACTGATTGGTTTCAAATCTCAGCTTTGCCATCAATCAGCTTTGTGAATGTGGGCAGTATAATTTACCTCCCTGTGCTCCACATTAGTCATTTGTAAAGTGGGCATTAACTAGAGCCTACCTCAAAAGACTGCTGCGAGGATGAAAAGAGTTAGTACACACACAATTGTTAGAGGAGGATCTGGCAAAAATATATTAGACATAGCTATTTTTATTATTGATGTATAGATTATGCAGTAAACTATATCAACATCAATAATCCTTTTTACCCAGAAACAAGTTGGAGAGAAGAAAAGGAAAATGAATTTTAAAAACTGAATGAAAGGTAAAAGTATCATTGGAATATTTGGAGCTGACTGTAAAGACTGTGACACCTTCCGATTTTTTGTCCCTTATCATCAATTCAGGTATTCCCTGAAGCACAATCAGTTGACCAAACTAAGAGCAGTGCCCTCAGGAAAGAATAAAATGAATAGTTTAATTTATCAACATCATTTACCCAGGTTATTTGAGTTCTTTTTATTTATTTATTTATTTTTTGAGACGGAATCTCGCTGTCGCCCAGGTTGGAGTGCAGTGGCGCGATCTCGGCTCGCTGCAGGCTCCGCCTCCCAGGTTCACGCCATTCTCCTGCCTCAACCTCCCGTGTAGTTGGGACTATAGGCGCCCGCCACCTCGCCCGGCTAATTTTTTGTATTTTTAGTAGAGACGGGGTTTCACCGTGTTAGCCAGGATGGTCTCGATCTGCTGACCTCGTGATCCGCCCGCCTCGGCCTCCCAAAGTGCTGGGATTACAGGCGTGAGCCACCGCGCCCGGCCGGTTATTTGAGTTCTAAGCCAGAAAACTGAGAGCAGACACACACATAACAATACTTGGTTGCCAAATGGAAATAAAAAGCAATGTGTTAGGATAGGCTAGATTATGCTCCAGTAATAAATAATCTCCAAATCTCAGTAACTTAATACAACAAAAATGAATTTCTTGCTCATTCTACATGTTCAATTAGGGTTAGCAGGAAGGCTCTGACCATCACAGTAACTCAGGGACTTAGGTTGATGAAAGCTTCATCTTATTGATCTTCAAGGATCAATAAAACAGCAGAAACTGAAAAGGGCCAATTATGTACTAGCTCTTAAAAATGTCTGCGTTCTTCCCAGAAGTGACCACATGAGACTTCCTCTCACGTTTCAGCCAACGAAACAAGTTACATTTCACTGTTCAAAAGTCATAACTAAGTTAAAATGGGATGAGGAAGAATAAAGTTACCATGTATCTACAAGGAGAAAAGCTTAACAAAAAGCAAGAAAGCAGCACATACAGTGACTGGTGGATTGCATTATTGTTCCACAAATATTACTCTCCCCTCCTGCACTCTGTGGGCAGACTGTACTTTTCTGCACCAATGACTTTGGACTTGGCCATGTTACTTACTTTGGTGAACGGAAAATGGCAGAAGCGAGACTGTGCCAGTTCTGAGCAGAGACCAGTCATCATGAGTCTCTGCCAACTCTCTTGCACTCCTGCACTCTGCCATGAAAACGACAGACTTAAACCAATCCATACCTAAACTATAGATCCTTGAGGGAGAAATGGATGTGTGTTGTATAATACTGAGATTGGGGAGTTCTTTGTTGAGCAGCATTGTTTCAGCAAAAAGATGACTAATACAGTGACTCAACACAAGGATTTCATGAGACTGGCTACTACACATATGGTTTCCAAGAAAGGATATGAAATAAGACCTTACTAGCTAGTATTCTAAGAAATGTAAAGCAAAATGAGATGGTGTTACATTATTTGTATACTAGCTGGATATAGAACTAAAATATAACTATCCAATTATTTACAAATTAAATAAGAAAAAAAATAAAAGGAGAATTTCTAGTGCTTTTGAGGCTAAGATAATAAAATTAGAAAGTCCTTTTATCCCAGGAAAATCGTCTTTAGTCCATTCCTGCTGCTATAGCAAAATAGCTTAGACTGGGTAATTTGTGAATAATAGAAATTTATTTCTCACAGTTCTGAAGGCTGGACCAAGATCAAGGTGCTGGCAGATTCAGTGTCTGGAAGAGCTTGCTCTCTGCTCCCAAGATGGCTCCTTGTTGCCACAGATGCTGTGTCCTCACATGGCTGGAGGGACAGAGGACAAAAGGGACCAGAGCAATCCTTTCAACCTCTTTTTTAAGAGCACTAATCCCATTCATGAGAGTGGAGTGTTCATGCCTTATCACTTCCTAAGACATATTCCTAAAAGGCCCCACCCTGTAGTACTATAACACTCGGTATTAAGTACCAATGTATGAATTTTGAAGGCATACATACATTCAACCATAGCATAATTCAAAAAAGGAGAATGATAAAGGCAGAAAGCTCTTCATTAAGGCATTATTTATAACAGTCTAATATCAGAAACAGCATAACTATGCAATAGTAGAATATTTTAAGTAATCTATGGTCCTACTAATATTATAAAATATTGTACACTCATTAGAATAATAACTATGAACTTTCCCTAAAAACATGGACAAATATTTACTAAGTGAAAGAAGGAGAATATAAACATATACCTAAGCTGTAATCGTAATTATGTAAATAGATATTTAATATATATAGATAACGACTAAAGGGAATTTGGAGAAATTTAAACATTTGTGCTGTAGCAGTGGTTATATGGGTGAATATTTTTCTTCTGAAATCTAACGCAAAAAGATTGTTCTTTTGACAATAAGTATAATTTTTAAAACAACAAGGAAATTTCTCTTCTCAAGAATATACCCATGTGTGTAAGAAAGAGTTGGTGTTTGGATTAAAAGATGCATTTTTTAAAGAGTGGGAAAAAAATGCAACACATTTTTAATATTGAAGATCCCTGGGTATTCTGAGTAATCTATATAACTTTCTGTATTTTTCAAATGTTTTTACAATGAATGTGCTATAAACTTTTGAAAAAAGTTATTTTAAAAATACATGAACGTATTTTCTAGCGTCACTTCTGAGACCCCACAGCTCACCTAGTTAGTGCTATCATTTCTTGAATCCAGTGAGCTGCCTGTAGACAGAGTTCCTCTCCACAACTCGGTAGCCCATCATTTGATTTGAGACAAAGCTAAATATAGCCCCAACTTTGGTATGAAGGATGGGAATCTGACTCTCCCTGCCTTTTCTTCCCCCCCATCAGAGGCAACAGGATATTCTTTTCAAGACAGGTGGCCTGTGAGCCTTGTCTAAGATCAAACTGGACCTTGAAATTTTTCCTGGTAACATTTTGAGCTCTGGAGCAGTGTGGTCCTACCAATAAATCAAGTGTTGGAGGAGTCTAGACTAGGGGCTTTTTAGACAGTTCTGCTAAACCTTCAAATGTTTTGTTATCCTCCCCTCCCCACCCCTACTTTGTACTAGTATGTAGGGGAACCAATCCAAGAGATAACAGACAGATGACAGGTTCCCCCAAGAACACAGACTCCCCACAGTCTCACCAATACCCAGGCATGCCAGGTTCTTCCTGAGTTAAATGCCTAGGAGGCCTGAAAGAATAAATTCATCCTGGAGAAGTCTTGTGGGTCGTAGCTTTAGAAATTCAGGGAACATATCTCTGGGGCCACCCAATGGAGAACACAGCCTGTATCAGAACCTTAGCAGAGACTTTGGGCCTTTTGGGGTCTCAAATTTATCATCTCTGAAACAAGTACAACGAAATTAACATTGCCACATGTGGGCACTATAAAGCCTTTTTCAAATAAAAAAAAGGTCAGTGATAGTGCTAATAATAACAGTGATTATGTCATTTAATAAAACGGTCTTATTTGAAAGCTAAAAAGGAGCTTCAGGGTGGCAAGCACTCTAATTATAGTATGTCTGCCTTGTTTAAATCTTGATACATAAGTACATGGTACAGGGCCTGAGGCAATGCCATCTCCAAAGAGGCCTTTTCCATGATCTTAAAACAGTCACAAGGGAGTGTCTAGGTCCTGATGGCTACTGTCTTGAGGCTTTTCTAGTGTTCTGGGAGTCAGGAAGCTTCTCCCTCCTTGAAGCTATTGGTAGAGCCCAGTTGCTGGCGAAACTGAAAAACGAGGAGGTAGAATACCCTAAAACAGGAGATGTCTGGGATACAGGCAGCTAATAGGGCTGTAAGGTTTTGTTGGGATGCTTCCCTTCCTGATGAAGGGTCCTGTCCCTGGATTAATGGTGAAACTGTCATGTCACATCTCTAGGAAGACAACATCGTGTTCCATGACCACGTAGGGTATACGTCTGCATTCAGCCGGGATTGCTCCTAAACCTTCCTAGACTCCATCTCTGGCTCTGGGGTTACCTGTGGGTGGGGCGATGCAGACACACAAGAAAACCTCCTCTACAAATTCTTCCTGTAGTTGGTTGATTGTATTCTAAGACCTTCGTTGGGATGGGCGAGGGACGGGGCTTGGTACGGCGTCCTCTAAGCTCTCTGCCCTCTGCCGTCATCATTCATCTGAGCCAGCGAGAGAGGGGTCGGGGAGACGCGAGGGTGGTTCAGGGGGCGTGCAACCTGGGCCGATTGTGCCCCAGCACACTGGTTGTCGGGAGCCCCGCCTCCGCTCGCGGTTGACAGCTCAGCTGGTGCCGAGCAACTCGTGCCAGCCAGTCGTGTCTCAGCCTGGAGAGTGCGCGCACCGCCGCCCGGGCAGCCGCTGGCTCCAGCTCACGAAACAGCCCCGGGCGCCGCGCCGCTCCGAGTCCAGCCTCCTACTGAGAACAGTCCCTCCCTCGTGCGGGTCTCACGGCTAGCCGCAGGTTCGGCCACGTCAAATCCATTTTCTAAAAAAGCAGGGAGCAGAGCTCTCTCTTCGCCGCCGACGCAGAAAGGAGCTGGGGAGGAAAAAGCTGCTGCCTTTTGCGCTGGAGATTCGTGGGCAAGGCTTCTCATTTTCCCAGGCTGCTTCCCCTCCCGGGTGAGGAGCGTCCTGAGACTAAGGAAAGAGCCTGGAAAATGGAGCAGACCTGGACGAGGTAGGTGGGCTGTTTCCTTCTCGCCGCACTCCAGACTTGGTGGTCCTCCTCCCTCCCCTCCCCCAGAGCCCTTAGGGAGAGAGAGGTCGCCCCTCACCACCAGGGTCCCGTGACAGCTTCCCTTTTCTGTAGCCTCGCCCTGCCTGGTTCCCAGCCCACCTCTCTTGGTCATTTTCACATGTTCTGTTTTACGGGGTTTCCCTTGCTTAATGACTCTCCCCTCCACCGAGTCCTGATGTTAAAAATACCCAGGGAGGCCGCCTGGAACTTTCTGTAGAAATGGTTCTCTGTCGTTTCCTTGTTCGTGTGGCTAGAGGGATTCCAGTAGGTCTTCCTGAGAGATATGTTTGATGTCAGATGCTTTGAACAATATCAGGTTTATTCTCACCCTGCCACGTTTTCCTTCTCAGCCTCATCTGTCACTACTCACACAAAGGCAAAGGGACTGAGTGAGCAGAGCCCAGCAGCACTCATCTCCACAACCTCCAGTTGGAGCCCACTTGGGGGAGGAATGGAGAAGGAAAGAGATCAGGGCACCACACTGCTCAGGCTTTATTGAGGCCGGGCAACAGTTGGCTTTTAGGTCAGATTTTGGAGATGGCCTGTGAAACTGCGTTTTCTTCCAGTCCTTCCCCCAAACACACTTTAAAATGAAGCCCCATTCAAGGAAAGGGTAAGGATAAGAGACCATGTATTGAGACAAAGACTTCGTTTCTGTTTTTTAGTGGGTGGGAGGGTAGGGAGACTATTCCAGCGGTGTCTCTATAACAGATACGCTTCCATCTGTGGGATTTAGCTTTGGAGAATTGGGGTGGGGCCAAATGAGCGCTCTGACTCCTGAGAGAGTGAAGACCGTACAAACACAGAAGGTAAATTTGGGGCTTATGCAAAAGACTTGGGTGTTTTAGTTGATTGCTAAGCTCAACAGGAGTGAATGGTATAATGTGAATATTAAAGAAGGAGCAAATTGAAGCTTAGGGTTTGTTGACAGAAGAAGTAGGCTGTCTAGATTCTGTCTAGATCAAAAGTGATGATTTTACTTTTGGCTCCTTTCTGCTCCTCTTGGGCCTCTCCGAGAGGGCTGTGCTTAGTTCTGGGCATCATTAGATAAAATAAGTACAATCAAGAGACAGGAGGGAACTCAAAGCCATGCCTTGAGGGATGGCCAAAGGAAGGACCTGGGACTCCTGAGTCCGGAGAAATGACGACTGGGAGTGGGGAGGATGTGGTAGCTTCCTTCAAATTTCCGAAGAGCTATTGGTGGTAGAGGGATTGAATCACATTAGAATCTCTTAGGAGGACAGAACAACCGATGCAAGCGAGTTGTTGGGAGGCGAGTTATGGCTCAGTGTAAAGAAAAAGCTTTCTGGCCAGGTGCAGTGGCTCATGCCTGTAATCCCAGCACTTTGGGAGGCTGAGGCAGGCGGATCACCTGAGGTCGGGAGTTCGAGACCAGCCTGACCAACATGGAGAAACCCCATCTCTACTAAAATACAAAATTAGCCGGGCGTGGTCGCACATGCCTGTAATCCCAGCTACTCCGGAGGCTGAGGCAGGAGAATCGCTTGAACCCGGGAGGAGAAGTTTGTGGTGAGCCGAGATCACGCCATTGCACTCCAGCCTGGGCAACAAAAGCGAAACTCCGCCTCAAAAAAAAAAAAAAGACCGGGCGAGGTGGCTCATGCCTGTAATCGCAGTACTTTGGGAGGCTGAGGGGGGCGGATTACGAGGTCAGGAGATTGAGACCATCCTGGCTAACACAGTGAAGCCCCGTCTCTACTAAAAACACAAAAAAAATTAGCCGGGCGTGGTGGCGGGCACCTGTAGTCCCAGCTACTTGGGAGGCTGAGATAGGAGAATGGCGTGAACCCGGGAAGCGGAGCTTGCAGTGAGCCGAGATCGCGCCACTGCACTCCAGCCTGGGCTACAGAGCGAGACTCCGTCTCAAAAAAAAATTAAAAAAAAGCTTTCTAACAAGTTAGCTGCCTGGGCAGTATGGGCAGTAAAGAGATTGTTGACCCTGGAGTTACTCAGGCAAAGGCTAGATGACCACTTGATGGTGATGGGAGTGAGTGTATCAGGGCCTTTTGCTCTCTGCCAGTGTTTTTCACACTTGAAGAAAAAAGTATTATTTATTAAGTTTTAAAAATTTTATATTTACATGTAACAATTTCAGACAAATTCAGAAATGATTTGGAAAAATCGCAAATTATATATTTACAGTCCAATTAATTTGACAAACTGAGTATACTCATGGGATGGGCATTCAGATAGAGAAAGGGAACATTACCAGCATCCCTGAAGCCCTCCTGATGACTTCAAGGATAATCATTATCCTAATTTTTAACACCATAGAATAATTTTGCCTAGTTTTGAACTTTATGTAAATGAAATTATACACCATGTACTCTTTCGTACGTGGCTCCTTTCACTCAATCTTTTGCTTTTGGAGTTCTATACTGTTATATGGTACTGTAGTCCATTTATTCTTGCTTTTAAATAGGCTTCTATAGTGTATAAATATATCAAATTTATTTGTCCATTGTATTCTTAATAGGCACTTGGGCAATTTCCAGTTTGGAGCTATTATAAACAGTGTTGCTATGAACATTTCTGTACAGGTCTTTTGGTGAACATATGTACACATTTCTGTTGAGTAAATAAGTAGAAGTATGATTTCTG
Source organism: Homo sapiens (assembly GCF_000001405.40). Classification (NCBI taxonomy): domain Eukaryota; kingdom Metazoa; phylum Chordata; class Mammalia; order Primates; family Hominidae; genus Homo; species Homo sapiens. Next base: position 272,873 of record NW_025791753.1, on the reverse strand, counting down.
CGTAATAGGAAATGCATGTTCAGATTTAGTAAATACTGCCAGATTGTTTTTTTTTTAAACAGATTACAAAAGAGATTTCTAAAGCGGGTATCCAGGCCAGGCGCGGTGGCTCACGCCTGTAATCCCAGCACTTTGGGAGGCCGAGGCGGGCGGATCACGGGGTCAGGAGATCGAGATAGTCCTGGCTAACACGGTGAAACCCCGTCTCTACTAAAAATACAAAAAATTAGCCGGGCGTGGTTGCAGGCACCTGTAGTCCCAGCTACTCGGGAGGCTGAGGCAGGAGAATGGCCTGAACCTGAGAGGCGGAGCTTGCAGTGAGCCGAGATCGCGCCACTGCACTCCAGCCTGGGTGACAGAGCGAGCCTACATCTCAAAAAAAAAAAAAAAAAAAAAAAAAAAAAAAAAAAAAGAGGGTATCCAAAGGGAAGAACATAGTGAAAAGGTGCTCCACATCACTAGTTATCAGGGAAATGCAAATTAGAACCACAACACCATGCTGCTATATACATATCAGAATGGCTGAAATTAAAAAGATAGAAAGTAGCAAATGCTGGCAAGGTGGAACATTCAGAATGTTCACATATTTTTTAACCACTACTCACAATAAGTAATATATTTACATTGCCACCAAGTACACTTACATATGTAACAAAGTTTCTTGTAACAATACTTAACTTTACTATGTGTTTTGCACTCTGATATTTGCTATTCTATTCTTTTTCTTTAAAAATAAAATGTTGGCTCTGATTCACTGAATTTATTTCTCCACCTAATGGGTCACAGTTGGAAAAATCCTATAATCACAGATTATGGCTGACATCTCAGATCCTTCCTAACTCACAGATCAGATTTGTTCATAAACACTTATTAAAAATTTGAGGGCCGGATGAAATGGCTCACGCCTGTAGTCTCAACAGTTTGAGAGGCCAAGGCAGGTGGATGACTTGAGGTCAGAAGTTCGAGACCAGTCTGGCCAACGTGCTGAAACCCCATCTCCACTAAAAATACAAAAATTAGCCAGGTGTGGTGTCTGCACCTGTAGTCCCAGCTACTTAGGAGCCTGAGGCAGGAGAATCCCTTGAACCCGGGAGGCGGATGTTGCAGTGAGCTGAGATTATACCACTGCACTCCAGCCTGGGTGACACAGTGAGACTCTGTCTCAAAAATAAATAAATAAATAAATAAATTTTGAGAGCCCCAAACAGGTCAGACGCTGTGCTAGATGGTAAGAATAAAACAATGAATGCAATGAATGAGACTGGGTCTCTGCCTTTAATGGCTTTACATTCTCATCATCTCTAATTTTAATAGAGAGACACTAAGGCAGAGATACGCATTGGCTGCTCTGGGTACACAGTGGATAGGGGATTGAAAGAATAAAAATTAACCATAATTGATAACATTTATTAAGCTTTAATTGTGTGCTAATCTCTTTGAATACTTAATTCACCTAATCCTTACAACCCTATGAAGTAAATGTTATACTCATTTCTAAGAAAAGGAAATTGAGCTTCAGAAAGATTAAATAATTTTCCCAGAGTGACACACACAGCTGAGAAAGAAATATAGCCTTGAACCGTTTAATTCCAAAATCTATGCTTTTACTTTATTTTAGTAGAGTTTTGTAGGTGACTCAGTTTATGACTTGTTTCTGAAGCTAGCTACTTGCTCAATTTACCCACAAAGGACAAGGTGCTTGATATTTTAGTTCTCAAAGTTAGATATGCTCTACTCCCAGCTACACATCATCTGCCCCTCTACAGCTCAATGGAAAGGTTCCCCCTACCCGCTGGGGCTGTTACCTGACTGTTGCCAAACTCACTGGTTAAATCATTTGGACAGAGCATGGTTGGCTCTGGAATAGCAAATTTTCTATGAATATACTGGCATTACAAAAAGCTGATTTGGTCACCAGCTTTCAGATTTATTTCCGTGAACAGGGCGAGAGTTGTCAAAAGAATAAGCTCATGGAGCTGATGAAGAACTTGATGATGAGGGGAGGTTTTCTCACCCGGCAGGTCCAGTGTCAACCAGGCAAACAGCTTCTACTGCTCTAAATTTTTAACATCCACCTGTCTGGACTAGCAACTCCCTACACCTTCTGCTTTAAAGATTATCAGTACTTCAGGATTACTGTTTGTATTAATTTCCTATTGCTGGTGTAACAAATCACCACAAACTTTTTTTTTTTTTTTTTTTTGAGATGGAGTCTCACTCTGTTGCCCAGGCTAGCGTGCAGTGGTGCAATCTTGGCTCACTGCAACCTCCGCCTCCCAGGTTCAAGGGATTCTCCTGCCTCAGCCTCCCAAGTAGCTGGGATTACAGGCACATGGCACCACACTCAGCTAATTTTTGTATTTTTAGTAGAGACGGGGTTTCACCATGTTGGCCTGGCTGGTCTCAAACTCCTGACCTCAAGTGATCCACCCACCTTGGCCTCCCAAAGTGCTGGGATTACAGATGTGAGCCACTGCGCCCAGCCAAATCACCACAAACTTAGTGGCTTAAAACAGTACAAATGTATTGCCTTAAAGTTCTGGAGGTCAGAAGTCTGAAATTTGGTCTTCTAGGTTAAAACCAAGGTATCAGCAGGACTGTGCTCCTTCTAGAGGCTCTAAAGGAGAATTTGTTCCTTGCCCTTCATGGCTTCTAGAGACTGCCCACATTCTGGGTTCATAGCCCCTTCCAGCAATGCCATCACTGGCCTCTGCTTCTATCATCACATCTCCTTTGATCATTCTGACCCTCCAGTGTCCCTCTTACTAGGACCCTTATGATTACATTGGACCCAACCAGATAATCCAGGATAATCTCCTCATCTCAAAATCTTTAGTCACATCTGCAAAGCCCTCTCTTGCTATGGAAAGTGGCATATACACAGGATCTGGGGATTAGGAATGTGGACATTCTTATAAGGCCATTATTTTAGCCTACCACATCGTTCAATGCTGAAAAAGTCATTACTAATTATCTTCCCCATTTCAGTGGAAATGTTCTGGTTTCTAGCATATGAGAAAGCTGAGTAAACATCAGGTGAATCATATATGAACCTTATACAACTTCCCCGAACACATAACTCAAGAAAAGAGTGAACTAGAAATGTTTAAGGGCAAACTATAAGACTGAAGGTTAAAAAAGGAAAGCAAATTAGTCTGTTTTGTTTTGTTTTCTATTCCCCTGCAATTTGATTTAATAAAATGCAAGCATTAATTGCATTTGCTTGCTGTATCTGTGAAAATTTGGAAAATGGAAGTAACATTCAAGAAAATTAATGATCTGGTTTCAAAATTTAAGAATTTTTTTGACTTTGTTTCTTTTCTGGAGTACAGCCTTCAAGCAAGACAAGGTGTCCATTTACCACAGCTATATTGTACTTAACAGATCTCCATTGATAGCTTATTTGAATTTGTTTTTCTCTATATAAATGTTTAGCCTAGAGGAATCAGGGACATTTATTTTTCTCTGAATTTATGGTGAGTTAGTAGAGAGTCCTGTTTACAAAGACATAGTTACAACCAGAGATATATGGCCACTGAGGTTAAAGTGGTTAAATGATTTGCTGGCATTCACACAACTAGTATGTGTTGTATGAAGGCCTAGTTAATTCCAATACCTTTACTTATTATGGTGCTGGTGCTTTGCATGTAACACTTCATATTAGGAAAATGCTTGTTTTCAGAATTCTATTATTGAAACATCTTTGGAAGTTGAATTTCCTGTTTAATATTCAGCACTGCTAGCAACTAATTATCTGAATTTTAAGAAGGAAATTCTGCCTTGGCAACTCCAGTCTACTTTTAAATGGGCCTATACTTGGATTTCGGCTTGGGGAATTTGCCAGAATCAATGCTTTCACTCCTACTTGCTTATTTTCCACATACTAGATCAGTCTGGACCTGACTCCCCCAACCCCCATTTTTTCAGCTACATGCTAAGACTATGTTTAAAATACCTAAAGACTGGGAAGGGGTTGTTTTTGTCTCAGAAAGGATAAGTAACACCTCATGGTGCCCTCCCCATCCTGGGGGGCTCGCCTGACTGTGGCTGAGGGATCATATTTTCAAGGCTAAGTGGAGCATCCATCCATTCAGTGGATGCCCCAGGACACTACTTCTATTGAAATCTACCCCATTTTGTAAATAAAATTCCAAACTGGGCTCAGAACATTCCACAAGTTGTCTCTGGCAAAAATTCAAATAGCATTTAAAGTTAGAAGAAAGTCCAGAATACAAGAGATGTCATATTGACCCAAGGTGGCTCTATGTGATTCTATTTTAAAACACTCAAATGCACTGAGGACTTGTTTTCCTCTGCCTCAGAGCATTTTCTGAGTTCTGTGGCCAGCAAGACAAGCATGATCTGAATTTCTTTTTTCTGAACGCTTATGGCTAAAGTGCTAAATTAGTCATAGACTATTTATAATGAATTGTATAATAATACTGTTTTATTTTCATAGCAGTTTCACAGCCTGTGATTCATCTTTCCTTAATCTGTCTCATTATCTTCAGTCCTTTTCTGCTTGTTACATTCCACAGAAACGTCTTTCTTTCTTGTCTTTTCCAAGGCCAGTGAGGGAAGAGGTAACTTGCAACTAGTGTCTTCTTATCATGGTCATGGTGGAAAGGGTGGAAAGAAGCAATAACTTCTGACATACAGAAAGCATTCACTGGCCAGGCACAGTGGCTCTCGCCTGTAATCCCAGCACTTTGGGAGGCCAAGGCAGGAGGATCACTTGAGGTCAGGAGTTCGAGACCAGCCTGGCCAACATGTTGAAACCCCATCTCTACTAAAGATACAAAAATTAGTGGGCATGGTGGGGGGTGCCTGTAATCCCAGCTAATCGGGAGGCCGAGGAATGAGAATTGCTTGAACCCAGGAAGTGGAGGTTGCAGTGAGCCGAGATCACACCACTGCACTCCAGCCTGGGTGACAGAGCAAGACTCTGTCGGAAAAAAAAAAAAAAAAACAAAAAAAACAAAAAAACTAGAAAGCATTGACTCACAAAGAAAATTGAATAATTTCTAGCATTTCACACAATTTAAGAATGAATTTATTTTCCACTTCATAATGTGGTATATTATCATTCATAATGTAGAATAACATGCTGTGGATTTACAGTGTCTTTTAAATCATTACGCCTAACCCAAAGGATGTAGACTTCCAATTTTTAACTATTATAAATAATACTTGATAAATGTCTAGGTGCATAAAGCATCTTCTTCCACAGCATTATTTTTTGAATGAGAGATGTTCAGAAGTAGAATAACTACGTCAACATTTCCAGTTCTTGAAAGTACACTGCAAATTACTTAAAGTTATAGTCCCATAAGAAGGATATTGCATTCAATTTAAATATCTTTTTCAAGACCTGAATCCCTGTATTGTAAAGGGGAAAACTGAGGCACACTGACATTAAAGTGGCATAACCTAGGTGAATCAATAGCAACATTTCCAACTTTTACCCTTCTCTGGGGTAAAATGCTTCACTGTTGCTGTTAATCTCTATTACTATCCTGAAACGTTTCCTGAAATGATAATAAACAGAAAATTTTAACATAAGAAAGTAAAAGATAGGTGTAAATTACATCAAAACTATGTATACCTATTAGGATGTCTATTACAAGGACAGAGAAAAGAGAAAATAGATGCCGTGTTTGGTTAGGGGATTATGGGCAACATCCTTTATATGCTGCTTTTAAACTAAGTCAACATAGGTTTTTATTGCAGGAAGAAGTTCACATTTGTGTCTACCAAATGACAACATGTAAAGTTTGGAATTGAGTTGGTTTTAGGTTTTTCTGTGTATCACTTGGAGGTTTTCTGTGTATAACTTTCTTGTATTACTTGGAGATTTTCAGGTTATTGGCACCACAGGAGCAGCATTATTGCCAGCAGACCCGGGGAGCTGGTTGGAGAGTCATTGCGACTTAATTTACCCTGAGCTAAAATTATTATGAGTGGGCCTTAATATACCAGTTGTTCCCACCTACACATCTAGCCTTGCCTTTGCTGGGATAAATTTGTATACCCTTCAGAGGTTAGATTCAGAAGTACCTCCTTTAGGAATTATTTTTAGAACCTAGATCTGGGTGTAGCCAGAACACGCTCTGCCTACTCTGTTGTAGCATGTAGCTAGTTGGTTAACTTGATATTTTCCATACTCCAAGTTTATCGGCAGAATGAAACGTTTTTGTCTATAAGTCTTCAGCATCTAACATTGCCTCTAGCACTTAGAAGGTCATCTATTAAGAGCTTTCCAGAGAACATTCCCCAAAAGGCCGATGGGAATATCTGTTTGGTGGGTGTCTCCTTATTGTAGAATGGATACAACAGGTTATCAAACTTGACACCATTATACATTCAGATTGTATTTATCATTGTTTAAGAAATATGTGTCTTGTTTCCTCAGTTACGGGAAAAGAAAAAAAAAGAAATACGCATCAAATTCCTATGATCTAGACTTCTTTAATGCTGGACAGACGATAGTGAATGATCTAAAAACCCTCCCTTCCAGAGACTGACATTCTAGAGGGGTCACTAGGCATGGACATACATCACTGTTATACCTTGACCTGACATAGCCTTAACTCGAATTCACTTCAGTATGCTATCAGCACAGCCATCTTTTGTAGCTCATCTTTCTTCCAGATTTTCCACCCTTAGGATCCTTAATGCTGAAATTATACTTCTTGACCACAGGTCAAGTCCCCCACTTCCTCGTTCTTTCTGAATGTTGTTTACTGCGTCATGTATTCCAGTTCCTCAACTCTCTGTATCTTCCAGGCCATCTGCTGTTTATTCACCTCCATACTGAACCTAGACGTCAGAGTCAGCTCTTTGAATCGTGTTCTCAACGCTGCTTTAGAATCTCTAACTGCCTTAACCATCTCCCGGCTTGGTAACCCTTAGTCAATTTTATTTTAAAATCCTAGAGGATTCTATGAGTGTTGTTTTAGTATGTTATAAAACCGCACTGAGAAGAAAGACTCTAGATTCATTCTTGCTAATCCTCAACAGGTCTATAATGCTGCTGAGAAATTCTCCTCCTCCTCCCACCTGCCTCTTTCTCCTGCTCCTCCTTCCCTGACTCTTTCTCTTCCTCTAAAAATATATTCCTCACAACCTTTGATTTCCGTAGTGTAAATAAAAGCAAGATGCAGAACTGTTATATTCAATATTATTTCCATTTGCAGAATTCACACAGGCAAATAAACTGAAGAACAACTAAATACATAAAAATCTTTATCAATGTTGCCTTCAGGTGGTAGAATTTTAAAAATTATTTTTATTTTTCTCTGTACACTTTTCTCTTTTCCAAAATTTCTACGAGGCATGTACTTCTTTTAAAATCATCAAAAATAGACATTGTAAAGAAAAGAAACTGAAAGATTATGTGAATATAAAAGTAGGTGGAAAGGGGAAAAAATCACCTGTTTCTTAACATTCAGTCTAGGGCTCTAGAAAGATTGAGCCAACTGCAATATACTCCAGTGCCTTGTGGATATTAGTTGTTAATGAAAACTGAGGATTGTAGGGTGCATTGCCAGGACCAAAAGCAAAATGCAAAAGGTAAGTTTCAGAGGTGGGTGGAGAGACCATACACCATCCCTGGGGTAATGTGACTGAATCCAAAGCAGGTTATTTTCATGTCTTCTTTTGAAAGAGTGATACCTATGTCTTGGCTGATGCAGGGGAGGTAGAGGAAAATTTATTAGATATTTGGATATGTGATGACCTCAGAAGGTAAAGTGAGGAAAAATAACTACTTACTTATTAAGGGGTTTCTCTGAACCTTGATGATAGCATCAAGAAAGTAATGTTAGTTTCCTTATTTTCTTTAGGATGAAGACTTAGTGCTGGACCAAAAACAAAACAAAACAAAGATCCCGAAACTTAAAGAAATTGTTGTGGATGCACGATGATTTTGTAGCTCACTGTAGCTATTGGGGACTTAGCACTCCAGAAAACAGCCTCTCAGAGTGATGGTCACTGTCAGTGAATAGACTTTGAGTGAAGGGTGTAATTGCAGCCTATACTGGAATAAAGTGGATGTTTCTGTATCGGTGCCAAGTCGGCCCACACTTAGTCAGCATGCAGAAGGAGGCTCACCGTGATGCTCTCTCTCCTCTGGGAGCTTTGCCAATTAAGCATCCTCACTTGCAGAGGTTATAATGACAGATCTTGAGATGAGAAAAAATGATAATTTCACTGTATTATATAATAGTCTTAACGTTCTGCATCTGGGGCTTTTACCCTATTTGCATTTGAATATGTGCTTTTACAATTCGGGTGCCACATTGTGGGAGGGTATTTGGCAACATTTGGAACATAGAAAATATATCCAGTGTCTCTCCTTGGCAAGAGGAAAAAAAAACATCTGAGAAGTCTCAGAGCTTGTTCACTAATGCCTTTTCCACTTTGATTGTTTCTGTTTCCACCACCTTTCCCGCGTTTCAGTTTATTCCCTTGGGTAGGGACAATGCCAAGTGTTATCACGGGAGGGGTTGGAGAAAGATGTAAATATTCTGAAAAAAGTGGGTTAGAGATAGAGAAGTATAAAATGATGGATGACTCACTTTTCACGATAGGACCTATATAAAAAGTCACACTAGCCACTTCCGTTTTGGGATTTTAATTATTTTGTCACATGGCATCTGTTACACCAGTACTCAAATACTCAAGTGTAAGCTGTGCCCATCAGGGATAAGTTGATAGTCTAAGAAACAAATTTGTGTCAGGGTTTGAGACAAAAATCCCATCTCATTAGCACAGCAAACCGTCCACCCTTCCTTTCACCTCAGCTTCTCAGGGGTGAGTTCCCTGGAGTCAAGGCAGGTACAAAGGAGGTTCCCTGTAAATGTGTGGTTAGAAATAGGGCATATTGGGAAGAGTAAAAGTTTGGAGTCAAATAGACAGTTTTCAAGTTCAGGCTCTGACACCAACTAGCTGTGCGATCTTGGGCAAATTACTTTATCCTTCCAGGCCCCTTGTTTCCTCATCTGTAAACAGGGATTGTATGACGTACTTCACAGGATTCTATGATGACTGAATGAACTGATGCCTAGAAAGTATCAGGCATTCAGTAAATTGCAGAGGCAGCATTGGTGGTGAGTGGTGATGGTTGTCCATGATAATAATATGTTCATTTAATACAAGATTAGTATTGAGGAAAATTCCAGTGCAAGAAAACCTGTGGAATTATAAAATTATGCACCAGCAGTCCAGAAATTGTTAACTGTAGATGTCTTTGTTTTTAAGTTGACACTATTTCTAAAATCTTACCATTTATAAACTGTCAGGGCCAGAGCTTCCCATATTAAAAAATAGGCCACAGTTCTTCTCATTCTGACCCTTTTGTGTTTGCCACAGTTGAATATAGCTGTAAATTAAAAATAGGAAAAATGCATCTTGGAACGTTTGAAAAATTTATTTCATTTGAAACAGAAACCAGCAACTCATGTTAAATGAGCTCCAAGAATATGGGAATTGGAACAGAATCTGCATTTGGTTCAATGCCTACTCCTGTGAGGACCCCAAGAAAGAGCAAACTTCAGCAGTCTTGCTGTCATGCCACATGCCCCTCACTGTTTGAGAGGCCACACCGAGCCGAATCCTTTCCATAGTTCATCTTTTATCAAGGTCATTAATTAGGAAGAGCAATGTAAATTCAATAAAAATAGATTATTCAAACTTTTTAAAAATAAGAATTAGCCTTTTGGCAAAAATAGTAAGAAAAAAAGGGGGAGGATGCTCAGTATATTTTCCGCCACTCTAAACCTCCAGACTTTTCATTTCTCTGGGTTCTTTTCTAGTTTGTTTCTATGGGTATTTTCACAATAGTGCAAATCTTAGCCCCTTTCTTGCTGACATTATTTTAAATCATTTTGGGGGTTTCTAAGCTATAGTGTTTGAGGAGGGAGGTGCAAATGAAGAAACAATTTCACCCTTGGCTTCCCTTCATATTCCCACCTGAGGGTGAGCGCTTGGGGAGGAAGGCTTGAGGAGGGGGAAAGGTAAACAGGAAGTTGGAAGATGTCCTAGGAGGCAGTTTAGGGCTCCTCAGGGTGGGGGGAAGATGGAGCGGGGTGGTTGGGAAGGGGAAAACAAAATGAAAGCCCCCTGAACACACCGTTCATTTTCCTATAATTGGGTCTTTGCTATGTTTCCTTGTGTATTTACACCCATCCTTTAAGACCTAGATTCAGTGTTATCTGTTTTCTGTAAATGTCCTAGACCCCTCCACCAACCACCCTGTCCCAGCCCACTCCCCACCAGGACAAAATTAATTGCTATCTTATTTATGTTCTGAAATCTCTGTTAAATCTAATTTTTCTAATAATTATCTCTCTGAATCATGTGCCTGCTTCCCTCAATAGATTCTGAGTACTTTAACCACAGGGTATATATACTTTTTCACCTTTGTATTTCCAGTACCTGGCATAAAAGCAACTTCTCAATAAATGTTTACAAAATGGAATTATAAAAACCCTAAAAATAGCAATGAAGGCCCAGGTTTTCGCTCTAGGTATTGCTATAGCAGATTGTTTTTTCTCCTTCTGAATTTTTGTTCATAATAATAATATATATATATATATATATATATATATATATATATATATATATATATATAAAGAAGCTTGAAAGCTAGAAAATGCCTCTGGGAGATGGCCCTGGTCTTCAGGCTTAGAAATGTTAAGCAAGGGTGGTGGTTAGTGATGAAGTAGGAGGGCCAGACTATGTGGTTCTCAGAACAAACTAAATACATGTGATTGGCCTGAAGAGAGGGCCTGAAAATTACCATTCCTTTGGGAGTTTAGACACTCATATGGGAATAAATAACCTTAGGTTAATTATTTTAGTAGGTGAGACTGGAGAGAAGAAAGTATGGAGCCTAGACAGGCATCAGTACCTTAGAAATAGTTTTAGTGGTGATTTTGGTCCTACAATACAAATATCTCATACTGTTCAAAGACTCATAGAACCTGCTTTGTAATGATGATTACCATCTTGTCATTGCTTTTGAATGAGATGATTCATTCATATGATCTGTTGTTCCTCTCAGTCCACAAATTAGACAGACTAAAATACAAGAAAATAATACCAGAAATAACAGTTTACGGAGGAAGGTCTATACCTGCCTTATAGAAAATATCTCTCTCTGCAGGCTCCTAAGCAAGAAGAAACCCAAGTGTCTACCCCTCCCCACAATGTTATGAGAAACTAGACTAGTGGGACCAATGAGATGCTTGAATCTTGAAAGGAGCTATATCAGTGGCCAGTTTCAAGTAAAGCAAAACTGAGTGTTTTGGATAACCCTGGCCATAAATGAAACTACCATTCTTAGAAAATTACTGGAAGAAATCATCACAGGACAGTTTGAGAATGTCAGAATATCAGGGGGTGGCAGATGGCCTTCAGAGAAGCAATTATTTCCTGATCATTCTCAACTTAATCACCCTGGAAAGCCATAGAAAAACCAAGTAATATGGGATATTGAATGTTGATGTATTATTTGAGTCTAATATCTTAATAGCTACTTATCAGCAACTCAAGAAAATATGAGTGATATACCATGCAGAAATCAAGCAGGTGAACAGCTTGTGAGTAGGTTGTACTTGGAAAATGCTTGGTACTTCCAAAAGCAAAATAATGTCCTGGTGAGAATATTAATATATGTGGTTTTAGTGGAATTGGTATTGTCATTAGCAGATTGATGACGTAGGGAGAAAGACAAGGTAAGACACTGAGGAAAAATATAATTCATTTATACAGAAAAAGCAAAATTTTAAGTGAAAGCATCATGGGAGAAAGATTATATATGGAAATGCAGGAGAGCTAAAAGTGGCCTGGCGAACCACATATTAGCTGAGCATGAGTCATTCATGGATTGATATTTTAAAAAGCTAGAGACACTTGAATTTGAGAAACTAGGACAAGGATATAAAATTTTTTTCTGAACTTGGGTAATACGAAAGAATGTACCAACATATATTACCACTTTGTGTGTGTGTGTGTGTGTGTGTGTGTGTGTGTGTGTGTGTGTGTGTGTCCATGCTTGGAGTCTGTCTCTACCATACCCCAATTCTCCTTGCACTTTGGTTTATCAAATGTTGTCACAAATTGCAACCCCTTAGACTTATACTCTGTGTTTCTCCACTCTGAGCCCCTTCCCTTGGGGAGCGTCAGATTCCTTTGTAACTTGTGGAGCAGCTGAGTGAGCCCCTTTCTCTGGCAATAAGAGAGGGAACTTGAGCTGTTAATAGAGCTAAAGTGATTTCTTAAAAATCTCCTGAGACACTGCGAGTATGCTTATTAACTCAGTACCCATCTAAAGTGACCTCTCTATCCTTCCAGTTATTGATTCATATCAGGCAGGCAGTGTGCTCAGAGTGGGTGTGGGTGATGCGGGAAGGGTGAGGTGTCTGGTAGGGCTGATATGTATTGCTGTGTTGTAGCTTGCTCTTGACCTATAATGTGCAATCTGCAGAGCAGAGAAGATTGAGTGAGATCATGTCTGGAAGGTATCCTGGATCCTTGGACAGTATTAAAATGGGTTTTATGTTTAAGCATCTATTAGAATAGAGTTGCATAATTACTGCAAGGAACCTTAGAAAGTCATGTCCTTCTTTTATAAATATTAGAGAAAACTAATGCCCAGAGAGGTGAAAGTGACATGCAAGCCAATATAGTAGCTTGTTGCCACAAATTAATTAATTGTGTGTGAAGCCAATGGGTTTCTCAAGACTGTGTCTTAATAAAGCAGAAATGAAATTCTGTCTGCACTTGGTCTATACTGGGGTAACAGCATCAGAAACCTGCAAGATGCCAGGCAAGTATCATAATTAAGTGAATGAGGGACGACAAGGACAGGGAGTGGCAGGGACTGTGGCAAACTGGAAAACACATCCCTGTCCTGTGTAAAGGGGGCAAGTTCTCCCGCTGTGTGGGAAGGCAGGCCCAGTGTTGGCAGACCCACTCATTTCCCAAGAGCAGTTAGAAGTGGGTCAAACTTGTGTGGGCTAAATAAAACATGTCGGATGGGCTGAATTTGGCCCGAGGGTTGACCTTGCTCCTGACAGCAGATGCAGCCACCTTTGTCTGTGGACTAGGCAGAAATGCTCAGTGAATAGCAGCAGCTAAGTATAAATTTTTTCCCCACAGATTTTTTTAAGACATTGTTCTGGTTGATGGTTTTGACATCCTTCTCCTATTTTACCTCCACAGAGGGGAGTGCATACGTAGTACATTCCTCTTTGGCATTGTTTACTCTCAGGGAAAGCTTTTAAGGAGGAGAAGGGAAAGAGGCAGGGGGCCTGGAAGAATCACAAGCTGGTGATCTACTTTTGGATACGAAATAATTGTCAGGTGGCATGTGTAGCCCGATGTGCCCTGTCTGGTATTTTCATGTCCATCTGGGACTTAACAAAGTGAAGATTTCTGCCAAGATCCAGCCCTGAGGCAGGGAAGAAAAAACCACCAATTTCCAAGCAAATGCCAGGTCCTCCTCTGCCTCCCTGTGAATATCTTCTGGCTTTTAAAAAGAGAAGTCCTGTAGGCTTGGCACAGTGGCTCATGCCTGTAACCTCTGCACTTTGGGAGGCCGAGGCGGGCGGATCACCTGAGGTCAGGAGTTCGAGACCAGCCTGACCAACACGGAGAAACCCCGCCTCTACTAAAAATACAAAATTAGCTGGGCATGGTGGCAGGCACCTGTAATCCCAGCTACTGGGGAGGCTGGGGCAGGAGAATCGCTTGAACCTGGGAGGCGGAGGTTGTGGTGAGCCGAGATCGTGCCATGCACTCCAGCCTGGGCAACAAAAGCAAAACTCTGTCTCAAAAAAAAAAAAAAAAAAAAGAGAGAAAGAGAGAAGTCCTCTACATCTCTGTTTACAGAATTCTTGGGAGCCCCCAAGAGTTTAAAGAATAAGCTACCTATTGAAAGCATCTTTCTGTAGGTTTATTGAAATCATCTGTTTCTGACATCCCCATCAGACAGTCAGTTGTCAAGACAGTAGACAGTCCCCCTTTAAAATATTAGTCACTGAGTCCGTCTTTCTTTTTGATTCACAAGACTCTAGTGGCTAAATGCCTCTCCATGTCTTGAAAGGCTTCAAACAGTCTGCGCCCCCTGCCCAGTCTTCCCATTACTTCCCTGACCTCACCTCCTACTGCTCACCACGTGCTCACTGCACCCAGCCACTAACTAGTATGCTCCCTCTTATGGACCTTTGCATTTTATGTTCTCTGCTTAGAAGACTCTTTCCCTAGAGACCCCCATGCCTGTCCTTATGGCTTCATAGAGCAGCCTTGTCTACTGAAAATTGCAATCCCCTCTACCTCCTCCTACCTCCAGCTCTCCCTATCCACATTCCCCACTTTACTTTTTTTATAGCACTTGTTCCCAACTGCTACTATACAATTTATTTATTTGTCTCCCCTTACTGTAAAAATTCCATGAGTGCAGGGATTTTTGTCTGTTTTGCTCACTGCTACATTTGTGGAGCTTACAACAGTGCCTAAAAGCACTTGTCAAGCATGGGCTTGAGAAGTATTTGTTGAATACATTTTGAGATACTGTCCCCTCTCTGCTAGGGATGGTGGTATTTACTATGCTGAACAGATACACCTCTTGCTACTGAATCATGGTGTTATTAACATTTCCACTCATAAACTTTGTCTGTTTTTCAAGGTTTCTGTGTCAATTCTACTTTCTAAACATATCTCAAATTTTTAAAATTTCCCCTTTGTTAAACCATCACAACTTCCTATTTGGAATATAGATTCTCACCATCCATTTTTGCCCCTCCACAGTCTCACTGTGTAGAGCCAGAATGCAGCTGGAATGACCTATCTAAAATATAAATCTGATCATTACCATTCTTTCCTTAATTTAAAATCCTTCATTGATTTCCCATAGCTTTTCACATTAGACTCAGTGGCCTTACCCCATACCACAAGGTCCTGCGTGGCCTGGTTGCAACATTGGCTTTCTTTGTTCCTCTAACAGGCCAGAGTCCTTTCTGACTCAGGGCCTTTGCTGTTCTCTCATGATGGAACACTCTTCCACTCCCATTCTCCCATTCTACACCTGGTTGACATCCTCCCATCTACGTTTAAATGTTCCTTTCCCTGAGTTTCTCTGAGTCCCTGTGCTAGTTAAGTTCCCTCTGCATTTTCCTTCACAACATTTACTACAATAGTAGTTAATTCTTGTGAAATTATTTAATGGCTGGCTCTCATGTACTTATTGAGAATAGGAACTCTTCTGTGGTGTTTGCCTTTGTATCCCTAGCACTTGACACGGTCCCTGATACATAATAGAAGCTTAGTAAATACTTGCAGAGAGATAAATAGAAATGACAAATAGGTAGGTGTCTTCTCCTCGATCCCTGGGATGGGAGCCTTGTGGGGTAGTATCTCATTAATTAATGATGTGTTTGCCTCCACAGAGATTATTTTGCAGAGGATGATGGGGAGATGGTACCCAGAACGAGTCACACAGCAGGTAAGGATGCTGTGGGCCTTGCTTTGTTAAATTCTTTGTTTCTTTTGTTTATTCATTTGGTTTTCTTTTGAGACAGGGTCTCACTCTCTCACTATGGATGTAGTGCAGTGGTGTGATCATAGCTCACTGCAACCTCAAACTCCTGGGGTCAAGCTATCCTTTCACCTCAGCCTCCCGAGTAGCTGGGACTATAGACATATGCCTAATTTTTAATATTTTTTTTTAGAGGTGGGAGTCTTGCTATATTGCTCAGGCTGGTTTTGAATGTCTGACCTGAAGCAATACACCCACTCCAGCTTTCCAAAGTGTGTGAGAGAAATTGGCACTTGGCCAATTCTTGGTTTTCTATTGATCTTAATTCTCTTGAATTATGGCCTCTTTAAATTCATCATGGCAATATCTTCAAACTTTTGTGAATTTCCAAATTAGCACATACTACTGTAGCAATTTCACACGAGAATTATCAGCTAGCTATAATTCTATGTACTGAGAAGCAGCATAGTACAGTAAATCATTACAGATACTTATGTGAATTCTTCATACTTTTAACGATTCTGTAATTGCAAGGCTAAACTCACTTGTACAATGATTAAAATAAATTATGTTACTAAAATGAAATCTTTATCTTAATACACCATTAAAATGGGTATAATAGGCCGGGCATGGTGTCTCACGCCTGTAATCCCAGCACTTTAGGAGGCTGAGGCGGGCGTATCACCTGAGGTCAGGAGTTCAAGACCAGGCTAGCCAACATGGTGAAACCCCATCTCTACCAAAAATACAAAAATTAGCTAGGCATGGTGGCCCACGCCTGTAATCCCAGCTACACAGGAGGCTGAGGCAGGAGAATCTCTTGAACCCGGAAGGCAGGGGTTGCAGTGAGCTGAGATCGTGGCACTGTACTCCAGCCTGGGTGATAGAGCAGACTCAGTCTCAAAAAAAATAAAATAATAATAAAATAATAAATAAATAAAATGGGTACAATAATAATGTTAATCTCATAGGTGAGATTGAGAAAAGCTTTTAGTACAGAGGCTATCAAGGAATAAGCACTCTGTATCTTATCTATTGTTACTATTAATGTATTCCTAACAACAGCACAATTATTACTGCACTAACATTAGCCAGAGATCTACCTGAATTGCAAAACCAAAGGGAAGATAATATTCTTTGGGGGTCTATTTTCCACAAAACTTGTTCTCGACCTGAGGGTTTTACTTCCTTGCTAAGTTCTTTGCCTTTTTCATAACAGCCTGGAAGCACAGATTGTTTATATGCACAATTTGGAAAAAAGTTTTTAATTTGAATAAGTTAAGAATTTCAGAGTCACTTAAAATTAGTATTTGAAATGTGTGTTAAATCCACAAATTCCAAGGGTTACTGTGCTCAACATTTTAAATGTCAATATTCTACATTTTGAGGCAAAAATTGAAGGACTAGGGCAAAAATGTGAGGGGAATGGATAAAATGCTTACTACATATAATACATGTGGCAAGGTGCTTTTATTATTTTATTTAATCCATAGAACAGTTCTATAAAGCAGATATTATTACCCCTGTTTTACAGAGGCAATATATCAGCAAAATTAAGAGATTTGCCTAAATTCCCACAATTAGCAAGTGGTCAGGATTCAAATCCAAGCCTCAAGGCATTGCTCTTTCTATCATATCCACCAATCTAACTGTAATGTATTGTTATTCTGTTTTATCAGATTATCTTCCCCTTAGTAGTATATTTAATTTCACCTAAATGTGGAAGAAATCATTTTTTCTAATTACATTTATTTATTTATTTATTTTTGAGACAGAGTCTTGCTCTGTCACCCAGGCTGGAGTGCAGTGGTGCCGTCTCGGCTCACTGCAGCCTCCGCCTCCCAGGTTCAAGCAATTCTCCTGCCTCAGCCTCCCGAGTAGCTGGGATTACATGCGCTTGCCACCACGCCTGGCTAATTTTTGTAGTTTTGGTAGAGATGGGGTTTCGCCATGTTGGCCAGGCTGGTCTTGAGCTCCTGACCTCAAGTGATCCACCTGCCTCAACCACCCAAAAAACTGGGATTACAGGTGTGAGCCACCATGCCCAGCCTCTAATTACTTTTAATTAAAAATTTTGCATTTACGTATAAACATTCAGAATATCACCAAAACAGGGGCAATATCATCATAATTATTTTATTATTATTATTTGCTATCACAGAGTAGTGTACAACTAACAGAACAATTATATTGGGTAAGCTGCATGAAAAACAATTGAAGAGGGAAAAATAATATCTCCATATATATGTAATTGATTTGTACTATGCACTAATAAAGCCTGCCTTAGATTTCTGTTCTAGTTTAAACCCCGAAACAGTACCAGGCAAGGTTAGTGGCTATTGAAAATATCATTAAGGACAGGGTTATCTAAAGACACACTGGATACTACATTAATTTTGCAAAAATAAAAAGACAGTATACAGTGTTCAGTTTAAAAACAAATCATATGATCTTACATTTCAGCTTTTTTTCTTTGAAATCAGTGGTGTAATGGGGAGTTAAATACTTTTAGGCAAAAAACAAACACATACACACACACTCACACAAAAACAAATTAATAAAACAAAAGCCTCTTTTAAAACCACCCTATTGACTATCATCATTTTTTTCTTCACCCTTTTCATCTTTCTATTCACCAATGTCTTTCCAGTCCTTTTTTTCTTTTCTTCTTTTTTCTTTTTCCAGTTTTTCCAACTTCCCCTTTCCCTGCATCAGACTTTCTTTTATCCCAGAATACAGCAATAGCCTTTATATCTATAATCTTAAAAGCCTTTCTTTCCTCAAGGCTGTATATTATCTGCAACAGTAATTCTTCATTTCTTTCATTTCTCTCAGTTTTCTTACATCATCGCCAATGAATTAGCCAAGATGTTCTCCTGTGCTCTTTTGGTGAAATTTTCAGAACAAAACAAGAAAAAGGAGATCCCTTTGGTACATTAGAATCCTGGAACTTCTTTCTTCTCTCTCTTTCTCTCTCTCGTTTCCTTGTAGACAGAATATAGATTTTTGTTTCTTTCTTATAATGGGCCTGTTCACCTTCACCCTGTCTTCAAATTTTTTCTTTCTCTTTAGCAGAAATGAATTTCCATCTTTTCTGAACATAAAAAAAAGAAGAATTCTAAGAAGTTGACTGAAGCATCTGGGTGCTTTTTCTTGGGCTCCTTCTGGCAAGTTGGCAGAACGAAGGAAAGAAGGCAGGGAAGGAGGGAGAGAGGAGGGAGGGGAGGAAGGAAGGAAGGAAGGAAGGGAGGGAGGGAGGGAGGGGGAAGGGAGGGGAGGGGAGGGAAGGAAGGAGGCAGGCAGAGAGGTGGGGGAAAAGAGAAAAAAAAAGAAAGAGAAAGGAAGAAAGGAAGGAAGGGAGAGAGTGAGAAGGAGAGAAAGAAAAAGAGATCGGAAGAAAAGCATGCAAAGGCATTTTGCCTCTTACTCCCTTGGATCTCCTTTCCCCAAGTGTTTAGTTAACTTTTCCTCAGCCAGGCAGTCACCCAGTACCTGTTTTGCTCTTACTTGCCCTGACACTGTCTGTAGCGCTTAATGCTTTGCCATGACTGTCTTCTTATTTAAAAAATAGTTCCATAATAAAAGTTCATTATTTCCTTCTGTCAGCCAAGAAAGTATGTAGCTTTCTATGTTTTCTACCTGTCTGTAACTCCAACCCTGCCCCAACATGAGGCAGGGTTGATTTCTCATTCTTTAACAATGTTACTTCTCAAAAGCAAGCATAGGGTTAATTACAGCTTAGATTCCACTAGGTTCTCCCAAAGCAATGCTTCCATTGGTTAATGGAGTGATTGAGTCTCTGCCTCTTTACCTGTTTTCCCCACTCTCAGACCTATTGCAATCCCTTTAATTGCTAAAATAACACAGTAGTAGCATACTGCTAAGAAAGACAGATGGAGAAAATATGGCATTGGTTCTGCCACTTTTTAGCAATGTGATCTTGGTCAAGCAAACTTTCTGAATCTTTACTTATTCATCAGTAAAATGGACTTAATAATCACTTATGTCTATTTCACTGATTGCAGCGACTTCATAAATGAAATAATTCATGTGAAACTATTTTGTAACATGTAATGCCCTTTAAATATGTTGGCTGTTATAATTGTTACTATTACTAAATAGTAACCTGAAAAATTATCGGTAGAGATAGTTTGCTAGCAGCTTGGTTCTTTCCTTTAGACTGTTTTGGTTACCTTTTGTTATGTGACAAACCATCCCAAAACTTAGTGACTTAAAACAGGGGTCAGCAGCAAACTACAGCCCATGAGCCAACAGTCAGTTTTTATAAGTAAAGATTTATAGCCACACAGTGACACTCATTCATTTACACATGGTCTGTGTCTCCTCTGTGTTACAGGGTAGAGTTGAGTACCTGTGCCAGAGATGATATGACCCACAAGCCTAAAACACTGTCTGGTCCTTTAAGAAAATGTCTGCCCACACCTGGCTTAAAACAACAATGATTTATTATTTCTCACAATTCTGTTTTGGCAAACTGGGCATTATCGCTGCTGGTCTCACTTGGGATCACTCAACTGGCTGCAACTTTCTGATGACTTGACTGAGACTGAAGGTCTCAGACAGCCTTGCTCACATGTCTGGCAGGTGGTGACTGTCAGCTGGGGCATCTTCACTTCCCTGAACAGCCTTTCCTTCTCCAGTGGGGTAGACCGACTTCTTCACAGCATGGTTGTCTTGGGATGCTAATAAGGCAAGAGCAGAAATGCAAGGCCTCTCAAAGCTAGTCTCTGGAACTCATACAGTAGCATTTATATCATATTCTGCCAGTCAAGGCAAGCCACTTTGCCAACCCAGATTCAAGAGTTGGGGAAATAGGCTCTACTTCTTAATGGCAGGAGTATCACATTGCAAAGGCCTATGGACCCAAACTAGTTTGATTCACTGGGGATGGCTATTAATATGATCTACCACAGACTACTTTAAGTAAACTGTTTCTATGTGGCCTAGATTGAGTTTGTATTTTGCAGAAACTGAATTCTGCTGGAATGTGCCAGTTAGAATGATCCTAGTGCTGTTATTATATAAACCTTTTTTTTTTGTTGTTCTGTTTCATTGACAGCTTTTCTTAGTGACACTAAAGATCGAGGCCCTCCAGTGCAGTCACAGATCTGGAGAAGTGGTGAAAAGGTCCCGTTTGTGCAGACATATTCCTTGAGAGCATTTGAGAAACCCCCTCAGGTACAGACCCAGGCTCTTCGAGACTTTGAGAAGGTAAGTCATGTGAGTGGATAATTGTTATCCCAATTAGAAGCAGTACTATGGAATAGTGATGCCTGATAAAAATATGACCCATGGATTGGTCCGGATTATGGATGGTATTATCATTATGGTGTCTCTTTCAAGAGCATGTCCCAATAAACATATGCTCTGTCAGCTGTGTGCTGGGGGGTGTGGTTATGGACCCTTGCCTGTACAGCAGTCCCTCCTTTGGATGCCTCAAACTGCATAGTACTGAACCCTATATTTACTATGTCTTTTTCTATACATACATACTTAGGATAAAGTTTAATTTATAAATTAAATGTTAATGAGGCTAACAGTAGTTAATAATAACATAGAACAATTATAACAATATACCAGCATTACTACTCTTGCACTTTTACATTGTTAAGTAAAATAGGAGTTACTTGAACACAAGCGCTGTGATACTGCAACAATCTGATAACCCAGACAGTACTGAGTGACTAACTGGTGGGCGATATATACAGCCTGGATGTGCTGGACAAAGGGATGATTCAAGGGTGAGATAGAGTGGATGGCACGAGATTTCATCATGCTGCTCAGAACAATGTGCAATTTAAAATTTATGAGTTGTTCATTTCTAGAATTTTCTATTTAACATTTTCAGACTGTGGTTGACTGTGGGTAACTGACACCATGGAAAGCAAAACTGTGGATAAGGGGGGACTAACTGTACCAGTAAATGCTGCCTCATCACCTACACCCTTGGTTTACTTCTCAGATAAACTCAGGAAGTTTAAATGGCATTCTGAGAATCTGTAGCTGCAACATAGTGAGCCCAGGAGTCCCGGTCCAGCAGCTAGTATTAAATTCTCTGTTGCTAGCTTGGACCTCTCTCGATATCTAGGAATTGTCTGCAGTGTGCGGTGGCACAGTAACAACCATTTGTTTCTCAACAAGAATCTGATAATGTTGCTTGAACCTCCTGAACCAGTGCTGCATGCTCTGCTTCTTCATATGTTTGTCCTTAGATTTGACCAAAAACAATAACTGATAATGTAATACAGATTCCCCAGCTCCCTGTGAGCTGGGTTGAGCCCAGGAAGTCTGTACAAGAGAGCATGTCTACTGGGATTTAAATAGCCCAGAAACAGGCAGCCAGAATTTCTTACACGCTTGTGCTCTAAAAAAAAAAAAAAAAAGGAAGAAAGAAATAGCTCTTTGGTGCCCCCTCAGGGATACCCAGCAAGCAGGTCCCACATAAATAATGTGTAAATAGTCTGTGAGATACTGGGGTTTCTCTCATTCTGGAATTGGAATTGATAACTTTTGACAGAAAAAAAAAAGTAAAATTCTAATCTCAAAAAATTTTGTGTTGACATGGGTTTACCCCATCTTCCCTCAATTTGTAAGTAGAAATATTTCACCAATACTTTCTGTACATCTTACCAGATATTTCTGTGGGCAAAGGATATGCACCATATAACATGTGCCTAAGAATTAACAGCCTATTCTTCAAATTTTATGCTTAGCATTCTCATGTATACTGTGTGTATTTTTTTTTAAGACATGGAGAGTTTGCATGGTAATCAAGAGGCTTTTGAAGACTAAACCTCCAAACAGCTGTGTGGTGCTGGTGGGGGAAGCAAGGATGCTAACACCCCAACCCCCTCCTTTTTTTGTTTTTTTTTTTTTCACCTTTTGGATCTGCTGTGATGCAGAAAGGGCAAGCAGAGCTGCAGAGCTCCTCAAAACTGTGTGGGGTGCTCTCCAAAGGCGAGCCAGTCTGCATGTTCCTTTTCATTGAGAGATGACTGGAAATATAGAAATGAGGGGTGTCACCTCCATTGAAAGAATGGGTGGCAGATATAAGGCCCAAAGTCCTTTTCTTTTAGAGTTTAGATCTAATATGACAGATTAGTCCTTATTTCTCGATGCTGGGAAACACTGACAGAAACCAAGCTAAGACGCAGGGAAAAGGCCAATAAGAGATAGTTTAAATCTCTCTCTGCTATGTGTCAAATAAAAAGTAAATAAAGAGGCTACAACCCACTTCAGGCTTGATCAGAAAGTCATTGCCGGTAAATCATGCAGTGTTGTGTCACACGTTTGTTCATTTTCATATCCATTCATCCATCCTGTGGACTCTGAATGACAGCACCTAAAATACAAAACGCCTCCGTGAAAGGGTTTAAAAATTAGAGAAAACATTGGTTAGAAAAAATATAGGAGAGATAGGAACACATTACTATGCCCTACCCTAAAAATGGTAAAATACTAAATAACATGGTATTTTCTGTAAAGTTTAAAATATGCATTCGATAGCCTTGGGATATAGGATAGGTAGCAGTACTCAGAGAGAGGAAGGGACATGCTAAATGTTTTTTGCCAATGTAGGGTCGACTCCTCCAGGGCTTAAAGACAAAGGGATACAGGCCTGGAAGAAGCAGCCAGGAATCCCTTCTTATTTCATTTATCCATGCAACAAACACATGATCACATTAAATGAGATACTTTAGTTCCTGCCCTTAGATAGTTATAGTCTATTTGGAAGTACAGACATTGCATTAAATACAATATAGCATGGCAAGTGCTTTCATAGAGATAAGGACAGTACACTCTGAGATCTTGAGAGAAAATGTCTACTTTTATTAAAGGAGTAGGGAAAGGCCTCTTACCAGAGGACATTTCTCCTGGGGGCTTCACGTTGAGCAGGGTCTCCAAAGCTGAGTTAGATTTTACTAGTCAGAGAAGTAGAGTATAATATTCCAGACAGAGGGGAGATTTGGGGGAAGAAAGAGAGATATGTTCAAATAAGAGACTGGACTATAGAGAGGTAAGAAAAAGAGAGTTAGAACAGGAGAGAAGTAATATTAAAAGTACTCAATCTGTCAAAAGTAATTATAATTGTTCAGTAATGCAGTTACCTCTAAAATGTTTGCTGATGTAGGAAATTCTAGAGAAAAAAAGGCCCTTTGATTACAGGGAAAGAGATAACAGACTAAAAATGCAAATACTGGCACATTATGGAACCAAAACATAATTAGTCAATTAACAAGCGAAAATGACAATTATCTTTATGTTGGTGTAGAAAAAAGGGACAAAGAAAGCAACATTTCCAACATACAACAGTGTTTCTTTTCTTTCATTCTCCACCCACAACCAACAGCATGGTTGTATGTGTATACAAACTCCAATTGTATGTTTGTCAGGTTGAGGTCAATAGGTATTACACTCCATGATGAAAGGAGGGCATTGCTTAGCATATATGCTTCATTTGTATTTTTGAATGAGTGAGTGATTTAATTAATTTCCCAACCTTACCAACTTCGTTATGTAGGCGCTTTTCCCCACTCAGAGAATCCACTGATGAAGGGATTCTCTGTGGGTTTAGTGTATTGAGCAGTGGGTTTAGTGTATTGAGCAGTGGGTTAAGTGTATCTCATAAGTTGTTTTATTTTGTCTTTATAAGACACGGAACAAGCATCACTCTCCCCATTTTTTAAGTGAGGGAACCAGGACTCACAGAAATTGTGACTTTTTCAGGGCCATAAGTTTATGTACCATGATCATAAATCTGAACACATTATTGGATCAGAAATAAATTTTACCTACAAATGGTCACAATGATGTGTTGAGAAAAATCCCTTGCCCTATGCTTTCTCACTGATCACAGCACCCAGCTGCAGCATCTCTGGAATGAGCAAGACTTCAGCAGCACATACATAATACTGGCTAGCATTTGATGATCACTTTCTATGTGGCAGATATTGCTCTAAGTATGTGACAGCATGATCTCATTTACAACAACCTTGTGAAAAGGCATGTTCACCAGTTAGAATGACGATCATTAAAAATCAGGAAACAACAGGTGCT
The DNA here is from genome assembly GCF_000001405.40 of Homo sapiens. Taxonomy (NCBI): domain Eukaryota; kingdom Metazoa; phylum Chordata; class Mammalia; order Primates; family Hominidae; genus Homo; species Homo sapiens. Next base: position 248,254 of record NW_025791753.1, on the reverse strand, counting down.
GGAGAGAATGTGGAGACATAGGAACGCTTTTACACTGCTGGTGGGAGTGTAAATTAGTTCAACCATTGTAAAAGACAGTGTGACAATTCTTCAAGGATCTAGAACTAGAAATACCATTTGACCCAGCAATCCCATTACTGGGTATATACCCAAAGGATTATAAATCATTCTACTATAAAGACACATGCACACGTATGTTTATTGCAGCACTATTAACAATGGCAAAGACTTGGAACCAACCCAAATGCCCATTAATGTTAGAATGGATAAAGAAAATGTGGCACATATACGCCATGGAATACTATGCAGCCATAAAAAAAGAATGAGTTCATGTCCTTTGCAGGGACGTGGATGAAGCTGGAAACCATCATTCTCAGCAAACTAACACAGGAACAGAAAACCAAACACCCTATGTTCTCACACATAAATGGGAGTTGACTAATGAGAACACATGGACACAGGGAGGGGATCATCACGCACAGGGGCCTGTCAGGGGCCGTGGGGCAAGGTGAGGGATAATATTAGGAGAAATACCTAATATAGATGACGGGTTGATGGGTGCGGCAAACCAACATGGCACACGTATACTGTGCAACAAACCTGCACGTTCTGCACATGTATCCCAGAATTTCAAATATAATAAAAAAAAGAAAAGCCATGATTATTATTCCAGTTTACAAATGATGAACTAATGGCAAAAAGAATAACAAAGGAACTTGCCCAATAACTCATGATTGAGCCTGAAAACACCTGATGTCTTTGTGACCTAAAGATAGTGGGCATGTCCTATGTTGGGGAACTCAGCTGGTGAAAGTTTGGTGCTAATGAAGGTGTTGGCTTATTTGGAAATGGAATCACTAGTTCCTCCTATTTAGATTGATGCAGATTGAAATTCTACCAGATTCCTGCCTCTCTAGGTAAACTGTAAATCCACTTTTTTCTTCCAATATTCTCTATTACATGATTTTTACTCTATTAATTCTGAACTGCTTGCAATTCAAAGCTGTTTCATACTTTCATTTATTTGTACCTGCTGTTCCCTCTGCCTTGAAAACCTTTTCTCTCCTATTGTTTATTTGGTTAAAGTTTACTCATCCTTCAAGATTCAGCTCAGGTGCCTTTTTAAATTTATTTATTTTTTAATTTTAGGATGCCTTCTCTTACTCTCTAATCCCAGAATATATACCAAGACTCTAAGCTCCTTGAGGGCAGAAAACACCTCTTGCCCATTCTTTTCTAGTCTCTAGAATATAGCATAATGTAGTACATAGTAAGTGCTCAGTAAATATTCATCAACTAAACTAGCTGAAAAGTATTAAAAATTAGATATCCTATTGGATTTGTATCTCTTCTGCCTCTACCTGGTATTCACAATAAGTTGAACAGTTTTAAGGAGGGTATTGGCGTGTTAATTGATTGGGTAGGATGGGAAACTAGGAAGTCAAGAAATGTACATTTCTTTTCCACTTTATTTTTTTATTGTTCATTTTTTTTGAGAAGGAGTCTTGCTGTGTCACCCAGGCTGGAGTGCAGTGGTGCAATCTCAGCTCACTGCAGCCTCTGCCTCCTGGATTCAAGCAGTTCTCCTGCCTGAGTAGCTGGGACTACAGGCTCCCGCCACCACACCCGGCTAATGTTTTGCATTTTTAGTAGAGATGGAGTTCCGCTATGTTGGTCAGGCTGGTCTCCAAATCCTGGCCTCAAGTGGTCCACCCTCCTTGGCCTCCCAAAGTGCTGGAATTTCAGGCGCGAACTACGCGCCTGGCCTCTTTTCCACTTTAAATGGAACGATAAAACTAAAAATGAAAAGGACGGGAGAGAAAGAGTCTTTTTGAAATAATATTTGACAGGATTTATTAAGAAGATCACAATAGTAGCTAATAACAATAAATACTATTTGAGTGCTCATTATGCACCAGGTACTTTTCTAGATATTTGACATATTTAATTTAGTGTATTTTCAGTTCATTTTCCTAACTTATGAGATAGATATTATTTTTACAACCATTATACTAGTGAAGAGATCAAGGTTCAAATAACTTGCCCAAAGTTATATAAGAATAAAGTAACGGAACCACTGTAACTCCAATGATTCCAAAGCTCTTGGGGAAATGAAAGGACTCTCAGAGAAGGAGAGCATTACATTGGTGGAATGCCTGCATTTGGGTTTTTTACATAGAATCAACATGGCAGACGGTACAGAAAAGCCACGGAAGGGTGGGAGTCTTTGGCTATAAAATCAAGAGGGGGCCTCCACTGCCCTGTCCTGTTTACACATTTTTCTAATAATGTTGTCTTTAACAAGAAAATATCATCAAAACCAGCTATAGTGTATGCCTAACTGTACTCTGCAGCTTTCCTTGGCAGTCTGAATCTAACCGCAGTGAGTCAGCCTGTTCAGGTCCCACCCATCCTGGTGAACTTTTCCACTTGAATCTTGAAGTCTTTGGGGAGAAAAAAGAAGAAAAAAAGTGCTAAAAGCAGAAGGCTTTTTCATTTTGGGGAGTTTCTGGAGCTCTGAGTTATCACAGTCTGGGTAACCTGTGCTAATTTAGGTTAATTGGGGTCCTGTCACTGCCCTCTTTATGTTCCACAATTTTGGTGCTTCTCGAGTGTTTCTCTCTAATTACAGCCTTGGAAAATGAATACTACTAGTGAAGTGCATTTTTATTTTAAAAAAATGCATTCATTCTTCCAAACCACAGTGTCCCAAACATACTGGTTTTGTTTTCACTGGTATCTTAAGACATTCAAAAAGTTACTAGGAGGCAGGGGGTAAATATTAAACTTTCAGCAATCACAAGTGCAGTTTGTTTTCCCTTTTCAATCTCATGTTTAAAAAGGGAAACAGAAGGCTTCCACACACAGGCATTCCACAGACTTTCCATGCAAAGTTTTCTTTCCTAAGCAACATTACCAAAGATATGAATCAAATCAATTACTTTTTTTCTTATAGAACTACAGAGTAAAAGGAATGCTTCTGAGTGCTGTAGAATATACAAAGATGGACATGAGATTCCATTCTCAAAGAATGTACAATCTGATTGGGGCATAAAAAAATTTAAATTATACAAGATTTAATTTAAATAACATCTAAGGCAATATTGAAAGAGATATTTCAAGATGGGAGTACTTGCCAAACTAATGTATGTTTTTAAAACTTAAATATGGCGAGGTGTGGTGATCATGCCTGTAATTGCAGCACTTTGGGAGGCTGAGGTGAGCGAATCACCTGAGGTCAGGAGTTCGAGACTAGCCTGGCTAACATGGTGAAACCCCATCTCCATTAAAAATACAAAAATTAGCTAGGCATGGTGGCACACGCCTGTAATCCCAGTTACTCAGGAGGCTGAGGGAGGAGAAGCGCTTGAACCCAGAGGGCAGAGGTTGCAGTAAGCCGAGATCGAGCCACCGCACTCCAGCCTGGGCGACAAAGCGAGACTCTGTCTCAAATAAATAAATAAATCTTAAATACTGGGATAGAACATTTTTTTCTAATTTGTGCACGCGCGTGTGCGTGTGTAAACTTTTCAAAGTTGTAAATATTAGCTTACATTTGGTCATGCAATTAATAAAGAAACTTTATCAAAAAGAATGAAATTACAAAAGTTGGAAAACCCTGAACATTCTGAAAGGTATGATTACCAACACAGAAAAGAGAGCAACCACTTTCACAGAGAATGTAGCACTTGAATTAGAATAATTCTTTTCGTAATTTTAAATTATCTCCTTTCTGTCTCCTCATTAAAACTTGTTTTCTTCTCTTCTCCCGTTGTTCAAAGAGAAGCCTTATCTTTCTTTCTGTGGACTTTGCAAAGTTTCCATTCTAATGATAATTTCCATTCCAATACTAAATTTAAAAAATAGCAACAAAGATCATGATACCAATTAATATTTGTAAGTGCTTACAGTGTGCCAAGTTCTGAGAATGCGCTTGACCTTATTATCTTATTCAGTTCTCCTAATAGTCTTTTGAGGTTGGTACAACCATTGTCTTTGTTTGTAGAGAGACACTGAAGCTAGGAAAACACTAGTAATTGATGGCAAGTGCTGGAGCTGGGATTTGGACATAAGTGTACTGGTTCTAGTGCCTAAACTCTTAGCCACAATTTTATTATGCTTACTGATAGCTGACCCCCTTATTCATTTGTTAATCCACTCATCCATTTATGAGTGCATCGTGTGTGCCAGGCCATGTTCTAGCTGTTAGTTGCACAATGATCAAGAATGAATGTATGAAAATATGTATTTTCGGCCGGGCGTGGTGGCTCACGCCTGTAATTCCAGCACTTTAGGAGGCTGAGGCAGGCGGATCACCTGAGGTCAGGAGTTCGAGACCAGCCTGGCCAACATGGTAAAACCCTGTCTCTCCTAAAAATACAAAAATTAGCCAGGTGTGGTGGTGCACACCTGTAATCCCAGCTACTCAGGAGGCTGAGGCAGGAGAATCGCTTGAACCCAGGAGGCAGAGGTTGCACTGAGCTGAGATTGCCACTGTACTCCAGCCTGGGTGACAGAGCTAGACTCCGTCTCAAAAAAAACAAAAAAAAGAAAATGTATGTTCAAGGATGAGTGTTTATATTTCAGTATTCTCTATACCAATACAATATTAGTACTCAAGGTGAGGATTATTTCAAGTGTGGAATATATATACAATAGAACATTATAGAGCAATGTACTGACTTGGGAGGATGTCCATTATAACAAATTTAAGATTAAACAAAACAACGGCAACAACAATTTGACTGAATATTACAAAAAATAAGATCTCATTTTTGAGGGAGAAAAGATGGAAATGTCTGGAAGGATACATACCAAAACATTGATATTGATTATGTCTGGATGATGGAATTAGCCTATTGCCTTCTTTATAACTGAGTATTATATTTATTTTAATTATCTATTCATTGAAAAAATATTCTAGTGCTTTTACTATGTGCAGCATACCTTAAGCATTGCAGATACAATATTGAATAGGCAAACATGGTTCCTGCCTTCATAGAGTCTACAGATTAGCAAATTCCAACAGAATGTAATTATTATTGTAATAGAAATAAAGAGTGCTATGGAATATATAACTGGGCACTTACTCAATCTGAAGAGATTGGGGGATTCAGGGAAAGTTTCCTAGAGGAAACTGCATCTAACCAGGGTCCTGAAGAAGGAATAAGAAGTAGCCACTAATAAGGGGGTGGTAGTGTGAGAATGAAGAAGGTTCCATGCATAGGAAATAGCTTGAATCAAGATCCCGATGAGAGAAAGAACCATAGTCAGTATTCCTAGAGAATGGGATGTAAGGAATGCAGAGAACTGAAACCAGAGAAAAGAGAGAGGAGTCATCATACAGAGTCTTGCAAGTTATGTAAAGGCTTTTAAATTTTATCTGAGCTCAAGGGAACTGCTGAAAGCTTTTAGACAGAGAGGTGACATGATCAGATTTTCCTCTTAGAAAGATCCTTTTGGCTTCCTTATGGCCTCTGCATAGGAGGAGTAGTCTAGAGGCAGAGAAAACAGTTGCAGTATTCCAGGCAAAGGTTGGTGGAGATGCCAGTATAAAAATTAGAGAAATGGACAGGTGAAAGAAATTTCAGAGGCAGAATTGATAGAGCTAAGCCATTGACTGGATGTAGAACCAGTGAGGCTGAAGAAACCCAAAGATGACAGATCACCAATTCATCTCTTCACTCACATCCTACCCACTGTCACCTTGTCGTAAACTTTCAGACTACCTTCACCTCTCTCTTCAATAACGTGAGTTATTTGTTCAAAGTCTGCCTTTTCTGTTAGAACATGAGCTCACTATAGCAGGGACAGTGGTTGTCTTTTCACTTCTAGATACAGTGATTAGCATAATGCCTGGTACATAGTAGGCATGCCCTTTTCTTTTCTTCTTTTTTGTTTGTTTTGAACGAATAAATGATGTCAAGTTTTCTTGCTTGGTCAACTACTAGGTTATGCCCTCCACTGAGAAAGAGAACAACTGGAACAGGCACATGTAGTACTTTTATGACCATTGAAGCAACAGCAACACAAACAAAAAACAGTAAAGCGATTTCTGTTTTTGGAAGAAAAGTAAAGAAGATTCTTCCTGTTGTTAAGGAACTCCAGATCTACTGGGGAGAGAGTCAAACAGATAATCCCAATATACTGTGAAATGGGCCACAATAAGAGTAGGTCCGCAGTGCTGTGGAAGCATTCAGGAGAAGCCCTTGCCCAGGCATTAAGGCCAGATAGGTTTCTTTTAGTAGGTAATATCTGACTTAGATCCTTATGGGTGAGTTGGGATTAGTTAAGTGAGAGATGGGTGGGAATTGAAGAGAAGTGAAATTCTAGGCTAATGCTGCTACCCATGCAAAGTCCTGGAGGCAGCATGAGCCTGGTGAATTCAGAAATAGGAGGCTTTCTGTCATGGATGGAGCAAGGGAGGGTCAATCGGGGTTCATGTTGGCTCTATCTTTTCCCTTATCCCCCTACTTCTGGTCAAGGCATTATTGTTGCAGCCATGTGCATTCATGGTATCACTGTGGACTCTTGGTTTTTGGTTTTGTTTATTATTTTTTTTTTTTTAGACATGGTCTTGCTCTGTCATCCAGACTTGAGTGCAGTGGCACAATCTTGGCTCACTGCAGCCTCGACCTCCCGGATTCAAGTGATCCCCCACCTCAGCTTCCTGAGTAGCTGGGACTACAAGAACATACCATCACGCCTGGATAATTTTGACTTTTTAAAACTTTATTTTATTTATTTATTTGAGATGGAGTTTCACTCTTGTTGCGCAGGCTGGAGTGCAATGGCGTGATCTCCACTCACTGCAACCTCTGCCTTTCGGGTTCAAGCGATTCTCCTGCCTCAGCCTCCTGAGTAGCTGGGATAACAGGCATGTGCCACCACACTGGCAAACTTTGTATTTTTTGTAGAGACGGGGTTTCTCCATGTTGGTCAGGCTGGTCTCGAACTCCTGACCTCAGGTGATCCACCCACCTTGGCCTCCCTAAGTGCCACTGCGCCTGGCCTGTTTTTTTATTTTTTGTAGAGATGGGGTCTCACTGTGTTGCCCAGGCTGGTTTCAAGCTCCTAGCCTCAAGCAATCCTCCTGCCTTGGCCTCTCAAAGTGTTGGGATTGGCATCTCAAAGTGTTTGAGCCACCACACCTGGCAACTCTTAGCTCTTGTGGCCAGAGCAGGTCGTAGTCATGCCTTCAAAATTGCCTTCACTCCTAGAAAAAAATGGAGAAAGGATTATTTAAAATCTAGAGAAAAAGGTGAGCCCATAAGTCACTCTCTCTGAATTCCAGAAGCTCAGCAAATAATCTGAGTTGGACCAATTGTGAACAAATACCAAGTCCTGCTGATGTTGATTGGACCAAAGTGATGGAGAATCTAGTTTGGAGTCTGGTAATCCTTGGGAGGCCCCAGCATCACTGCAGCTCAACTGTCATTCCTGCCTTGCAGCTCATTTAACTGCCTCTGGCAGCACTATTTCTGGCTGGGCCATCTATTTTTGGTGGCCAGGGAAGTTGTTATTTGTTTCATTTTGTTTTGATGTGGTTTACAGTGCTCTAGTGTGATGATGAAGCTAACATCTGGTTATTCCAGGATTGGGGGTGTTGTGGGTGTGTTTCTATGTTGGGGAAGGCAGCAGGAACATCATCTTAACTCCTTTTCTTTATCCACATGATGAGGCTGCCTAAGACGGGGTTTATTAATCAACCTGATGCAATAGCTCTGTCATTAGTGCTCTTGTTATCAGGCAAGAAAAGGCTGTGTACAGGATGGGTATCAGTATGCTTCTGAGTGTTAGGGGAAAAAATGGAATGGTATTGTTAATATTTTAGCATTTAAGAGACTCTGGAACTTCAGGAATTATGTTAAAATTTCAGAAACAGAGTTTTAGAAGGGTGACTTGTTTGTTGATTGTACAATCCAAAAGAAAAAAGCAGGACTTTGTGGAATTCATAGTCAGTTTTCTGAAGCAGGTATCAGTAGTTGGCTTCTGAGACAAGGGCAGAAACACCATGTTGGCATAAAAGAGTTGATGAGTGGAACACCAAGTTGGTTGGCTCTGGTTGACATTTTCCTTGGTAGAATGTGGTGTGTGAAAATTACACATATTTTTCAGAACAGGCCAAATACGTATGTTTTATGTCAAAACATAGGTCATGTGTTTCTGTTTTATCTGAGGGTTATCACAAAACTTTACCTTTTTGTAAAACTTAATCTGTGAATATTCAGTACTGAGAGCCACTTAGAGCATACTTTGTCTGACCCTTCTTTTAGGGCCCTATAATATAGGTAGGATTGGTATACAGAATATTTAGACATGATTCATTCTAAGCCATTTAGCTTTAACTGAACTGAATCAAATTGGACTTTAACTGAGTCTTTATCATTAAAAAAACTCTTATAAAAGATAAAGGATTGGGTTAGTTACTTCTCTCAGCTTTGGTTTATTTCTTTGTCTTCTTTTGAAAACAAAGCTTTATTCAAACGATTAACACGCTGTACAGCTCATCTTCTGAAATCTTACAATTCTATGATTTTAGTGTATTCACAGAGTTGTGCAACCATCACACTGTCTAATTCCAGTACCTGTTTCTCACTCCAATAGGAAACCTCATACTCATTAACACTCACTTCCCAGTTTCCCTCTCCCTGGTTCCTGGAAACCACTAATCTACTTTCTGCCTGGATTTGCCTATTCTGGACATTTCATATAAATGGAATTATACAGTATGTGACCTTTTGTGTCTGGCTTCTTTCACATTATCGTATAATGTTGTCAAGGTCATTTATGTTGTAGCATGTATCAGTACTTCATTCCTTTTTATGGCTGAGTAATATTCTATGATTTGGATATGCTAAATTTTGTTTATCCATTCATCAGTTGAAGGACATTTGAAATACTTCCAATTTTGGCTATTATGAGTAATGCTGCTATGAACATTTGTATATAAGATTTCACGTGGCCATATGTTTTCAATTTTCTTGGGTATATAACTAGGAAAGGAATTGCTAGGCCACATGGTAACTCTTTGTTTAACCCTTTGAGAGCCAACTTTAGTTTATTCATCTTGAAAATGAAGAAAACAATTTTTTTTTTTTTTTTACATAGATCCAGGTTGTCAGATCCTTTAGGGTCACCACCAGGAAGATTATTTACAGTGAAGGACACTTTTTGAAAAGGTATAGGGGGCCTGAGGTAGAAGAGGGAATACCCAGTTGCAAGTGAATCCCAGGCTCAGAAGGGTCATACAGTCTCATGATTAAGGCCCTGATGCGTATGCAGTATGGGGTCAAACTGTTGGAGTTATAGTCTGTGCTCCTCCGCTTTCTCAGTGAACAAGTCAGTTAACCTCCTGATGTCTCTCTGTCCTAGGCAGTAAAATGGGGATCATCATGTCTTCCTACTTCAAAGGTTGTGGTAAAGATAAACGAAATAATACACATGGAAGTACTTTGTACATTGTCAAAACCAATGTAGATGATTGTTGTTGTGAAGATAGCATAATTGTATCTGATTAATTTTGTAATACAGGCCCAAGTCATTCAAAACAGCCAGGAATTAAACTTTTTATTTGTATAATTCAGATTTTATGAGAACAGCATAGAGACGCCTAGACACAGAGATGTATTATAAATAAAATATGTGTATGTAAAATAAACCAGCCGTCTCTTCTTCCTGCCCCATCTCTTCTTGTCTATCCCCATCCCCAATCCAAAATAAGCTGGGCTCCTGGTTGTAGTTCCCTGGGTGCTAAAAAGCAGGAAATACTCCCCAGACATTTGTGTACCCTTCCCATAGGGCTGTTTTGAAAATATGACAATTAGCAAAGTTATAGGTTAAATCGTCTATTGGGCATCATCCTTGAGTCATTGTTACTGCTTTTGTCTTAGAAATATGGCGTCCTTTACATGCACTTACTGCTTCTGTAGCACAAGGCAGCCAGAGCTCTCAGTCTGAACAGGTAGACTCTCATTACCTTTTAGGGCTACAGGAGAGCTAGTGGGCATTCTGAAATTCTTCGCAAAGTGATAGTTCTCTCACTGGCCTTTGGTAGGAGCGTTTCTATGAGAAAATGTGTTTCAAGCATAGAATTTCGGGATGGCCAAAGATCTTAAAAGCCCTCTAGAGCTAACTCCTAGCTGATGTGGGAAAACTTTTAACAGTATCCCTGAAAGGCGATTCTTGAGTTTTGGTCAAGCACCTTTTGTGACAGGAAGTTTATTTTGTCTCATGATGTATGTACTCAGTAAAAATTTGATGTATAAACATATGGATAGAGTGTGGCAATATCTTTATTACATCTAACTCTACTAGAGAATTCATCCTTATATCTAATTGATAACTGCCTCCCTGTAATTCCTACTTTCATTCCCTTTAAAATAGTTTTAAAAATTATAAGCTGTTTTACAAACAACAGGAATATACAAAGAATAATTAAACACTTGTCCATGTGTTGAATATCTAAATGTTAGAAAACATTATTTTTAGTTTATTTTCCTCAGGTGAAAAAACAAAAGTTACCATTACAGATACAGTTGCAACCTTCTTAGTATCCTGCCCAGATCCCAGTCTTCTGACTGTCTTCCTATACTTAACTATTAAGTAGTTTCCCCAAAACGACCCAATGAGAAAAAAGGAGAGCCGGGATTTGAACGTTGGTCTTCATGGTTCAAAGCTATTGCTCTTTTCACAGTTCCACGCTACCCACCCTAGATAAATATGTATAATAGTGATCATATTTATTGTCTATGTGTAAATTGATGTAAAGTGTCAAGGGTTACTTAAAGCACTACTCTTCTGTTTTTCTATTTGCCATATTAACTTATTTTTAAAATATTTTTATTTTCAAGGAAGGTAAAGGTAAGAATTATCCACAGATATCAAATTAGTACAGTTAAAATTGTGGAAGTTTGATTATATTTGAAAAGAATGTGTCCATTAAGAAGATTAATCATTTTTTGTTAGTGAAGCTTTATTTTTAGGAGAAAGATTGGTAAACAATTAATATGTTTTCAAGTACGTACATTATATGAGCTAGCTGGGGGGTCTGAATATGATGAAGCAAATGTCAAGCTGGGTTTTTTAAAGGCAGACTTGACAGTTGGTTGTGTTAATGGGGCATGACAGGCAACAGCTGGGTGGTAATCCTCCTCCTACTGTTGGCATTGATTGAGTCTTTATTTACGTTGTATTTCTAGTCTGGACTAGAACGTTATTCCAGGGGTGGAATGAAGAAATTAAGGAAAAAGAAGGGGAGAGCCATTAAGGTTTGGAAGAAACATTCTGAGACCAGAGTAAAGATGTTATATGTACTAGGAGAAAAAGGAAGAACAAAGATAGAAGCACTTCCCCTTGCTCAAGAATCTGCAGTGTTTTATTTCCTAAGCAATGCAGAGGTTATCAACATATAGGCCTGTTTGCCATGAGCTAGTAGGTTGCTGTGTGCATCTCAGGTATGTGTGTTTTTGTTTGTTAAAGCTTTTTTTTTCTTTTCCAAGTTTCCACATGCAGCGCTGATGTTTGTTAAAGCTGCAAGAAAACAAATAAGTAAAACGAAACCTAAGCAATACACAAAGAAAATAATCTTCCCAGTCAGCAGTTCCTGGCCCTCCCCACCCCCACTGCCCTCCTCCCCACCTCCACTTCCCTTCCCCTCACTCTTATCCAGATTGAGAGCCAGGATCCTGGAGGGGCAAACTCCAGGCTTCTCACCCTGGCTTTCAAGATCTCCTTGAGATGGCTTTTTATTTCCCCTCATCTCTGTGGCCTATTTCAGGACAGTATGTGCCCTTTGCTTTGGCCTGGTGGGCACACTGCCCTTTCGCTTATGTTCCACCTGCCTGGACTGCCTTGTGTTCTCCCCACTGCCTATCCAAGCTCAACTCATCCTTTGAGACAAGCTAAAGTGCCAATTCTCTGTGGTACCTTCTCTGGCCACCTCTCCTTCCTAATTTTTATAGTTTTTACTTTTTTTTTTTTCTGAGACGGAGTCTTGCTCTGTCACCCAGGCTGGAGTGCAGTGGCATGATCTCCGCTCACTGCAACCTCTACTTTCCAGGTTCAAGCAATCATCATGCCTCAGCCACCTGAGTAGCTGGGACTACAGGCACATGCCACCACGCCCGGCTAATTTTTGTATTTTTAGTAGAGACGGAGTTTCACCATGTTGACCGGGCTGGTCTTGAACTCCTGACCTCATGCGATCTGCTCACCTGGGCCTCCCAAAGTGCTGGGATTACAGGCATAAGCCACCGTGCCTGGCCCAGTTTTTACTATTTGTACCGTTCATATTGTCCTTTATAATTTGTCATATACGATTCCATATTTGTTCGGAACTGTTGTAGAAAGTCCAGATTCTGCATGGTGTATTAAAATGAGTCTGTTAGAATAATTTATTTTACTTATAATCTTTTTATAAGGAGGAATGCTATTAGGTATGCTTTTTATCCTAAAACATCTACATAATCTTGTGTATCGATTAAGTTGTATTACTCCAATGAGAAATAAATCAGCAGGTTAATTACTCATCCATTGTTTAATTCAACAAATATTTATTGAGCACCAGCTATGTATCAGGCACCATTCTGGGCACTGGTGACACAGCAGTGAACAAACTAAGAAAACATCCCACTTTTCTCAGGAAGTTTACATGCTGGTGGGGAGAGACAGACAAGAAACAAAATAAATAAGAAAATGTATTTTAGAAGGTGATAGTGCTACGGAATAAAAAACAATGAAGGGGGATTCGGAGAGCTGGGATGAGGCATGGGGTGCCTAAAGAGTATTCACTTCATGAAGAAGGTGACATTCAATCAAAGATGAAGAAGGTGAGGAGAGAATCGTGCACCTCCCTAGAGAAAGGGCAGCCAGGCAGAAGGGTCAAGTTCAAAGGCCTCGGAAAAGAAAGCTTCTCTTGCTTCCTGTTTTTGAGAAATAACAAAGAGAAACAGTGTAGCTACAGCAGAGAACAGAGAGAGAGTGGTAGGAAGAAGTAGAGGAGGTAATAGGAGAGGCAAGAAGAGGGTGTAGGGCCTCAGGCCTTGCAGTCTGGTGAAGGGACATCACCTTTCACTCTAAGTTAGATGGGAAGCCAGGGGGCTCTCCAGCAGAGGAGTAATCTGACGTATTTTGAAAGGGTCACTGTGGCTGCTGTGCTGAGAATAGACTACAAGGGAACAAGAGTGGGAGCAGGAACACCAGTTAAGGGGCTATTCAGATCATGTAAGGAAAAGATGGCAGTACTGTGGGTCAGGGTGGTAGAAATACCAGTGGCAGTAGTGGTAGTATAACATATATATAAAATATATATATAGTAGTATAATAGTATATATAATATAGTATTATATATTACATACATAATACAACAGCTACAACATATATATTATACTACCATATATGTTATTAATATATATACTATAATGTATAATATACATAGTAAGATTTACAGACAGATGATATGTAGGAGAGAGAATGAATCAAGAAATGATTCAAAGGTTTGGGCTCAAAAATCTGAAAATATTGAGTTGTTACAAATTGAAAAAAGGTGTAGTGAGGGAGGAGCATGTTTACTGGGAAAGATCAGGAGTTCAGTTTTAGATATCACAAGTATGTGATGTCTAAATTCAAGCAGAGATTTCTACTAGACAGTCAGATATCAATTGGAGTTCAGGGAAAAGATCAGGGTGGGCATGTAAACTTAGAAATGTAAGTGAACAAAACGTCATTTTTCTACGTATTCTAGAATAAGTGTTCTACCAAATATAGTTTATTTAGGACTATTAAAACAAACTTTTTTCATATTATTGGAAATCTATGAGAATAATACAGGTGAGCCAGCCCATATATAACAAAGCAAAACGTACAATGTTTATGGAATATTTTCCTGTTCATTGATTCCACAGATATTTAGGGAGTGCTTCCTGAGTACTATGCAACAAGAATACAAGGACACAAAATATGCCTTGTCAGCTCTCAAAACACTCTAGCCAGGTTGAGGTCATCGTAAACAGACTGTGACAGCACAATGGGATGAATGCTGTTGGAGAGGTCTCAGGTTGTTATGGAAGCTGTAGGAGTTTATGAAGATGTATTAGTTAGTCATTGACTTTTTCCTTGGGCAGCTTCAGACTAGTTGGAAAGATCAAACACACAAAAAGTCGCATAACTCTAAAAGATGTAAATAACCCTTGAAGATAACAAAAGCCACGTCATAAGGCAGCATATGAACACTTGTTGAATGTTAATATCTGCCTTAGAGTTCAAAAGAGGAAGAAGTCTTTCCAGGCTAGGGTAAGAGGAAAGGCTTTGCTTGGGTGGAATTTGGGAACACTCAAGTTGAATGATCTAAGCCAAGAGTTGAATATGTACGGCTAGATCTTGGGTGAGAAGACTCGGTTGGAGATTTGGGAATTGTTTCGAAGGTGAAAGTATAGCCCTAAAAGTGGATAAAACCTCCATGGATAAAAATGTGAAGAGAAAAAAAAGTAGAAGGCTAAGGACTTACCATCATTTAAATACCCACTTTCAGGAGCTGGCAAAAAACACAGAAAAGGATCCAGAGAGATAGAAGAACAAGATATCATGGAGGAAATAAGCATAAATGTCCAACAGAAATCTAGGATGCATAAGAATACCCTGGATTCATACACAGTTTTACTTCCGGTAAAACTTTTATGAAATTATTTTACCTGATAAAGGAATCTAAGTAGACAGCCAAAGCATGATTAAACACTTATCTAAACTCTGGCAGCCTGGCTCCCCTTGAGCAAAATGGAGGTGATATTAACTGGGTTATCACCTTGAAGAGCTTAGACCAGGAAAGGGCCTTAAAAATCACTAATTTTGGCCAGACGCGGTGGCTCATGCCTGTAATCCCAGCACTTTGGGAGGCCAAGGCGGGCGGATCTCAAGGTCAGGAGATCGAGACCATCCTGGCTAACGCTGTGAAACCCTGTCTCTACTAAAACAATGAAAAATTAGCCGGGCGCGGTGGCGGGCACCTGTAGTCCCAGCTACTCAGGAGGCTGAAGCAGGAGAATGGCTTGAACCCGGGAGGCAGAGGTTGCAGTGAGTTGAGATTGCACCACTGCACTCCAGCCTAGGCAACAGAGCAAGACTCTGTCTCAAAAAAAAAAAAAAATCACCAATTTTTAAAGCCATTTCATTTTTTAAGTGAGGACAGTTAGGCTTCTAGAGAAATGGTCTATAACATAGCTATTTAGTAAGAGAACTGGGAATGGAAAAGGATATTTTGAGTTGTTTTAACTTAGACTTTTTTCTTCACTGTCTCTAACTAAGCCTAGTTGGCATTCTCAAATTCTAAGAATTCAGATTTAGTGAAAATAGTTAAATGGATTTTAAATGTGTAGTTTTTTTTTTTTCAAATGGTAAATATTTGGGCTTGCCTATTTTGCCTATTTATAATCTAAATCTATTTGGGAGAATGCTTCACTCTAATTATGTCCTCCTGAGGCCACTTTATCCACTCAAACATTTTTTATTTTTCAAGGCAAAGTGCAAATTCAACTCCTAATGAAGCTTTCTCTGATCACCCCAGTAAGAACTGACTACTCTTTCTTACGGGCTCCCCCAGAGTCAACGCTTTTTAAACTCAGGCTGAAACTTATTAGTGGGTCATGAAATCCGTCGGGTGGGTCACTGGCAGAAAAAGAAATAGGAAATATCAGAGGACATCACACATAGTGATGGTGACAATTACTTTTTGAAACATTTACTTCAGTTAAGAGTGTATGCATATGTACTAGATGGCAACGTAACATATAAAAGTTGAAAAACACAGGTTTGGAGGATCATAATGTAAAACACATATCTTAACATATCATGGCCAGCTGTATGGCCACGTAGCTCTTTGAGGGTTGGGACATTCTTGATCTATATATCCCTCATGCCCAATGTCCTACCTGGTGAGTACTCAGGAGTTGTTGACCGGAATGATTATGAAGGTTTGAGAAGGAATTGGAAGAATGAAAAGCAGGTAGGTTGGGGAGGAAATGAGGGCTTGAATTAAGTGTAAATTTTGTAGTTTCCTTTATCTTGAATGTTAATATATATTTTTTCAACCTAATATTATTGCCACAAAGAACCCGTGTTTGTTATCTGTGCTCTGGGGTTGTCTCCCATCACCTTCAATGTAATGTGGTATAAATAATACTTCCTGCTAATGTTGCAGCTGTCACTCAAGGATCTTAAATTACTTTAGGAGCAAGATCTGGTGATGAGTGCCCGGCTCCACTTGGCAGGTGCCAGAGTTAAGAACCAGTGACTGCCTGAAATCTTTGTGCTCCAGGATGACGGCTCCCTCTCTGTCATCCTCCCACACTCTCTTCTGCCCATCCCTTCTTCCATGGAGGGAGGATACCTTGACCCTGCCTCTTTCTGAGCTTTGTAACTGGTAAATAGAGTCTGCAAAGATTCCGCTGAGCTAGAAGATTTGCTCTTTCTTTGCGGGTAGCTATGGTGTGTTTCGGGGGAAGACTCATGGCAATAAAGGCTATTAGTTGAACTGCCTCAGAGCTCAAAAAGCTTGGGGCTGAAAACTGCAAAGGAACTCATTAGAAGTGAGCTCTGGATTATCAAAGGCAATTGAGACTCCTCTGGTTAGAAGCTCTTTAAGATTTGCACTGGACAGAAAGGGGATATTTGACATGCGGTTACCTTTGTGGGCCATTTTATGTACATGGTCTTTTCTATAGCAACCTTATTTCTTGCTTCTGGCCACACTCCTTTTGGTCTTATAGTCCAAATCAGCCACAAGTCATTTAAATACCCCCTCCCCACCCTCTATTTCCTTCTCTTCTTTGCAAACCCACTGTCACCTTGAATATCTCCCCTCCCCCTTTCCTGGAAGCTCTTGGGGGTCAGTCTCTCTTTTCCGAGAAGCTGTTAACTGCCTACAGTTGGGCCTGGGAGGCTCCAGGAGGGTGACAGCAGAGTCCTGGCTTGGAGTCGGGTTACACCACTTGTGTCTGAGTTCACGCAGCATGTTCCTCTGTCAGGGATTCCGCAAATATCTCCCTGAGGTAAAAAAGGAAAGTGTGCTGCGCTCCAGCACCCAGAGCAGTGAGCCCAGTCCCGAGTCCCGGAGAGAGCTCCAGCAATAGGGGCCATGTCGCCATAGCCCCAGCCTCTCGGTCCGCAGCCTCAGCAGCGTCCCAGCCGGCTGGCTTCATGCTGCGGTGCAGCTGCACCATGTTCCTGGGTTGAGGGGGCAATCGGGCACGCTCCTCCCCATGGGTTGCCCATCATGTCTAATGGATATCGCACTCTGTCCCAGCACCTCAATGACCTGAAGAAGGAGAACTTCAGCCTCAAGCTGCTCATCTACTTCCTGGAGGAGCGCATGCAACAGAAGTATGAGGCCAGCCGGGAGGACATCTACAAGCGGGTGAGTGCAGGGGCCCGCTTCTCCGAGGCAGGGGCAGGGGCAGGGGACGGTTTGGCCTGCCAGTTGGTCGCTATTCTAGGCTCTTCCTAGCTGGCGCTGTGCTAGTCAGCGAGAGAGGTGGGGTTTCGTCCAGCTCTGGTCACCTTAACAACCTGTGACCTTGGACAAGCTCATTTCACCTCTCTGGTGCCTGCTTTCTGCTTTCCTTCTCTGTAAAGAAAGAGGACTGGAATAAATCAGAGCCGCTCTCAAACACTGACGTGGAACTGTGCGGAACAATCACCTTGGGAGCTGGTTTAAAATGTAGATTCCATGCCTCACCCTAGGGATTCCGATGTAGTAATGTGGGGGAAGGTGGGGGGAGAGGGTGGGGCTGGGGTGGATATTTGCATTTTTAAAATTTATTTATTTTAGAAACAGGTCTTGCCCTTTGCTCAGGCTGGAGTGCAGTGTCACCATCATAGCACTGCAGCCACCAACTCTTGGGCTCAAGTGATGCCTTCTGGCTCAGCCTCCTGAGCAGCTGGGACCACAGGCACAGGACACCAGGCCCAGATAATTAAAAACAAAAAAAATTGGCAGGGCACAGTGGCTCATGCCTGTAATCCCAGCACTTTGGGAAGCCAAGGAAGACAGAAGGCTTGAGGTCAGGAGATCGAGACCAGCCTGGCCAACATGGTGAAACTCCATCTCTACTTAAAAAGTACAAAAATTAGCGGGTGTGGTGGCATATGCCTGTAGTCCAAGCTACTTGGGAGGCTGAGGCAGGAGAATTGCTTGAACCCAGGAGGCGGAGGTTGCGGTGAGACGGGATTGTGCCGCTACACTCCAGCCTAGGTGACAGAGCAAGAGTCTGTCTCAAAAAAAAAAAAAAAAATTCGTACCAAAGGGGTGGCACTATGTTGTCCAGGCTGGTCTCAAACTCCTGGCCTTTAGATCCTCCCACCTCAGCCTCCACTGTTGTTGGTATTATAGGCATGAGCCACTTTGCCTGGGAAAATATGCATTTTTAAGCAAGATCCCTGAGGTGGCTCTGAAGCAGATCATCTCCAGGTCATACCTCTCCTAGAGAAAGTGCCCTCCTAGCTCCGGCTTGGTGGGGCAGAGAATGATGCTATGGAGAAAAGGGCAGGGGCTAAGGGTGTTTCCGTTCCTTGAGAAATTCATGTTTGCTTTTGAAGATGACTATGCAGATAAGCTTTTAGGACAGAATCTTAGGCATTTTTAGTCTTTGGAATAGCTTGCCTTAAAATGAAGAAGAGAGTAACCTGTGGGATAGCAGTTGGCCTGGGTGGAGTGGGAGGGGAAATGGCCTCTTCCTTGGATGAGAGGGCTATCTTGATTGATGGGTCAGTGATCAGGGTGGGGAAGGAAGACCTACTGGATTGGCTGAGCTGTGGGTGAGATAGGACAGCACCTTGATAAGAGGACATTGGGCTATGGGTTATGAGGATTAAGCCTCGTAGCTGGTCACCACAATATTGGTTTCCTCAGCCCTCTCTGTGTCTGGACAAGCAGGACCTGAAGTGGCCCAAGTGACCGGGGACTGGTTGCCTCTGACCTTATCAGAGATTCTAACTCTCCAACTGTTTACCCCAGAGGACTATACAAATACCATTTTCTATGTGTGCTCTGTCCTGTCAAGAGGATGGATGACTGGGAAGCGATACAGGCTGCTAGATAACATCTTGGATCAGGGAAATAGCTGGTGTCTATGAGACCCAAATGATTATTTAGTTAATTCAATTAATGTGTATAGCTAAATCTGGGGGATTTAACTCTATTTCCTGTCTCTCCTGCATTTCCATGTTTTAAGTCCAAATTTTCCAGAAGTTGGTCCAGATTCACCTTTTATCTTTTACGTGGCTATGTAATGAGTGTGCCTCATTGGAGCTGCCACGTGTCAAGAAGGATATTGCCAAGTGAGGGTTGGTAACAGAGAGATGGCGAGAGACGGAGGATGAGTGGGAGGTTTTGCCTTAGGGTTAGGGTAGGAATAGTGGATGGATGTATTCACTGTGCAGAGGGAGGAACTTTCCCCATTAACTGTCTTCAGGGCAAAGAAGGAAAGGACAATTTCTTAGGTAATTTGAGGGAAAGGATTTTGTTGTTGTTGTTGTTGTTCTGAGACAGAGTCTCACTCTGTCGCCCAGGCTAGAGTGCAGTGGCACGATCTCAGCTCACTGCAACCTCCGCCTCCTGGGTTCAAGCGATTCTCTGGAGTAGCTGGGACTACAGACGCCTGCTACCACACCTGGCTAATTTTTGTATTTTTAATAGAGGCGGGGTTTTACCATGTTGGCCAGGCTGGTCTCAAACTCCTGACCTCAGGCGATCCACCCGCCTCAGCCTCCCAAAGTACTGGGATTACAGGCGTGAGCCACTGCGCCCCACCAGGATTTTTTTTTTTTTAAAGCTGAATCAGATGGCTGTCTGAATCATTTGGTCTCACTCTCTGCTCTGCCCTAGCGAAAGATCTTTAGGAAACAACTTTGGGTGGGGTGTGAGAAGGCACCATTTCTCACCTGGAGAAGTGTGATAAATGAGATTATAGGAGCTGCACAAGGTGTATGTGGGGGGAGTGGAACACAGCCTGTTGTCACATGCAGAGAGGACAACCCTTTTGCTAGACTCTAGTATTGCCATGGGTCCCATACAGGAAGTAGATATGGCCCTGTCTCTATCTAGTCTTACGTGTTAGCAGAGTTGTCAGGCAGCTACTGCATCATATGATTTGAGGGATCTCAAACTACTGTATCCCCTCCTCTTCCTTCTCACCAAATGTTTGTTCAATCTGCCTGTCATATTAATTTTCTCATTTGGCTATGATTATTTGAAAAGCGCTAAAGGCTTGTGCTAAAATGTTCTTATTACTTGGGAAACAGAACACATAAAGCCATTATCAATCATTCAGAGTTGAAATTAGTTTACCACACTATGTCATGATGAGTGATTGATAGGAACTAGAGCCGTTCTGGTTTATTTTATTTTTTGAGACAGGGTCTCGCTCTGTCACCCAGGCTAGAGTGCAGTGGCACCGTCACGACTCACTGCAGCCTTGACCTCCTGGGCTCAAATGATCCTCCCACCCCAGCCTCCCAAGTAGCTGGGACCACAGGTGTGCCACCACACCTGGCTAATTATTTATATATATATGTGTGTGTGTGTGTGTGTGTGTGTATGTATTTTTTTTTTTTTTTTTTTTTTGGCAGAGATTGAGGTCTCACTCACTATGTTGCCCAGGCTGGTCTCAAATTCCTGGGCTCAAGTGATCTTCCCACCTTGGCCTCCTAAATTGCTGGGATTACAGGCATGAGCCACCACACCCAGCCACAGTTCTGTTTTGATGTAAGAACGAGGGATTCGGAAAACACTGCATTAAGACCTATTGTCAACAAGGAGACTTAGTTAGGCAAGTTACTTAGCCTCTCTGAGCCTGTTCCAGCCTCTATAGGATTGACATTAACAATAATGCTACAGATACTGAGAATTATTTTTCTATGAATAAATAGCAGCCATGAAGATGAAATAAGAAACATATCAAAACACTTTATAAACTTAATAACATCACATATATATGAGAGGGTAGTAGTTATATTTCTACTAGTAGTTATAGTTATAAAATTTAAATATGGGGACAAGGTTTGACTCTTTATAATCTCCCCCTCATAATTCCCACAGATGTGTCTTATGTTCATTCTTGTTATTCATATTGTGATCCCACGAGATTAGGAAGATTAATTAGCAGCAATGTGCCCAGCATCACATGGTAAATCAGGTGGTTCAGAGGATAATTTAGAGTACTGTTCTGTTACCAAACTTAGTAACAGAAGTTTGATTTTTCTGTTGCTAAGAAACAGAATTTTCTTGATTCTGATTTTTTTCTTTAGCGTTGGAAGGACACTTCTTTAAAAAAAATATTGTAAAAACATTAAATCAAACTCTACTGAGTTAGAATCTGCAATAATTTGAGTGCTGTATGCGTGGTTCTTTTTAAGAAAACCAATGCTTGTGAAACATATGTAATGGAAAGTCTATTGTGAGTAGTAATTATTTTATTGATGTGCATATTTATGCTACCGGGAATTTTTGTTGAGCTGTTTGTACTTAAGAGTGAAAAATTACTCTTAGCGAGAAACAATAAAGTATTTGATTGGCTTCAGGGAAGGGAAATACGGGCAACTTTGGGAGAAGAGAACTGGAGAGTGGGTGCTATCTTTCTCTTTCCAAGTGGCAAGTCTTCTCCTAGGTAGCTGATTGAGGAGACTAAAATAGATATAATCCTTACTTGTAAATGGAAGCTATAAGGATTTTAAATTATAAGAGGAGTTGTCAAAGCTAGAGAGTTATGTTAAAAACCTAAGAGTATCAACCTCAAAGCAAGTAAATAAAAAAGAAGGAGTTTCTCTCTTTTAAGCTGTTCAGAGAATTAAGAAATAATCTTAAGAATCATCCTGGCCATGGATTAATAAAATAATATTAATTCATACATAAAAATTGGTTTCTTGAGACTGGCTACTTTTTTGTTGAGTGTTTATCCTGTAAGCTTCAATTTTTGTAAATCATCATAATAAATTTTTTAAAAAGGAAGAGGCTGCTTACCCTCTGTACCGACAGAGTGGGACATATGCCTACATGACCAGGCACTGCTACCCCCTTTTGGTAGCAAACATTAATTTTAAGTTCAGCTTTTAGGGAAGACAATTTTAAACATATAAAGCAAGCAAAGGAGAAATCATTGCAGTACACTGACTCTGAAGCAAAATAAAGTGAGAAAATGTTGTGAGTGGTCCACAGCTGAGTATGGCCCACTCCTAGGGAGACTGGCTTGTTAGCATTTCTGGACTGCAGCTGCTGTGGTAAGTAATTTTTGGGTGGCAACTTGGCTGACTTCCTCATTGTTGATTGCCTAATCCTGCATTTTCTCATATTAGTCAAGTGTGTCGCTACTGGAATCTTGTCTGACCCTGGAATTTATGAAATCCACTGCTGTGTGGTAAACACCCAGTCTCCAAACAGCACACAAAACCATCATCCACTGGGTTTTGCCCCCTGATGACTACTTGTTCAACTTGTGTGAATTAAGTTTCCATTCTAAGAATGAAATTGAAAAACTGACAAGGCCAGATCTGATAGCAAAAGGGTCAGGAGAAATAAAATGTTGTCGTCCTTGACCAGATAGAGTCAATGTTTAAATATGATGTAATGATATTGGAAGGTTAAAGTGGACTTAGCCCTTAGATATGAGTTGAGAGAGTTGTGTTGCGTTGTTTTATGACCCTTAAGCTGCCTGACTTCTTTGAGATTGAAACTTCTTTGGTTTTCTCATCTTTGAGATTGGATGATACTTTTCCTGCGCAATCTTTGAGGTTTATGCATAGCATACTTCTATAGCTATGGTAAACAGCCTACTGATTTTACTTGCCTACCAAATTGTCATTGTTTTTACTATTCTGTTATTGCTGGGCATAACGGCTAAGAGCTATAAATTGGCGAGACCTGGGGTGAAATCTTGATTTTTCTACTTACTATTTGTGTTGGGAAAAATACCATAATTTCTCTGAGCTAAAGCAAGGGCAGTAATAACACCTATCTTACAGGGTCTAGAGGAGGATGAAATGAGTCAATTAGCTGAACTCAGCATAATGCCTATCACATAGTAAGCTCTCAATAAATATTTGCCATTATTGTGACAAATTGAGAGACGGCAAACTTATCCGGATAAGTCTTAATTACTGACACATTCATGCTGGACTATTTTTTATTCCAAATCAGTTTCTTTTTCCTCAATAGTGGACTTGGGACCATTTGTCCTATTTGTCTCAATTCTCAATTGTTGTTTGCTTGTGTGTAAATAACATAATATAATCCAAGTGTCCCTATTGCATCAAATTTACCTTGGCATTCTCAGATACAAATGTTCATTCAAAGAAAATAAATAAGAAAGGCTGGGTTGATTAAATTTCTTTTTGGCTCATTGACTGATTTTCTTTGGTCCTAGCCTGATTTCTTTAGGCTTTGGGCAACATGATGAGGAACAATATACCTGCAGACTTACAAGGAAGCTCAGGAACTCCATCAGGCGGTAGGATTTAGGAAGCTGGACTTGAACCAAAGGAAGGCTATTAGAGAAGGATGAGTATCTTGGGGGGTTATCAAAAATGTTGTGATAAAAGTTTTGAACTCTAAGGAAACCTGAATTCTTAACCTGCCGTTTCTAGCTACATGATCTTGGGCAAGTCACTTAACTTCTGTGAACCTTAGTTTCCTAAATTAGAGTCATCAATTCCTGTCGTGCTCTCCTCCCCCATGGGTAAACATGTTTTAGTGTATTAGACGTTAGATAAATAGAAAGGATTGTGATTTCTATCCTGCATAGCTGGAGACACATACTAGAAAGCATGCACCTGCTCAGGTTATTGTCTAAAGTGGCTGTGTGGCTGCTGTTGCCAGAATTAATGCTTGTCTTCTTATATGTAGCAGAGTTTGCTCTTCTTTTACAGTTGGATGCCTTATTTAATTAGTGGCTATGTTTTTTTCTCCTATGTTTTACTTACACGAACTTTAAGAAATGTGGATGATGGGAAAGGAGGAACATAAGAGACAGACAAGATTACATTAGCCAAACTATTTTTAAATGGTTCTCTGGAAGCCTAGTATGAACATGGTCCATGTGTGTCTGTGTCTACGCACACTGTGTGTGCCAATTCCCCATTCTCAGCCTTCTGAGGTTCGTGAGGTCATGCTTACCTATTTCTTCTTTCAGGGAATGAAAGTTGGCAGAAATAGAGGGAATCCATCCATTAAATATTTGTAACCAATATTTATGATTTTGGTTAAATATTTTTTTAAACTTCACACTCATTAGGATGGCTATTATACTAAAAATCAAACAACCCAGAAAATAACAAATACTAGTAAAGATGTGGAGAAATTGGAACCCTTGCACATTGCTAGAAAGAATGTGAAATGGTGCAGGTGCTGTGAAAACCAGTATGGAGTTTCTCAAAAAATTAAACATAGACTTACCGTATAATCCAGCAATTCTACTCTGGGTATAACACAAAATAAATGAAAACAGGAACTCAAATAGATATTTGTATTTCTGTGTTCATAGGAGCATTGTTTACAGTAGCCAACAGGTGGAAGCAACTCAAGTGTTCATTGACAAATGAGTGGATAAACAAAATGTGGGCTATATAGACACTGGATATTATTTAGCCTTAGAAAGGTATGAAACTCTGACATGTGCTGTAACATGAGTGAACCTTAAAGATGTCATGCTAAGTAAAGTCAGTCCCTAAAGGACAAATATTTATTATTTCACTTAAATGAAGTACCTAGAGTAGTCAAATAATGAAGACAGAAAGTGGAACTATGGTTGCCAGGGGTTGTGGGGAGGAGGGAATGGGGAGTTAGTGGCTACAGTTTCATTTGGGAAAAAGTTCTGGAGATGGATAGTGATATTTGAACAACTATGTGAATGTACTTAATGCCATAGAACTATATACTTTAAAATAGTTAAAATGGCAAATTTTATTATATGTATATTTTAACACACACACACAAAATGTTTAGGCCTGGCATGTTGGCGCATGTCAGTAATCCCAGCACTTCGCAAGGCCAAGGTGGGAGGATCACTTGAGCCCAGGAGTTTGAGACCAGCCTGGGAAACATAGCAAGACTGCATCTCTGTAAATTTTTTTTTTTTTTAATTAGCTGACATAGTGGTGTGTGGCTGTGATACCAGCTACTTGGGAGGCTGAGGTGGGAGGATTGCTTGAGCCCAGAAGGTTGAGGCTGCAGTGAGCCATGATTGTGCTCCTGCATTCTAGCCTGGGTGACAGAGTGAGACCCCATCTCACACATACACACAGAAAAAAAAATGCTTAAAGCAACTTTCCCCAAAAAGTCAGTTGCTTATAAAAATAGTGGAACTCTTAACCAAAGGCAACTCTGTTTTCTGCTTTTCCTTAACACAACTTATCTCATTTTTTCAGAGCTTTTAATTAGAATTCATAATACTTGCCTGTTGAGAAATGCTTCTTCCCTTTGAATACTTAGGAATTTTTCTTTCAACCACTGGAAAACAAATCCCAGACTAAATTCTGGGCCCTAATTTAATTCTAATCCACTTTCAGTTATCCCCCTAACAATGTCTACATAATTTATACTTCTGCATGAACTTATTACAAGGCCACTTCTTTCTATAGTGTATGTACATTCAGGTTTATGCACTGATAGAAGTAGCATGTTACACTTGAAAAAAATAGACATTCTAAATTTCTGTCTCAAATGTTTCCCTTGTTTGCAATATCATTTTAGTCATTTTTTTGCTCATATTTGCACATATGCATTGGTATATTCAGTCGAATGTCTATTGATTATCTACTATATGCCAGCTACTGTGCTAGATTCTGGTGGAGAAGACATCAACAAATAAATAAAAATGGTATAATAAGGGCTACCATAGAGGTATGGACAGATTATGCTATAGTGCAATAAAATCCACCAGGAAAGGCCTTGCCAAGTGTTTGAAGTTTGCATTGAATCCTAAAAGGTAGTAACATAACAAGAAATGGGAAAAGGCATTTCTTTTTTCTTCTTTTTTTTTTTTTTTTTTTGAGATGGAGTCTCACTTTGTGGCCCAGGCTGGAGTGCAGTGGCGCCATCTTGGCTTGCTGCAATCTCCACCTCCCAGGTTCAAGCGATTCTCCTGCCCCAGCCTCCTGAGTAGCTGGGATTACAGATGCTGTGAAACATACGCTAATTTTTCATATTTTTAGTAGAGACGGGTTTTCACCACGTTAGCCAGGCTGGTCTCAATCTCTTGACCTCGTGATCCACCCACTTCGGCCTCCCAAAGTGCTGAGATTACAGGCATGAGCCACCATGCCTGGAAAATCCAGAAATTCTTTTTTTTTTTCTTTGAGACAGAGTCTTGCTCTGTCAGCCAGGCTGGAGTGCAGTGGCATGATCTCGGCTCACTGCAACCTCCGTCTCCTGGGCTCAAGCGATTCTCCTGCCTTAGCCTCCCAAGTAGCTGGGATTACAGGCGTGTGTCACCATGCCCGGCTAATTTTTGTATTTTTAGTAGAGATGGGGTTTCGCCATGCTGGCCAGGGTGGTCTCAAACTCCTTACCTCAGGTAATCCACCCACCTCGGCCTCCCAAAGTGCTGGGATTATACGTGTGAGCCACCGCGCCTGGTGGGAAAAGGCATTTCAAACAGAAGAAACAATATACAAAAGCAGAGGTGTACAAAAGCAATGTGCACTTGGCACACTGGAATCATTCTGTATGGCTAGATCATGTGGTTTGGAGGGCTTGTGGTGGTGGTAAGATGAGGCTGCAGGGGAGAAATCATGGAAAGCTTTGGACTTATCCATTCATTCATTAATAAACATTAATTAGGTACCTGCTATGTTCCAAGTACTAGAAGTTGGGACTTCAAAGATGAGCAAACCACAGGTGCTAGAGTATAGTAAAAGGCAGTAACAGAGCTGTGTACAAAGTGTAAGGAAACTCAAAGGGGGCACTTCTATCCCAAATGAATAGAGTGGATGGAAAGAAAATCTGCAAAGGATTATTCGTGATGACCCCTGAACTTCGTCTTCAAAGGGGAATAAGCACTAATCAGTCAATGGATGATGAAGTGGAAGGACAGAGTTTTTGTCACAAGCAAAAGCCTTGAGGCAAGAAACCATAGGGTGCTTGCACAGAATTAGAAGTGGTTTAGTGTTGGTGGATTTAAGTACTAGGCGAAGAATGAGACTGATATGACGGACACAGTCTTTTGTGCCATTTTAAAGATTGTAGACTTTATCCTGAGGAAGACAAGGCACCACTGATGGGCTTTAAGCTGCAGGGAACCTGCTAGATCCCTCTGATGCATGGGAAAGGTGGATTCAAGAGAGTCAAGGCAGGAAGTGAGTGAGAACAGACTTGCCAAGCCAAAGAAGATGAAGGCCCGAATGAGGGCTGTGGCAGTAGGAATAGAGGGGAGGCAACTCATCTTTAAAATATTTAAGAGGTAAAATATTTGTAGGACTTGATGATTGATCAGGATGGGAGAATTGAGGGAAAGGAATCAAGAGGAAGGCCAGGCTAAGGCAAGTCACTTTTTCTGGGCTTCTGGTTCTTTGTGTTTAAATGAGTGGGCTGGACCAGGATTGACGCACACATCCCTCCCAGTTCTGAAGTCCCGTGATTCTGGGCAGCCTTTCTCTGGGCGCAGAGAAAGGAAGCTCTATGATACATGGGTGTTCTCACCACAGCTTAGATAGTTGCTTAAAAGAGACTCATAGTTTCTCAGCTTCTCTGACAGCTTCTCAGGATGGGAGGTGGCAGGCAGAGCTGAGATGGCTTTAGAACTGCCAGCCAATGCAGGGAAATCTAGTGCGGTTACCAGGTAGCCGGAGTTATAATTAGCCTCGTTGCTAGGGCAAGGCTGAGATTCTGTAAGCATGGACTGCCAGCAACAGCTTTTCCCTGCTGGGTGAATTTACTTGTTTGAAAGAACAAAGTGGGTATGGATGGGGTGTTTTTAAATGTGTTTTAGATAATTTAAATTTTGCCCTAGGTATAGGATATGTTTAAAGCAGAAAACAGGTTTGTGTTGGGGCTGATCAACATCTTGCCTGGGGCAGAAGGAGTGAGGAAAAATTCCACTCTGTTATATGTTTGGATAGCTGGAAAGAGACTTACTTTCACCTGAAGGAAGATAAGTAAGAACATAAAATCATTATTCAGAGGTAGAGAGGATCTTGAAGATAATCTACATAATCCTTTCACTTTTTAAGAAAACCATTTATTTAAAAATAATTTTAGACTTATAGCAAAGTTATAAAAATAGTACAGAGTGTTCCCATATGCCATTCACTCAGCTTCCTCTAAAGAATAAACCCTTCATTTTAAAGATAAGATGACTAAAGCTCAGAATAGTAATTTGCCTAACGTCACACGGTAAATTAGTAGCCAAGCTGAGACTAGAATCCAGGAGCCCTAACTACCTGTTCAGGCTGCTTACAATGACCTCTGGGACCTTCAACAAAAATTCAAGAAATGTAAGTGCTTGTCAGAACTTAGTTTTTCTTTCTTTTTGCATTACTGGGCTAAAATAGAACTCACACAGCAGGAGCTAGAGTAATTACAGAGAGATGAATCTGCACTCTGTGCCTACTGCCAAAAGAAAAGGTTTAGTTCCTCAGCCTCCTCAGGAGTTTCATCCATATGTTTTCAAAAGTCACCGTGAACATATTTTTCTCTTTTGCCTTGCTCCCTGCTCTGGCTTTTGCCATCTCATCTGATCAAGTTCAACTGCACAGAGAGAGGAGGCTCTATGATACATGGAGTAGGCACAGAGCGAGGCTGGTGCAAACTGGAAAGGGGCCCGCCCTATCATGTTCAATAGCAGCTAATCCACCCACACACCGACAGCAGTGATCCGACTTGGTACATGCCGTTCTGTGGAGAGCTAAGTAATAGTCATGTGGCTTTTTGCCAAGCAACTTTAGAAGTGACATTGGGCCACAGTGGGCAGTTACTATCCCTGTTATTTAGAAACTTGGCTTGATGAAGTGGGGAGTGAATGCAAGGCACAAGCTGCATTGTAATGCCAGCTTTTCATATCCCAGCCTCATGTAAGCCCTGCTGCTGCAAAGGGCTACAAGCCACCTCTTCATGCACACAGGGCTTTAGAAAGCCCACCCAGAGGCTTGGGAAGAGGAAGCCCTTCTTTAAGGTGCCTGGATGAGCGGCAGGGAGGCTGCCAGCATGATGGCTATGATCTGGAGCTGCAGAAAGAGGGTCTAGGCACTGGTCAAGGGCCTGAAGTCAGCCAGTTCTTTCAGGTCACTTTTTCTTGGTAAGTCTCAGATCTTCTCCCTGAGACCACACAGGTAGCTTCCTCTATCAGAGTTACTCCGTGAGACCTCACACTCCAGATTCTTATCAGTCAAGCTCAGTATCTGCTCAACACAAAAGTAAATCTAGTCTTGCCCACTGTGAACTCCGAAAATTTGAGACAGGTCTCAGTAAATTTAGAAAGTTTATTTTGCCAAGGTTGAGGACACATGCCCCTGGCATAGCCTCAGGAAGTCTTTATGACATGTGACCAAGGTGTTTGGGGCACAGCTTGGTTTTGTACATTCTAGGGAGACATGAGACATCAATCAATGTATGTAAGAAGTACCTTGGTTCGGTCTGGAAAGGCGGGACAACTTGAAGCAAAGGCAGGAAAACTTGCAGTGGGGGAGGCGGCTTCTAGGTCACAGAAGAGAGACAAAAGGTTGCATTCTTTTGAGTTTCTAATTAGCCTTTCCAAAGGAGGCAATCAGATATGCATTTATCTCAGTGAGCAGAGAGATAACTTTGAATAGAATGGGAGGCAGGTTTGCCCTAAACAGTTTCCAGCTTGAGTTTTCCTTTTATTTTTTGTATTTTCATTTCCATAGGTTATTGGGGAACAGATGGTGTTTGGTTACATGAGTAATTTCTTTAGTGGTGATTTGTGAGATTTTGGTGCACCCATCACCCAAGCAGTATATACTGCACCCTATTTGTGATCTTTTATCCCTCACCCACTTCCCACCCTTTCCCCTTGAGTCCCCAAAGTCCACTGTGTCATTCTTATGCCTTTGTATCCTTATAGCTTAGCTCCCACTTATGAGTGAGAACATACAATGTTTGGTTTTCCTTTCCTGCCTTACTTCACTTAGAATGATAGTCTCCAATCTCATCCAGATCATTGTGAATGCGTTAATTTATTCCTTTTATTGGCTGAGTAGTATTCTATCTCATATATATATATATATATATATATATATATATATATATATATCCATCATATATATATATATGTGTGTGTATACACACCACAGTTACTTTATCCACTCATTGATTGGTGGGCACTTGGGTTGGTTCCACGTTTTTGCAGTTGTGAACTGTGCTGCTATACGTATGCGTGTTCAAGTATCTTTTTTGTATAATGACTTCTTTTCCTCTAGGTAGATACCCTGTAGTGGGATTGCTGGATCAAATGGTAGTTCTACTTTTAGTTTTTTAAGGAATCTCCACATTGTTTTCCATAGTGGCTGTACTAGTTTACATTCCCACAAGCAGTGTAGAAGTGTTCCCTGTTCACTGCATCCACATCCATATCTACTATTTTTTTATTTTTTTGATTATGGCCAGTCTTGCAGGAGTAAGGTGGTATCACATTGTGGTTTTGATTTGCATTTCCCTGATTATTAGCGATGTTGAGCCTTTTTTCATATGTTTGTTGGCCATTTGTATATCTTCTTTTGAGAACTGTCTATTCATGTCCTTAGCCCACTTT
Organism: Homo sapiens; assembly: GCF_000001405.40. NCBI lineage: Eukaryota > Metazoa > Chordata > Mammalia > Primates > Hominidae > Homo > Homo sapiens. The sequence goes on along the minus strand of NW_025791753.1, from coordinate 217,508 downwards.
ATGATGGGATTGTTTGTTTTTTCTTGCTGATTTGTTTGAGCTTGTTGTAGATTCTGGATGTTAGTCCTTTGTCAGATGTACAGACTGTGAAGATTTTCTCCCACTCTGTGGGTTGTCTGTTTACTCTGCTGACTGTTCCTTTTGCCGTGCAAAAGCTCTTTAGTTTAATTAAGTCCCAGCTGTTTGTCTTTGTTTTTATTGCATTTGCTTTTGGGTTCTTGGTCATGAAATCCTTGCCTAAGCCAATGTCTATAAGGGTTTTTTCGATGATACCTTCTAGAATTTTTATAGTTTCAGAACTTAGATTTAAATCCTTAATCCATCTTGAGCTGATTTCTGTGTAAGGTGAGAGATGAGGATCCAGTTTAGTTCTCTTACATGTGGCTAGCCAATTATCCCAGCACCATTTGTTGAAAAGGGTGTCCTTTCCCCACTTTATGTTTTTGTTTGCTTTGTCGAAGATCAGTTGGCTGTAAGTATTTGAGTTTATTTATGGGTTATCTATTCTGTTCCATTGGTCTCTGTGCCTATTTTTATGCCAGTATCATGCTGTTTTGGTGACTATGGCCTTATAGTATAGTTTGAAATCAGGTAATGTGATGCCTATAGATTTATTCTTTTTGCTTAGTCTTTCTTTGGCTATGCGGGCTCCTTTTTGGTTCCATATGAGTTTTAGAATTGTTTTTTCTAATTCTGTAAAGAATGATGGCGGTATTTTGAAGGGAATTGTGTTAAATTTGTAGATTGCTTTTGGCAGTATGGTCATTTTCACAATATTGATTCTACCCATCCATGAGCATGGGATGTGTTTCCATTCATTTGTGTCGTCTATGATTTCCTTCGGCAGTGTTTTGTAGTTTTCCTTGTAGAGGTCTTTCACCTCCTTGGTTAGGTATATTCCTAAGTATTTTATTTTATTTTATTTTTTGCAGCTGTTGTAAAAGGGGTTGAGTTCTTGATTTGATTCTCAGCTTGGTCGCTGTTGGTGTATAGAAGAGCTACTGATTCGCATGCATTAATTTTGTATCCAGAAATTTTGCTGAATTGTTTTATGAGTTCTAGGAGCTTTCTGGAGGACTCTAGGATTTTCTAAGTAAACAATAATATCATCAGCAAATAGTGACAGTTTGACTTCCTCTATAACAATTTGGATCCCCTTTATTTCTTTCTCTTGTCTTGCTCTGGCTAGGACTTCCAGAACTATGTTGAAGAGGAGTGGTGTGAGTGGGCATCCTTGTCTTGTTTCAGTTCTCAGAGGAAATGCTTTTAACTTTTCCCCCAGTCATTATTACGTTGGCCGTGGGTTTGTCATAGATGGCTTTTATTACATTGAGATATGTCCCTTGTATGCTGATTTTGCTGAGAGTTTTAATCATAAGGGGATGCTGGATTTTGTCAAATGCTTATTCTGCATCTATTGAGATGATCATGGTGATTTTTGTTTTTAATTTTGTTTATGTGGTGTACCACATTTATTGACTTGCGTATGTTAAACCTCCCTGCATCCCTGGTATGAAACCCACTTGATCACGGTGGATTATATTTTTGATATGTTGTTGGATTCGGTTAGCTAGTATTTTGTTAAGGATTTTAGTATCGATGTTCATCAAGGATATTGGTCTGCAGTTTTCTTTTTTGGTTATGTCCTTTTCTGGTTTTGGTATTAGGGTGATGCTGGCTTCATAGAATGATTTAGGGAGGGTTCCCTCTTTCTCAATCCTATGAAATAGTGTCAATAGGATTGGTACCAATTCTTTGAATGCCTGGTTACATTCTGCTGTGAATCCATCCGGTCCTGGACTATTTTTGTTGGTAATGTTTACATTACCATTTCAATCTTGTTGCTTGTTATTGGTCTGTTCAGAGTATCTAATTCTTCCTGATTTAAGCTAGGAGGGTTGTATCTTTCCAGGAATTTATCCATCTCTTCTAGGTTTTTTTTTTTTTTTTTTTTTTTTTTTTGAGATGGAGTCTTGCTCTGTCGCCTAGGCTGGAGTGCAGTGGTGTGATCTCGGCTCACTACAAGCTCCGCCTCCCGGGTTCATGCCATTCTCCTGCCTCAGCCTCCCGAGTAGCTGGGACTACAGGTGCCCACCATGGCGTCCGGCTAATTTTTTGTATTTTTATTTTTATTTTTTATTTTTTATTTATTTTATTTTATTATTATTATACTTTAAGTTTTAGGGTACATGTGCACAACGTGCAGGTTAGCTACATATGTATACATGTGCCATGCTGGTGTGCTGCACCCATTAACTCGTCATTTAGCATTAGGTATATCTCCTAATGCTATCCCTCCCCCCTCCCCCCACCCCACAACAGTCCCTAGAGTGTGATGTTCCCCCTCCTGTGTCCATGTGTTCTCATTGTTCAATTCCCACCTATAAATAATGCCGCATATCTACAACTATCTGATCTTTGACAAACCTGAGAAAAACAAGCAATGGGGAAAGGATTCCCTATTTAATAAATGGTGCTGGGAAAACTGGCTAGCCATATGTAGAAAGCTGAAACTGGATCCTTTCCTTACACCTTTTTTGTATTTTTAGTAGAGACGGGGCTTCACCATGTTAGCCAGAATGGTCTTGATCTCCTGACCTTGTGATCCACCCACCTTGGCCTCCCAAAGTGCTGGGATTACAGGCGTGAGCCACCACGCCCGGCAGCTTTATTTATCTTTTCAAAGAACCAGGTTTTCATTTCATTTATCTTTTGTATTTTTTGTTTGTTTGTTTCAGTTTCATTTAGTTCTGCTCTGATCTTGGTTATTTCCTTTCTTCTGCTGGTTTGGGTTTGGTTTGTTCTTGTTTCTCTAGTTCCTTGAAGTGTGACCTTTGATTGTCTGTTTGTGCTCTTTTAGACTTTTTGATGTAGGTGTTTAGGAATATGAACTTTCCTTTTAGCACTGACTTTGCTGTATTCCAGAAGTTTTGATAGGTTGTATCACTATTTTTGTTCAATTTGAAGATTTTTTTAATTTCCATCTCGATTTCATGATCATTCAGGAGCAGGTTAATTTCCATGTATTTGCATGGTTTTGAAAGCTCCTTTTGGAGTTGATTTCCAGTTTTATTCCACTGTGGTCTGAGAGAGTGCTTGATATAATTTCAATTTTCTTAAATTTATTGCGGCTTGTTTTGTGGCCTACCATGTGGTCTATCTTGGAGAAAGTTCCAGGCACTGTTGAATAGAATGTATATTCTGCAGTTGTTGGATGGAATGTTCTGTATATATGTCTTAAGTCCATGTGTTCCAGGGTATAGTTTAAATCCATTGTTTCTTTGTTGACTTTCTGTCTCATTGGCCTGTCTAGTGCTGTCAGTGACATATTGAAGTCCCCCACTATTATTGTGTTACTGTCTATCTCATTTCTTAGGTCTATTAGTGATGGTTTTATAAATTTGGGAGCTCCAGTGTTAGGTGCATATATGTTTAGGATTGTGATATTTTCCTGTTGGACAAGGCCTTTTATCATTATATAATGCCGCTCTTTGTCTTTTTTAACTGCAATTTCTTTAAAGTTTGTTTTGTCTGATATAAGAATAACTACTGCTGGGCCAGGCACGGTGGCTTATGCCTGTAATCCTAGCACTTTGGGAGGCCAAGGCAGGCAGATCACCCCTGCCTGTACTAAACCTATCTGTACTAAAAATACAAAAATTAGCTGGGCATGGTGGTGCACACCTGTAGTTCCAGCTACTTGGGAAGCTGACACAGGAGAATTGCTTGAACCTGGGAGGTGGAGGTTGCAGTGAGCCAAGATCGCGCCATTGCACTCCAGCCTGGACTACAAGAGTGAAACTCCATCTCAAAAAAACCAAAAAAACAATAGTTACTTCTGCTTGCTTTTGCTTTTGGTGTCCATTTGCATGAAATGTCTTTTTCCACCCCTTTACCTTAAGTTTATGTGAGTCCTTATGTGTCAGATAAGTCTCTTATGTGTTAGGTGAGTCTCTTAAAGGCAGCAGATAGTTGGTCGGTTAATTCTTATCCATTCTGCAATTCCGTATCTTTTAAGTGGCGCATTTCGGCCATTTACATTCAATGTTAGTATTGGGATGTGAGGTACCATTCCGTTCATTGTGCTTTTTGTTGCCTGTATACCTTGGTTTTTTGGGTTTTGTTTTTGTTTTTTTGAATTGTATTTTTGTTTTATAGGTCCTGTGAGATTTATATTTTAAAGAGGTTCTGTTTTGATGTGTTTCCAGGTTTTGTTTCAAGATTTGAAGCTTCTTTTAGCAATTCTTGTAGCGCTGGCATGGTAGTGGCAAATTCTCTCAGCATTTGTTTGTCTGAAAAATACTGTATCTTCTCTTCGTATATGAAGCTTAGTTTCACTGGATACAAAATTCTCAGCTAATAATTGTTTTGTTTTAGGATGCTGAAGATAGGGGCCCAATCCCTTCTGGCTTGTAGGATTCCTGCTGAGAAATCTGCTGTTAATCTGACAGGTTTTCCTTCATAGGTTACTGGGTTCTTTTGTCTCACAGCTCTTAAGATTCTTTCTTTTGTCTTAACTTTAGATAACCTGATGACAATGTGCCTAGGTGACGATCTCTTTGCAATAAATTTCCCAGGTGTTCTTTGTGCTTCTTGTATTTGTTTAGGTCTCTAGCAAGGTTGGGGAAATTTTCCTCAATTATTCCCCCAAATATGTTTTTCAAACTTTTAGATTTCTCTTCTTCCTCAGCAATGCCAATTATTCTTAGGTTTGGTCATTTAACATAATCCCAGAGTTTTTGGAGGCTTTGTTCATATTTTCTTATTTGTTTTTCTTTGTCTTTGTTGGATTGGGTCAAATTGAAGACTTTGTGTTCAAGCTCTGAATTTCTTTCTTCTACTTGTTTGATTCTATGGCTGAGACTTTCCAGACCATTTTGCATTTCTATAAGTAAATACTAACACAGTATTTGGTGTGTCTCCTGGGTCCTGCAGGAGCCATCTGCTTCCTTCAGGGGGCCTGTGGGTCCTCTGAGGTTTTGTAATTTATTCCTCCAGTCGTTCTGGAGCAAAAATTCATGATACGAGCCTCCACATGCTTCTCTGTCCATCCGAGTCGGAGCTGCAATCTAGTCCTGACTTCCATCCAGCATGATCCTGAGTTTTCCTTTTAGCTTAGTGATTTTGGGAGCCCAAGATATTTTCCTTTCCCACCCACCTAGCACAGTTGTATTGATGACAACAGGGTTGTCAACTCTCTACTTCAAAAATCAGGAAGTGCTGGGTCCAGAGCTGGATTCCCAGAGTCTTCCTGTAGCAGAAATCAAATGAAGGTGGTGAACTTCTGGGACTCAGAGGAGCAGATCCCTTAGAGGTGGGGAGCAGTATTGTACTAAGGCTTGTTCTTTCCAACCCCTTCTAGTCTGTGGGATTGTGGGGAAGCTCAGCTTGCTGACAAAACCATTTGGAGCCTCAGAAGACTAGGAGGCAGGTTAGTAATAACCAGTCCCTGCCATCTTCTGTGAAGCTGGGGTGAGAGCAGACAGGTTCCTTCAGCTGTGTGGAAGCTTGGTTCTGTAGGGAGCACATAAAAGGGCTGGAGAGAATTGCTGCAGTTAGAGGATGGTGATGTCAATTAGGAATGGAATTCCACCTGACGCTTTCTGAGTTGGCCTTCAACTGCTAGCTTCCAAATTTCTACCTCCCGTCTCCTTCCTCCTGTTTTCTCTACTGCTGCAAGGGGACAGGGTCTTAACCAGTGCCTAACGTTCTTGATGTAAGGTGCAGGAAAATAAATGGTTATAAGGAAAGCAGCCTGAGGACTCCTTCCCTATAATTTGCAGCTACTTTATCTGCAGAAGAGGTTTCTAGACCCAGGTCTTGTCCCATCTTCTGGTATTAAATTCTTCCTACTCTTAGGCCCTTTCTGTCCTTCTTTGCCCCATATCCTCCCCCCACTTTTCCCAAATTCACTCATGCACATGGCAAGTAAACGCTAAACACTTCCCATTTAAATGCTATAGAGGAAGAAATCTGTTTTGTGTTTACTGTGTGCCAGGCACCATGTTATGCATCTTACACATATTTAATTTCAACCATATAATAGTCCTATGAAGTGGGTGTCTTGTTCCCATTTTTCACAGGATGAAATTTGCCATCAATAGGCTCAGGGAGAGTACCTGGTATCCCAGCAGCCGTGTGGCCTCATTCTACAGTTAAGCAAGGCTTTGGTACATTCTTTAGAATTTAGTTAGTAACTCTTTCAAATGCAAATGATGTTTTCCAGTGAATAACTACATTGTGTTATTCACTGGAGAGAAAGAAAGGACTCTAGTAAAATGATATTTACTTTCGTAGTGACTTTTGCCAAGATTGTGGCAGGAAGGGGTGGCATTGTCTCATTGAGGTACCTGCAGTACAAGGTGGCATTGACCTCATTTTTACTCTTAAAACAGGTGCAACTTGCCGTGTGCAATGTGCCTGGGCTGTCCTTATCTGTATAGGTTGCCCTGTTAGGCTTGTGCTGAGTCTGGTTTGGAACTCTAGAATTCAGAGGAAATAGGAAATTCATTAAACCAAACTAAAAAGGTTAGAAAATGAGGCTTATGTGAAAAGGGCAATGGAATTGGGATTTTTACTTTGGGGGAAAACAGACTTACAGGTGACCTAATAGTGCCTTTTAGGTACTGAAGTCTCAATATGTGACAAGTGGTAATTAGTTATTCTCTGTCCCTGCCGAGGATAAGAATAGGTCAATCCTAGTTTAAACTAAACATTAGTCTTCATTCATTTAAAAATATGTACTAAGCCCCTACTGTGTTCTAGATTCTATTGGAGGTGACTGGAGTATATATCAATATATTCATGTATAAGTCTTTGTTTTATTTCTTTTGGGTAAATACCCAGTAGTGGAACTGTTAGGTCATATAATAAGCACATACAGGCATTCCCATCCTCATAGAACTTATAGTCTGTCATGAGTAGACAGAAAATAAACAATAAATATTATAAATAAAGTATGTAGAATGTTGGAAAGTGAAAGTCCTCTTGGGGCAAGGGAAGGAGAGCATTTAAATGCTTCCCATTTATTTCTGATCAGCTCTTGATAGAAAAAAAATTGCTCCCTATTTAAATCCTATGGAAGAAGAAATCCATTTAGTGTTTACTATAAGCCAGGCACCATGTTATGCATTTTACACATATTTAATCTCAATCAAGTAATAGTCCTACGAAGTGGGGGTCTTGCCCCACTTCAAAAATGAGCAAAGGTGTGGTGGCTCAAATCTGAAACTCCAGCACTTTGGGAGGCAGTGGTGGAAGGATTGCTAGAGCCTAGGAGGTCAAGGCTGCAGTGAGCTGTGTTTGCATCACTGAACTCCAGTGATCAGACTGCACTCCTGGGCAACAGATCGAGACCTTGTCCCAACTAAAAAATGGGCAAAGGACATGAACGGAAGACATACATGGGGCCAACAAATATTTGAAAAAATTCTCATGCTCAATATCACTAATCATTAGAGAAATGCAAGTCAAAACCACAATGAGACACCATTGCACACCAGTCAGAATGCCTACTGTGAAAAACAAAAAATAAGGTGTTGGCAAGGTTGTAGAGAAAAGTGCTTATACGCTGTTGGTGAGAATGTAAATTAGTTCAGTCACTGCGGAAAGCAGTTTGGTGATTTCTCAAAGAATTTAAAAGAAAACTACCATTTGACCCAGCAATCCCATTACTGGATATATACCCAAAGGAAAATAAATTGTTCTACCAAAAAGACACATGCACTTACATGTTCACTGCAGCACTATCCACAATAGCAAAGGCATGGAATCAACCTAGATACACATCAACAGTAGACTGGGGAGGAAAAATACGGTACATATAAAGCACGGAATACTATGCATCCATTAAAAGAATGAAATCATGTCTTCTGCAGCAAAAGAGATGCAGCTGGAGGCCATTATCCTAAGCTAATTAACACAGGCACAGAAAACCAAATACTGCATGTTCTCACTTATAAGTGAGAGCAAAACTTTGAGACATGGACACAAAGATGGGAACAATAAGCACTGGGGCCTACCCCAGTGGAAGGTAGAAGGGGGGAGAGGGTTGAAAAGCTAACTATTGGGTACTATACTTACTACCTGCGTGATGGGTTCATTCATACACCAAACCTCCGCAACATGCAAGTTACCCATGTAACAAACCTGCACATGTACCCCCTGAACCTAAAACAAATGTTGAAAAAAAAATTACAGGAGTGGAGAGCAGGTTGCAGTATTAAGGAGTGGCCAGGAGAGGCCGTGTTTAGAAAGTGATTTAAAACACCCTTCCATACCCAAATGCACAGCCACCCCTACCCCTATCCCTCCTTCACCCCCCAACACATTTATTATCTCACAGTGTGTGTGGGTCAGGAATCCAGGCACCGCTTAGCTGGGTTGTCTGCTTAGGGTCTCCCTAGGCTACAGCCAAGGTATTGGCCAGGCTGCATTCTCCTCTAGAGGCTTGACTGAGGAATCTGACTCAGAGCTCACTTGGGCTGTCAACAGAATCCATTTCTTTGTAGCAGTAGGACTGAGGGCCTTGACTTCTTGCCAGAGGTTGGCTAGAGGCTGTCCAGGGTTCCTTGAAGTCACCTAGTGTTCCTTGCCATGTGAGCTTTCCCCATATGGCCACTTCAAGTCAGCAAGGAGAGGCTCTAGAGCAAATCTGCAAGCAAGAGAGCCTTGAAATTTAATATAATCACAGGAGTGACATTCTTTCACCTTTGCCATATTCTATTGGTTAGAAGTAAGTCGCAGGGCCTGCTCATACCCAAAGAGAAGGAGTTACACAAGGGCACAAACACCAAGAGGCGGGGATCATGGGGAGCCACACTGTAGTTTGTGGACCACACTACCTTTTACTTTTTTTTTTTTGAAAGGATGGGATGGAAAGAGAAGCAAATAAACATGACAGTTACCAGTGCAGGAAGATTTGTTTCTAGGTTTACCTTCACAGCCTTTATGGCCTTCCAAGCTGACCTGAGGCAATGAAAGCATCCTAGACTGGTAGTCTCCATGCCAACCAAGCTCTTTACTCATTCTTTGCACTTGGCAGTTTGCATTGCCACTTGCTATGTCATTTTAGTTTTTCCTTTCATGTTTTGTTTAAATAAACTTTATTAAGTATGCAGTTAGATAAATTTTAACAAATGTATACCACTGTATAACAAACACCACACAATCAAGATAAAAAAATACTTCCATCACACCAAAAAAGTTTCCATATGTCCTACTGGTGCCACATGTTTCAAACCTTTCATACCTCTGGCTGCAGAAAACCACTGATCTGCTTTCTGTTGATAGATAGTTCTGTCTATTGTAGAATTTCATTGAAAGTGAATCATAAAATACAGACTATAGTATCTGGCTCTTAGAATAATGATTTTGAGTTTCATCCATGCTATTTGTATCAGTAGTACATTCATTTTTATTGCTGAGTAGTATTCCATTGTATGAATATAATACAATTTGTTTATTCATTCATTTGTTGATGAATGTATGAGTTGTGTTCAGTAACAGGCTATTATGGATTAAGCTGCTATGAATATTCATGTAACAAGTCTTTGTTTTATTTCTTTTGGGTAAATGCCCAGTAGTGGAACTGTTAGGTTATATAATAAGTATATATAGATTAAATATCTCTTATCTGAAATGCTTGAACCAGAAGATTTTCAGATGTGTTCAGATTTTGAAATATTTGCATATACATAATGAGATATCTTGGGGATGGGACCCAAGTCTAAACATGAAATTTATTTATGTTTCATATACACCTTGTACACATAGCCTGAAGGTAATTATGTTTTTCTCTTGGGGATGCTGAATAAACTGGGTGTTGTGCCTGCATTTTTGCTGCAACCTTTCATGAGGTCAGGTATGGAGCTTTCCACCTGAGGTATCATGTTGGTCCTCAAAAAGTTTTGGATTTTGGAACATGCTGGATTTTGAATTTTTAGATTAGGGATGCCCAGTCGGTATTTCTGCCTATTTTCTGAATAGATACTGTCTAACTATTTTTCAAAGTGGCTATGCCATAGAAAATAATTTTCAAATAGCAACTTGAAGGAGATGACGAAGTTGGTCAAACAGAGAACTGGGGGAAGAATATTCCAGGCAGAGAAACATCAGGAAAGCCACTGTGGCTGATGCAGCATAATCAAGATTAAGCATGCTGGAAGATGAGGCCCCAGAGGGTATGGGGCTTGTGTAGTAAGTCCCTGTAGATGATTTTAAAGACTTCAGCTTTTACTCAGAGTGACATGGGAACCTATTGAAGGGTTTTGAGCAGAGGAGGGGTCTAACAAATGCCAGTCCTGTCTGACTTGTTGAAATGATAAATCTGGTTACAGTATTGCAAATAGGCTGTAGAACAAAAGTAGACACCAGGAGGACTCTTAGGAAGACACTGCAGTAATGTATGTAGGGGCTGATAGTGATCAGACTTAGGTAATAGTGATGCATGTGGGAACAAGTGGTGAAGGTAGCAAATCTAAAAGGATTTTGTCAATGGATTGGATACAGAATGGGAGAGAAATAAAGGAATCAAGGAAAATTCCAGGGTTTTTGGAGTAAGCAACTGGAAGGATGGAGTTGCCATAACTGAGATAGGGAAGGCTATGGATGGAGCAGATTTGAAGGTGGAGAGTAGGGGTTCAGTTTTGGAAATTTGGTGTGTAAGCTATTTGCTAGACATTTTATGTGGCAGCATTAAGTAAGCAGTTGAATACATAAGTCTAAAGTTCAGGAAATAGAGTAGGGCTAGAGACATAAATTTGGGAGTTATCAGCAAATAGATCATTAAATATTAAATTTAAATATTTAAAGCCATGAAACCATAGGAGATCACCAAAGGAGTTGGAGTTAGACCTTTCCAGGTGGAAGAGAAAAGGACCAGAGACTGGTCCTGTATAGCTCCAACATTAGTAATTTGGAGAAAAGAGGAAGAATCAGAAAAGGAAGATAGAGAAGGTACAAACCAGTGAAGTAGGAGAAAAAGTCTGGAGTCCCGGAAGCCAAATGAAGAATGTGTGTAGTGAAGAGGACAGGATCCACCTTTTGAAATCCTGCTGAGAGCTTGAGTAATACGATGATTAAGAATTGACCTTTGGCCCGCCAGACGTGGTGGCTCACGCCTGTAATCCCAGCACTTTGGGAGGCCAAGGTGGGCCAATCACTTGAGGTCGGGAGTTTGAGACCAGCCTGACCAACATGGTGAAACCTGGTCTCTACTGAAAATACGAAAATTAGCTGGACATGGTGGCGCATGCCTGTAATCCCAGCTACTCAGGAGGCTGAGGCAAGAGAATCACTTGAACCCAGGAGGCGGAGGTTGCAGTGAGCCGAGATTGCACCACTGCACTCCAGCCTGGGCAACAGAGCAAGACTCTGTCTCAAAAAAGAATTGACCTTTGGATTTAACAACATGGATGTCATTAGTGATCTTGATTAAAGTAATTCTGGTGGAGTGGTGAAGACAAAAGCCTGCTTGCAGTGGGTTTAAGAAACAATGTGAGGAGAAGAATTGGAGTCAATGAGGATGAATAATTACTTTGAGTTTTGTTTCAAAGGAGAGCAAAGGAATGGGGCATACCTGATAAGGGTATGAGGTCCATAGGGGATTTCTAGAAAGATAAATGAATAATAGCATGTTCGTATGCCAACAGAATTTTCCATTAGAAAGTGAAATATTGATAAAGAGAAGCAGGGGAGACCTTCTAGGTGTTGCCTTTGAGAGGTAGGGGGAATAGGACTTAATTAATACATAAGTGGAAGGTTTGGCTTTAGATAGGAGCATGGATAGTTGATCTATGGTTATAAGTGGAAAGACAGAGAATGTAACCCGAGATGTGTAGATGGATTGATATGGCGGTAAGAGACTGCCAGTGCTTTCTTCTGGTTTTTTTGTTTGTTTGTTTGTTTGAGACGGAGTATGTCCCTGTTGCCCAGGCTGGAGTGCAGTGGTGCAATCTCAGCTCACTACAACCTCTGCCTCCTGGGTTCAAGCGATTCTCCTGCCTCAGCCTCCCAAGTAGCTGGGATTACAGGCACACACCACCACACCTGGCTAATTTTTTTGTATCTTTAGTAGAGACGGGGTTTCACCATGTTGACCAAGCTGGTCTCGAACTCCTGACCTCATGATCCGCCCACCTCGGCCTCCCAAAGTGCTGGGATTACAGGCGTGAGCCACCACACCTGACCCAGGTGGGCCTTTTCTTATCACCACTGCCTGAAATCTTTCCCTCTCTGTGCTCTTCCAGCAATTGCCTACCCAAACCCTAGGCCCAGCCGACTTTGGAGGTCTCCAGTTGAACCTTCACCTTTTACTGGAATGGAGCAGTCTCTGCAAGAGGGGTTGGTGGAAGTAGGAAGCAAAAAAATTGAGAAAAGAAACAGTAAGAAGAGGAAGTTCTTGCAGGGAGAATTGTTTTTCAAGAGAGCTATATTTTTATTTTGAACAGCATCCATTTGTTTGATAAATATATCATTATCTTCTGTGTGTGGGCATTGTGCTAGCAATGCTACAATGGTGAGAAGATAGAGGGAGTCCCTGCCCTCATGACACTTAGAGTTTAGTGTCTGAACATAGTCCGAGCAGCATTGTGATACGCTGACTCCTGTTAAGTACAGTGCCTGTTATCATCCCTGCCCAGTGGTTTTGCTTCACTTATAATTACCTAGAGTCATTTTGGTATTTTGTTGGTTGATGGATGCCAGCACCCCACAAAACTCTCCAAGATGCTATGAGACCACAGGATTAACTGTGATTCAGGTCAGACTATGTCTTAATGCAAAGTACTTAAAGCAAATACATCTTTTTCCTAACATCTTATAGAACAGTGCTGTCCAACGTAAATATAAGCCATACATGTAATTTAAATTTTTCTCATGGCCACATTAAAAAAAGTAAAAAGAAATATGTGAAATTAATGTTAATAATACATTTAAAACATTATCATTTCAACATGAAATCAACATTTTACAATTATTAATGAGATGTCACATTCTTTTGTTGTAGTTAGTCTTTGAACTCCTGTGCGTGCTAAGTCTGAAATCCTTACAGCACATTTCGATTTGGACTAGTCACATCTCAAGGGTTCAGTAGCCACATGTGGCTCATGCCTGCCATCCTGGATGGTACATCTGTAGAGTCTACAGGGTAAGTGCTGTCCCTAGTGGAAGCAGAGCTTCAGAAGAGTTGCCTGATCATAGGACCTGGCTTCAGGACACAGCCAGGCTTCCAGGGAAGGAGTGACTGCTAGATATTAGAACTTAGTTTCTAATATCTTGTCTGTTTATTGTGTGAGATTCTGTGTAGGAAAAATGGTCCCAGACTTTGCAAAACACCAGTGACTGGCTTTGTCCTTTTTAGAGAACAGATCAAAGTATGTTTCAATCCAGAATTGAAAGCTGAATTTGGGGATAAATGTCAGATTATGTTAGGTGTTACAGATAATTTAAAAATATTTAGCAAGTTTCCTATGCAACAATTTATCTGTAGAAAAATTAATATAGTTTTTATATTCCAAAGTAAGGTTTTACTTAGTTTCCAGTTCTATAGCTGCTGCCCAAAGAAAACATTTATGTGAGAAGTTAAGGAAGTAAAGGGTGGTTCCCGTGAGCTCCAGTTCCTAAATAGCTGAGAAAAACAAACATTCTGAACATCCCCTTTAGCTCCTTCGGCAGGGCTGGGCTCCTGTCTCCACACAAGGTGTCCTGGGGCATTACAGGGGCTCCAGACTTACCCCTGGCTTTTGCAGGGGGCCTGCCCTTTGCTAAATTAAGCCCAGCCAGGCCTATCTGTGAACAGAGAGGCTCCAGCCGAGTGAGAGAGATTGGTTCTGCTAAGGAATGTCCTGGGGAGGGGAGAGAATCGCTGAGATCATGGGTATTTATGTGTATGTTTTCTCACTTGCCAGCTCAGTTGGGCCACATCAACAGAGGCCTCTGGGACACGACCAAGATTCTAACAGAGTGACTATAGGGAATGAATAGCTCATGACACACTGAGAAGGGTTTAATTGGAGATCAGTGTGAATACCACAGCAGAATGTATCTTGGGAACTCTGTGCTCAGAGTCTAAATAAAACAAGCAGAACACCTCATTTTCCCTCATTTTTCTTTTTGTTTAAAAAAATGGATTTTGTTTTTTATTTTATTTTTTATTTTTTAGTTTTTTAAAATGAGATAGGGTCTTTCTATGTTGCCCGGGCTGGTCTCAAACTCCTGGGCTCGAGGGATCCTTCTGCTTCAGCCCCCCAAAGTGCTAGGATTACAAGTGTGAGCCACCAGGCCTGGTCAGATTTTGTTTTTTAGAGCAGTTTTAAGCTCACGGCAAAGTTAAGCAGAAGAGCCAGAGATTTCCCATTTACTCCCTGCCCCTACATACATACCTGTGTATATACAGCCTCCCCCACTATCCAAACCCAAAGATGTCTCATTTTGATATATCTTTTCTTGGATTCTTAAGCTTAGTGTTGACCAGAAATACCTCTTATTATGATTCATGCATCTGACTGTCTTTGGGAAAACTAACATTTATTGAACACCCACTATATGTCAGGTATTTTTTTTTTTTAACATCTTTTCATTTACAACCCTGAAAGGTAGGGGTATTAGCACCATTAAAAAAACTAACAACAGAAGGAAATGAAACTTAGGTTAAAATGATTTACCTCTAGAATACAGAGATGAACTACGTGAAACTGTAAAAAAATGATTGAATATCTCCATTTTTATATGGTTCAACCTAATAGAATGTAAGAGGGCTCATATTTGAACCCAGGCCAATTTAGTTCAAAAGCCTATACTTTGCATTGTACTGTACTACTGCCCTAAAATTACTAGAATAGCACTGGATTCTTTGTTTTCCCTTGGGGGTGCTGTAGTTTCACATAGATGTAGATTTATATTCCTGCTCCTTAGAAGACTAGAACAGCGATGCTTAGAGAAAGAGCAAACCAAGGTATGGTATATCTTGAGTTAGAGTAGGAGTTGAGTTGAGTGGGAGCCTAAGTTTAGAGACTAAAGCTAGGAGTTATATGATGGACCCGCACTGATTCGTGTATCTGCTGCTATTTATATCTGCCACCTGTGTGCATTTCCATACAGCTGATTCTGGGTTCTCTTTTGTTTGTTACATGCTATGATAATCATTGGTTTAATTAACCCCATAGGCTGTAAATTCTCTGAAGACTGTGATTCTGTCTGTCTTGCTCTTTCTAGTACCTATTAAAGTGTCGGCACATACCAAGTAGGTGCTTACTAAGTATTTTATGAAAAAGCAAATGAATAAACAAATGATACTATCTCAGCTACTCTGTCCTCTGCCCAATGAGCACTGTCTCTGTCTTTGCCTCTGTCTCTCTCTCTCTCTCTACACACACACACACACACACACACACACACACACACACACATATACACACACCCTAGCTGTGTCTATCCAAACACCTAATCTCCTTAGCACTCATCCATGGTCTCAGTGCTTACTCAGACATGGGTGTCTGTGTTTGTCTAATCAAGGTAAACCAGGCTGGGAAAGGACTGGTATTGCTTTGAAGCTTTTACTAAGGACTGACATAGGTTGGGCTTGAAATATGACCTGAACAGAGCAGTTTTGCCATTTGAATGTGGAGCCTTATATTGAATAAACTGAAACTTTTCCACTTGGTTTTTTCCATCTCTTTGGAGAACAGCACTGGACACTAAAGCAGGCTCTGGCAGGAGAATGTCCTGGTCTTGCAGAATCTTCTGGTTGCTAAGGCTGAGGACACAGCCCCACTGTCCTTTCTCTGGCAACAAAGGACATTTGTCACATGTTGGGGCGACTTATGTTTCTAATTTGGGACTTAACTGCACTAGTAAAAGACAGCAAATGTGGAATCAGTAGAAAGGTAGAGATTGTGCATTTGAATCAAGACTTTCTTCCACTTCACATTAAAGTGTAAAAACTTAATGCTTTGCATTTGAATACCTTCTGATAGGTGGCTAGGTGTCTCACATAAGCGTAAAAGATGAGTAATGCAGGTGGTATTATCATTCTTATGGGCAAGAAGGAGAGGCTGTAATTCAAGTTAATTGTATAAAAGCATAAAGCTCTGGGGACGACCAGTTTAAGGTCACACAGGGAGTTAATGTTAGCCAGATATCTAGACCCACTAAGGCTTCATTTTTGCTCTAAAACTTATGAATGGAGAGAAACTCCATTTACAAAAGAATTCACTTGGAAGCTACTAAAATGTATTTCTGGGGATCCTGCAATGACCAGTCCTTTGTCTTTTGGTCAAGACAGATAGAGTCCTTTCTGAAAATGCTCAGTGCTTCTCCCTGTTTTATAGAGTTATGACCTTGCCCCATTGATGTCAGAGAAGCCTGGAGAAGAAATTCACTCTGCATACAAAAAAGATGTATGTACTACACTTTTCCTAGAAGAGATAAGATTCTAAAAATGAAACGTTTTAAAATAAAACCCATTCACTAATAGTTACTTTTCACTTTGGGTGAATAATCAGGAGTTACATCAGGGTTTCCCTACAAGATTTTGAAACTCTTCCTCCTGCTAAATTATTTTTTAAAAATTCCTTTAGTTTACAGAATTGATTAGGATGGGATTTGGTCATATTGATTTTTGTCCCAAATAAAGACTCTTTTGTGGAATGCCAGCTCTTCTCTGGCTTGCTTCCTACTATCTTGCAAAGGTGCAGTACCCATTTCCTTCACTCACTGACCTTAACACAACTCTGATTACACTGAGAACTCCTTGAGGTCAAGGACAATGATGCCAAGAAAAGCACTTAGGTTTTGGCAATCTTTAATCTCCAATACTTTCTTGTCGACTTTATCAATGAATGTATGCTGGTATGCTGTCAAGATTTTTTAAAAACTATTTATTTCTTTTTTGTTTTTATTTATTTATTTATTTTTTTGAGACGGAATCTCACTCTTGCCCAGGCTGGAGTGCAGTGGCGCAATCTTCGCTCACCGAAACCTCCGCCTCCTGGGTTCAAGCAATTCTCCTGCCTCAGCCTCCTGAGTAGCTGAATAGCTGAGTAGCTGAGGAGCCCTGAGTAGCTGGGCTCCCACCACCACGCCCGGCTAATTTATGTATTTTTAGTAGAGATGAGGTTTCATCATGTTGGCCAGGCTGGTCTTGAACTCCTGACCTCAAGTGATCCACCAGCCTCAGCTTCCCAAAGCGCTGGGATTACAGGCGTGAGCCACTGCGCCTGGCCTATTATTATTTTTTGAGTGGCTGCTCTTAGCCCAGCAGCAAACTTTGAGGGATATAAGCTTGCAGATGAGTTGAAATGCATACACATGAATGCACAAATGTGAAGTTAAATGCCAAAACAAAAATGTAAGCCATCAATTCAAAAGTGATAACAAAGTGTTTATTTCAGAAACTTATACTAAGAGTTACTGTGAGCCAAGAACTTTTATAAAACCTAGAAGGGGAGGCAGACATTTTAAATAAGCAATGTAAGGCAGAGTCGGGTGAGTGCTATACTAGAGGTAAACATCAGATGACCTGGTATGAATCCTGGTTTACTAAGGACAATCTTGATTTTTGCCTGTTGCCCAGAGGTAATTATGATAGCACCTGTTTGTACTATCAGAAGAGTCTCAGTTATTAAATTATAGTCATATAAATTATAAACTAAGTACAGTTGAAGTGAAAAGAAATTATTAGTTCTGACTGGGAGGTTGGGGAAAGGTTTCTATAGGAGAGGATGTTTGAGCTGAACCTAGAAGAACAGGTTTAGAAAGAGAAACCATCATAGGCTGAGAACAGTTCAGGCAAAGCCTTGGTGGCCTCCAAGGACACTTGTATGATTGATTTCTCAATCAGCAAATGCCCTTGTCTTTAATGGAGAGTAGTACCACCAATGGCTAGCGAGGTCTTGGAAATTATCTCACCATGAACTATCATCACTCAGAACTCTAGTTATCAGAAAAAATGGCTGCTGGGTAATGACTGATGTCATTGTCATCCTGTGTCAGATCAGAGGGCACAGTTCAAGTTGGCTAAGGTGAGCAGGTGAAAGGGAGAGGAAGAGAGTGAGTGAAGCAATGTGAAAGTTGAAGAGACTAAAGGATAAGAGGTGAAGGGAGAGAACTGTGCTTTTATTGGTTCAATCTGCCCAATTAAAGAAGTTGCAGTTCCTCTTTAAACAAATCTTGTTTTTAATTTATTTCTGCATCTCTTCTTTCCTCCCTATATCCCATACTCTGTTGTATTCTGAGTCTCCCAAGTTTGAGACGTGCCTAGAGGCAGGTTTAATTTTCTTTATCCCTCAGTATTGGGAAACGGACTCTGCACCACTGAGTCTATGTAAGTCTGGTGGCTGAAAGAAGCTGCCACAGGGAGCCGAATTTTCATTGCTATCTATAACCTGAGTTTAGGTAATTCCAGAAATGAAAATGAAAAAATAAAAAAGAATATGGACATTTGCCTTTTTGGGATGAAAATGCCCCTTTTGACTTCTCATTATGTAAGTTTGAAAATTTTCAAATATAAACAAAGACTACGAAAATAGTACCTCCCGATGTATGTGTCCCATTTACCAGGGAGCCATGTTCCCATCACTCAGCTTTAACGGTTCCCAACATTTTGCTGTTCTTTTCAGTGATCTCCCTGCACTGTTCGTTCTCCATCTTGTCCTCTTCCACCCCTTACAGCAACTCTCTGACATCATATAATTTTATTTGGGAAGATATCAGAATATAACTCTCACAGAGAAGGCTTTGTTTTTAAACATAACCACAATACTATTATTGTACCCAAAAAGCTTAAAAATAATTCCATAATACCATCTAATACTGGGTCCATACTCAATCTTCCCTTTAAAAGTCCGTGTTAAGATCTGGAGATTTTAAGTCAGTATTTCTGAGCTCCAATGTAGTGCACAGGAGTAGGATGTTTAGCCCTTCTTACGGAGAGCATGAGCAGTAGAAGAGGAGGCTGGAATCCTAAAGTGTATTCAATCTTCTATTGTCAATGGGTCAATAATATACCTATTAGAGAATATTCTTAGCTTAAAACTGAAAAAGTCAGCCAGGCGCGGTGGCTCACGCCTGTAATCCCAACACTTTGGGAGGCCGAGGCGGGCGGATCACGAGGTCAGGAGATCGAGACCATCCTGCCTAACACGGTGAAACCCTGTCTCTACAAAAAATACAAAAAAATTATCCGGGCGTGGTGGCAGGCGCCTGTAGTCCCAGCTACTCGGAGACTGAGGCAGGAGAATGGCATGAACCCAGGAGGCAGAGCTTGCAGTGAGCCGAGATTGCGCCACTGTACTCCAGCCTGGGCGACAGAGCAAGACTGTCAAAAAAACAAAAACAAAACAAAAACCTGAGAAAGTCTTTATTTATCTACTTATTTGAGATGGAGTCTCGCTCTGTCACCCGGGCTGGAGTGCAGTGGCGCGATCTCAGCGCATTGCAAGCTCCGACTCCTGGGTTCACACCGTTCTCCTGCCTCAGCCTCCCGAGTAGCTGGGACTACAGGTGCCCGCCACCACACCCGGCTAATTTTTTGTATTTTTAGTAGAGACGGGGTTTCACCGTGTTAGCCAGGATGGTCTCATTTCCTGACCTTGTGATCCGCCTGCCTCAGCCTCCTAAAGTGCTGAGATTACAGGCGTGAGCCACCGTGCCCAGCCCTTATTTTTTATTTTTTTGAGGTGGAGTTTCTCTCTGTCACCCCAGCTGGAGTACATTTTTTATTTTTTCGAGATGGAGTTTCGCTCTGTCACCCCGGCTGGAGTACAGTGGCACAATCTCGGCCCACTGCAACCTCTGCCTCCTGGGTTCAAGCGATTATCCTGCCTTAGCCTCCCGAGTAGCTGGGATTACAGGCACCCACCACCACGCCTGGCTAATTTTTGTATTTTTAGTAGAGACAGCGTTTCACCAGTTTGTCCAGGCTGGTCTGGAACTCCTGACCTCAAGTGATCCGCCCACCTCAGCCTCCCAAAGTGCTGGAATTACAGGTGTGAGCCCCCGCGCCCAGCCAAAAGTGAGAATGTCTTTTAAAGACTTCAGATAAAAAGTTTTCCACATAATCTCACAGCATTATCTATTACCTTCTCACTCATTCAACAAACATATCATTGTTAGTCCACTTCCGCCTCTTGTCATCTATTCCTTCTTTGTTCTCTTGTTGGTTCACTCTTTCAATGCTTTTACTGCACCAAGAGGTGAGAGACACTGCGAGGACCTCAGATTAGTCACAGCTGTCGGTTATTTGTTTTTGTTGTTGTTGTTTTTGAGACGGAGTCTTACTCTGTCGCCCAGGCTGGAGTGCAGTGGCGCGATCTCGGCTCACTGCAAGCTCCGCCTCCGGGTTCACGCCATTCTCCTGCCTCAGCCTCCGAGTAGCTGGAACTACAGGCACCTGCCACCACGCTCGGCTAATTTTTTTTGTATTTTTAGTAGAGACGGGGTTTCACCGTGTTAAGCAGGATGGTCTCGATCTCCCGACCTCGTGATCCGCCCGCCTCGGCCTCCCGAAGTGCTGGGATTACAGGCGTGAGCCACCGCGCCCGAGCTGCGGTTATTTGTATCAGACATTGTGCTGGGTACTTTACATAAATTCATTTATTCCTCACTACAAACTTTGAGGTAATTTTTGCAACCCCTATTTTATAAATGAGGAAATTAGGTTGTAAAAGTTGAAGTAATTTACACAAAAAAGGTCCCCCAGTTAGGAAGTGGCAGAAAGGTATGTGAACCTAGGTTTACTTATCCTGAAATTCCTGCCCCAGCATGACAACGCTGAGAGGCAGTATCTTAATAACCAGCGCACCTGGGTAGTTCTGCCACACCATCATTTCCTCTGTCCTTAGGGAGTTTGCAATTTAAAAGGGTAAATAAGACAGGTGTAGAAATATGAAGCATTTACACAGGATGCCAATGTTGCAGTATGAAAAGAATATTTGAAAGCTCATAATGTCATCATGAGAAATTACTTTTAATTTGGAGAGATAAAGTAAGGCTTCACAGGGGACGTAGCATTTAACCATGAAGCTGAAGGGCACACAATGATGTGGCACCAAGAAGCATAGGGCATGTTTGGGAAATCCAGTTAGGCTAGCAGATAATAATGGAAGATAAAGCTGGATAGGTAGATTGAGGTCAAATTTTGAATAGACTCTATTATCAGGCCAGTTGTGTATAATTTAATCGCTGTACAGTTAAAAATCGTTAAAAGGTTTTTTCTTTCTTTCCTTTTTCTTCTTTAGCTGGACCTGCATCACATATTAAATGCTTTTTGGACAGACGGAATGAAATAACCAGAGCTATGCTTTAGGGAAAATTTAAGTAGTAGAGGGACTGAGGTTGGGGAAACCAGATATGAGACTATTCATGTACTCCAGTCCTGGGGAGAAGGAAGAAATACCTAATAGAAGTTTAATTTCAGCTTCATCATTGAAACTTTTTCTTGAGTTAGATGGGCGAACACTCCTTTGGAGGCATGAAGAAAGAGAAGTGCTTTCTTCCCATCTCCCCTTTCTTGAGTACATAAATTTCCTTAGATATCTTGACAAAGAGCCAAGAAGACTTGGTGATAAAATAAGCAAATGCAGTTAATTTGGAATCTACTGATGCTATAAAAGAATTTAACAATTTACACATGAATATTTAGTAATGGAGAATGAATAAATGTGATAAGCTATATGATGATTTTTCTACAGAAAGAAGGTGCAAGAAGGTTAGACTTTGATGTAAGATTATTGCTTTTACCTTGAAAACCCTTCTGGATTTCAGCCATCCTAGTTAGAGAGGGTAAATTGTTATTGTTTTTATAGTTAATAATAGTTATCATTTTCTGAATACTGACTGCATGCCAGGCACTGTGCGATGTGATTTTTGTGCATAATTTCATTTAGTCTCCCTAACATCCTTTGTAGATTGGTATCATTGTTATCTCCTTGATAGATGAGGTGAATGAGGCTCTTAGAGAGGGCAGGTGACTTGTCAAGCCCCCTTCTCGCCTTCAGAGCCTATGCTCTTGACCACTATACTTACTGCCTCCATATATTCTTTCAAGACTAAATGCAGCACATTCTCTAATTCTATAATTTACCACATTCTACAAAATCAGACAAAACTGGGCAGTGTTTGCTAAGCTGGTCTCTCTGATAAAAGGCTAAAGCAAGAGTGGAGTGTTGGTTTCAGTTACGGCTTTTACCTTGGAGGTAACCCTTCTGGATTTCAATTTCCTTGTCTTTAAACTAAGAGAACTAGAACACAGAAATGCTGAGGTCTTCAAATCTGTGAATCTTTGGGCAAATTGGTCAAAGCATTGACTTCATTTTCTTCAGTAGGATTTAGAACAGATAGAACGTACTAATTTATGTCCTCTGTTTTTCTTCCTTTTAGATCTAAGTATTTTTCCTGGTAAGGCTGAGGTCTCTGACTGGCACTAGTTAGCCTGGACATGAAGGGAAAGTGAATCAAGGTTGTTGCACAGCTGTGTGCAAGGCATTGTTCTATGCTTATCATGCACATTGTCTCATTCAATCCTCACAGAATCCCTCGTGAATACTTATCTTCATTAAAAAGCAAAGCAACCACACTATACTTATAAGAAAACTGAGGCTCATAGTGATTAGTTAACCTGCCCAAGGTCACCTAGCAGGAAAGTGATAGAGCCAGGATTTGAACCTAATTCTTTCTGGCTTTAGGTTGGTTTCATAGTGCCTCTCACTTTCCCTGTTGTTTGTTTATTTTTATTTGAATATTCAAAGATTCCTCATGCAAAAATAGTATTAATAGTAAGGGACTTTTCAGGGAACTTTCTGTTGATCAGTTTATACCTGATAGAGATTCCCTATGTCACATCATGAGACTAAGAACTAGGCAGAGGACATCCATATAGCTCCAGTCATTTGAGACCTCACGTATTTTTAGATATGAGATTTTTAAAAAATCTGCTCAAGCAGTTTTGGCTTATCTGAGGTGGTTTAGCATATCCAGACTTTTCTGATTTATATAAATTAGCCAGGCATAGGAATATCATTGATAATAACACTTCATAATTATAGATTCCATTTTCTTTCATATGAGATTTAAATAGCTTTTTGCCCAGTCTTTGTCATTTTCCAGGTGGAGAAGCCTTAGCAGAATTTTACCCAAGGTCACAGAAGTGAATCAATTGGTGGCAGAAATAATAATAAACTTAGGAGTCCTCTTTCTCAGCACCATATCCTGAACACTGAATCCACTTGAAACATTATGGTCTCATGGAAAGCAAACTGCTGTTCCAAATGATAATGCTGTTGTTCTTGATGATGATGGTGATAATAATATTATTATAATTAAAATTATAGTTATACCTGTGTTAGAAACACTGTCCTAAGTCCTTTACATGTATTGATTTATTTATGCCTCACGATCCTCTCAGTAGGTTTATGAATGAGGAAAATACAATTATCTGCCTATTACAGATTAGGAAATTGCTCCCTCTTTGCATTTCCCACATAATTGAATGCATATTCCTTCACCTCTATGAAGGGCCAGTAGCTTAGGGACCATTTTTTATGAAGACATTTGAATTCCTTTAAGTATTGACCACAAAGCTGGGGACATAGCAACTGTTTAGCAAATCTTCTATTTTACTGATTCATCAATTGGTACAGATGAATTATTCTTGCAGTGCCAGGCCATGGAACTGATATAGAGATCTTAGACTTGTTCTTCATACAAAATTGAAATATGCGTGTTTCCATTTGTTAATCTTTTGGTATTTGTATTGCAGAATAAAATACAGGGTACTCAATTCAATTTAAATTTCAGATAAACAACAAACAATGTTTTAGCGTTTAAGTTATGTCTCAAATATTGCAAAGGATATACTTCTAATGAAACAAATTATTTGTTGTTTATCTGAAATTTAAATTGAAGTAGATATCTTATATTTTTATTTGCTAAATCTGGTAATGCTATTTAGTGTTCATAAAATAATAACTTTAAAGGATATCCTGAAAAGACAGGGCTATCATTCCCTTCTTTTGAAGAAATTAGGATATTTTCATCTCACTGGATCTGAATCTATGTTCTAACCTTGGTCAAAAGGTACCTACTTATGAGGGGAATAAACATTCTTCTCAGTATGTCACTAAAAAAGTACTAGTAATATGATCTAAAATGCCTTGAGTCCAACTGCCTTCCAGCTCTAAAATTCTTTAATTCTAAGTAACTCTCAAATATCTAAACCAGGTTTCTACTTTTCCCAATTAGTATTTGTGTTTCAACCACCCTGCATGGAAACATGGGTTATGAAATGCCTTCACAAGTATGGTAGAAAATATGCTGCTATTGTGTGTTGCCTTGGACTTCTAGAAGTCTAGGTGTTGGTGGTTATTATATGGCGATAGTAAAGTAAAATCCTCCCTACTGTTCTAGTACCCACAATACTACTTTTCATACTTTAGCTACTTTACCTTCAGTCTCTCTGTCAACCTCTGATCTAAAGACTTCTTTACTAAATAACATTCTTCTTGCCTAATACTGTATTATGGACTTCATCAGGGAAGGGACTAATCCATCTTTGCATGCTAACATTTAAGCTGAAATAAAGTAATCCCACAATTAACATTTTGCAGAAACCTCCTTAGGTTCCCCTACAAACCTGCCCCTATTTTAGTTAATAGAATGCATTCCCACTGACATGCTGGAAATTTCAGCATTGTCTTTGGTCCTCCCTCCAGTCTAATCTGAATCTCACAAGTCATCAAGGCCTGTGGCTTCTGTCTCTGAAATGTCTTTTGAGTCTTTCTCCCTGTACCTCTTGTCCTTAGACAGTCCCCCTCCCTATTCTGGTTAGTTGCCCCTGACCCACCCACCTTCTTCATAATTCCTTCTTCAACATGGACCCGATCATGCCAATACTTTGCTTAAAGCTCCCTGATAAGTCTTTGATTTCTACTGATTATTATCCAGTTTTTTACTTTTTTAATTTTTTTTATTTTGAGACAGAGTCTCTCTCTGTCACCCAGGCTGGAGTGCAGCAGCATGATCTTGGCTGACTGCAACCTCCACCTCCTGGGTTCAAGCGATTCTCCTGTTTCAGCCTCCCAAGTAGCTGGGATTACAGGCGCATGTCACCACGCCCAGCTAATTTTTGTATTTTTAGCAGAGATGAGGTTTCACCATGTTGGTTAGGCTGGTCTCGAAAGCCTGACCTCAAGTGATCTGCCTGCCTTGGCCTCCCAAAGTGCTGGGACTATAGGTGTGAGCCACCGTGGCCGGCCTATCTAGTTGTCTTAGCAGGATTTTCACAAACTAGTTGCAAACTATTTTCTATACTCCTTACCACACACTAAGCCACTTAACCTGCACCAGACACACTTGGGATGTTTTTATTTCCTTATTTCTGTTTCCCCAAATCTTACTTGTTGCATCCTCACCTCAATAAAAATTAATTGTTCCCTGTATAACTTTACCATCAGAGTCCCCTCTCACCTTAAGCAAACCTAATTTATAAAATTCCAATTTTATGATAAAAGCATTGTTTTTAAAAATGTTTACAACCAAATTTCTTTAAATAATTGAATCCCCAGGCATTTAAAAGTATTGTTCTATTACTATAATTCTATTAAAAGTATTATTCTAGCAATTTCGTTTTCAGGAACAACCTGTATTAGATAGGAAAAATTTATTTTAATATATACTCTGTCCTGCAATGGTTTAGAGAACGAATAGACTTAAGCAGTGTTCATGATCCAGGGGTAATGATAAATAGGTTGGGAAAATTGATAAGTAGCTCAGGGGAAACCCTGAAGCTCTACAGTTTATTCTTCCTTGACTAGATTGCTGATCCAACTAAATCCCTAATTATGTCAAGGTTCACAAAGAGGGCAGAGATGAGGTGAGAGGCTGTGGACCAAGGCAAGACTCAATTGATTGAATAAATTTTGGTATTACTACACTGTGGACTATTATGCAGTTATTGAAGAATGAGTTAGCTCTATATTATTGTCCTAGTGGGAATTCCTTGATTAAAGTAAGGGGGAAAAGTTGCTGAGTGATATTTATAGTATACTGAGGAAGAGTGAGATCACAGTCCGTGATAGGGAGAAGACTTGATATTTTTCTTTATATACATTTATATTGCTAAAATGGTTACTTTTATAATTTACAGTTTTTTAAAAGCTTAGTGTTAAATGACAAGTATTGCTAAAATTATTAAAAATATTTTCAGACTTCAATAAAGTTTCAGAATACAAAAATTAATGTACAAAAATCAGTAGCATTTTACCAGGCACGGTGGCTCACGCCTGTAATCCCAGCACTTTGGGAGGCCGAGGTGGGTGGATCACGAGGTCAGGAGATCGAGACCATCCTGGCTAACACGGTGAACCCCGTCTCTTCTAAAAATAGAAAAAAAAAATTAGCCGGGTGTGGTGGCAGTCGCCTGTAGTCCCAGCTACTTGGGAGGCTGAGGCAGGAGAATGGCGTGAACCCGGGAGGCGGAGCTTGCAGTGAGCCGAGATCATGCCACTGCACTCCAGCCTGGGCGACAGAGCCAGACTCCGTCTCAAAAAAAAAAAAAAATCAGTAGCATTTCTACACACCAATAACATTCAAGCTGAGAGCCAAATCAAGAATGCAATCCCATTTACAATATCCGCTAAAAAAAAAAAATACCTTGGAATACATCTAACCAAGGAGGTGAAAGATCTCTACAAGGAGAACTATGAAACACTGCTTAAAGAAATCATAGATGACACAAACAAATGGAAAAACATTCCATGCTCATGGATTGGAAGAATCAATATCATTAAAATGGCCATATTGCCGAAGGCAATCTACAGATTCAACACTATTCCTATCAAACTACCAATGTCATTCATCAAATGACCAAGATCAAAGCCAGAGGCATCACACTATCCAACTTCAAACTATACTACAAGGCTACAGTTGCCAAAACAGCATGTTGCTGGAAAAAAAAAAAGACACATAGACCAATGGAAGCAAATAGAGAACCCAAAAATAAAGCTACACACCTACAGCAATCTGATCTTCGACAAAATCAACAAAAATAAGCAGTGGGGAAAGCACTCCCCTATTCGATGGTGGTGGGATAGATAACTGGCTAGCCATATGCAAAAGAATGAAACTGGGCCCCTACCTTTCAGCACATATAAAAATTAACTCAAGATGGAGTAAAGATGTAAATGTAAGACCTCAAACTATAAGAATCCTAGAAGAAAACCCAAGAAACACCATTCTGGACATTGGCCTCAGGAATTTATGACTAAATCCTCAAAAGCAATTGCAACAAAAACAAAAAGAGACAAGTCGGATTTATTTAAACTAAAGAGTTTTGCACAGCAAAAGAAACTATCAACAGAGTAAACAGACAACCTCTAGAATCTAAAAAAATTTGCAACTAGCATCTGAAAAGGGTCTAATATCCAGAATCCATAAGGAATTTAACAATTGAACAATGAAAAACAAATAACCCCGTTAAAAAAATGAGCAAAAGGCATGATCAAACACTTTTCAAAAGAAGACATACAAATGCCCACCAAATATATGAAAAATTGCTCCACATCACTAATCATCAGAGAAATATAAATCAAAACCACAATGAGATACCATCTCACACCAGTCAGAATGGCTACTATTAAAACGTCTAAAAACAACAGATGCCGGTGAGGCTGCATAGAAATGGGAATGCTTACACGCTGTTGGTGGAAATATAAACCAGTTCAGTCACTGCAGCAAGCAGTTTGGAGATTTATCAAAGAACAACTTTAATGGTTCCACTGGCTAAACTGCATGTCTGGCTCTGATTGGCTAATGCTCTGTGGTTTTAGGGGTGATGTGGAGAATCTCAACAGTCAGAATGAAGCTGAGCTCCGACGCCAGTTTGAGGAGCGACAGCAGGAGACGGAGCATGTTTATGAGCTCTTGGAGAATAAGATCCAGCTTCTGCAGGAGGTGAGGAGTTCCCAAAGTCCATAGGTAGGGGTTCTCTTTTATTAACACTCCTCTTCCTACTGCTCTGCCTTCTGGCATTCACCTTTTCCGTCTCTACTTTCCCTCTGAAATTCATCAATGTTCCTGGGTCTTAGGGCTCCTAATCTAGGTAGAAATTTTGCAGCCTCTCAGTTTTTGTTCTTTTTCCAGGAATCCAGGCTAGCAAAGAATGAAGCTGCGCGGATGGCAGCTCTGGTGGAAGCAGAGAAGGAGTGTAACCTGGAGCTCTCAGAGAAACTGAAGGGAGTCACCAAAAACTGGGAAGATGTACCAGGAGACCAGGTCAAGCCCGACCAATACACTGAGACCCTGGCCCAGAGGGACAAGTAGGTGCCTTCGGTGCTCTTTTTGTCGCTTGTCTTTTGCCCATTCTCAAGGCATACAGCAGCTGTCCTGTTCCCTTTCAAGGACTGACAGTAGGAGCTTCACTATTTCTAAGACTTTATGGTCCCACAACCGAAGACATTCTTTTCAGGGTTGAATTTTCAGTGGTATCCATTATGAAAACTCACTTCATGGATTCAGTGGGCAAATAGCGGCAAGCAAGAGACATGGATTCACTTATTCAGCAAACATTTACTGGGCATGCCACATGCCAGATACCGGGCTAAGTATCTGGCATGTGTTACAGAAACAAAAGACCTAATTCTTGTCACCAAGAAACATGTTACATGATTTTAATAAGTTCCCTGATAGAAGAGCATGGGGTGCTCTGGGGAAATATTGGAGGGTCATCCATTCCACATTAAAAGAGCAAGTTGTCTGCTGTGGTCTGAATGTTTGTGTCCCATCCCCACCTCCCTCCCCCACCAGTTTATATGTTGAAATCTTAACCCTTAAGGTTAATACTTCTGCCTCCAGAAGTATTATGAGGTGGAGCCATTAGGAGGTGATTAAATCATAGACATTG
Organism: Homo sapiens; assembly: GCF_000001405.40. Lineage (NCBI taxonomy): Eukaryota > Metazoa > Chordata > Mammalia > Primates > Hominidae > Homo > Homo sapiens. Next base: position 188,614 of record NW_025791753.1, on the reverse strand, counting down.
GAGATGGAGCCCTCATAAATGGGATTAATACGCTTGTAAAAGAGACCCCAGAGAGCTAGTTAGCCCCTTCTACTATGTGAGGATATAGTGGGAATGCACCGTTATGAGCCAGAGTGTGAACCTTCACCAGACATTGAACCTGTCAGTGACTTGATCTAGGACTTCCCAGCCTCCAAAACTGTGAGAAATACATTTCCGTTGTTTATAAGCCTCCCAGTTTATGGTGTTTTTTTATAGCAGCCCAAAAAGACTAAGATAATGCCATTGAAGGTTTCCTAGAGGAAGCGAAATCTGAGCTGAGCTTTGAAGGATGAATAGGAGGTAGAATAAATAGGTAGAAAGTGGATAGGGAAAGGAAATATTCTATGCAGAAGGAGAAACTATGGAGGGAAGACACAGGGAAAGGAATATTTCAAGAACTTTAAATAATTGTACATAACTGGAGCAAGTGAGAAGACAAGTGAGAGGTAAGCTGTTTTGAGAATAAGGGTCTGATTGTGCCAGCTTTGTATACCATTATAAGGAACTTGGACTTTGTCCTGAAGGTAACTGGGCAATTATTGAGGTCACCACCATCTACTGTCTGGATTACCGAGGAAACTTTCTAAATGTCCTCTCCACTTCCAGTCCTGCTCCTCTCATTCAATCTCAACCTAATAATTCAGAGTAGTTCTGAAATAGATAATTCAACCACAACAAATTGGCAAATAATTTAGCCTCTTAGGTGCATAAGACTGTGGTGGTATAAAAAGCTTTAAGGAGCTTTTAACTGAATAGGCAAAAACCACATGTGCATACCATGACCAATGTGATCTTTCCAAGACATAAATTTAATCGCACCATGGCAGAGCCATTTAAGAACTTTGCAATACCTTTAGGAGATAAGATCCATACTCCTAATGTGGCCATCAAAGCCTTTTATGATGTAACCTCTGATTTCTCCCACACTCATCACCCACCACCATTCCTTAACTTCATTCATGCCAGGCTAGTAATAATAATGATGGCTAAGCTTTGTTGAGCTCTTACCATACAGCTGAGTACTTTATGTTCTTGTTTAACAGCCCCATGAGATATGAATTATTATACTTTATTAATGAAAAAATTGGCATCTGGAGACTTGTGAAACATGGTTTCAGGGATTGCTGACATCCAAACCCTGAAGCCATACTGCCTCCAGAAGCATAAGAAGCTATGGCAAGTCTCCAGAATTTTGCTCATGCTTTTCCTTCTGTGGGAAACATCTGCCAACTTTTTCCCTTCTAGTGAACCTCACTAAGGCATCAATCGTCATTTCTTTGAAGGCTTTGTGATAGCAGAATGAAGTTTCTGTATTGTTTCTTTTATATATATATATATATATATATATATATATATATATATATATATATATATATATATATATATACATATTGTACAATTCTCAGTATGGTACTGTATTTGCTTTCAGATTTTCCCTACTAGGTTCCCCAAGACAGTGTCATATTTGAACCCCAATAAAAAAAAACTGAACTAAAAACCAAAACAAAGCCCCAAGTAAAGCACATGCACATCTGAAAATAAATTGAGGCCACTCATCAGATGACCTTGAACAATTTTGGAGAGTAGGAGAACAGATCCTCTGTAGAGACTAAGGGTCAAAGAGATGAGCAAAGTTTGAGGTTTAAGAAAAGTAGAGATGTTCTAGTGCAGATACCACGAGGGAATTTCATACGGAGTCCACATTCCTCCTTCTCGTCATCATTGCAGTTTACATTTGTATAATGTTTTTAATTTTTTGTTTCTGTTTTTGTTTTTGTTTTGAGATAGAGTCTCGCTCTGTTGCCCAGGGTGGAGTACAGTGGCAAGATCTCGGCTCACTGCAACCTCTGCCTCCCAGGTTCAACCGATTTTCCTGCCTCAGCCTCCCGAGTAGCTGGGATTACAGGCGTGCACCACCACGCCCAGCTAATTTTTGTATTTTTAGTAGAGACAGGGTTTCACTATGTTGGTCAGGCTGATCTCAAACTCCTGACCTCAGGTGATCCACCTGCCTCAGCCTCCCAAAGTGCTGGGATTACAGGGATTACAGGCATGAGCCACCATACCCAGCCCAATGTTTTTAAGTTTTAAAAGTTATTTCTCCTGGGAATCATGGCTCACACCTGTAATCCTAGCACTTTGGGAGGCCGAGGCAGGCGGATCACGAGATTAAGACCATCCTGGCCAACATGGTGAAACCCCATCTCAACTAAAAATACAAAAATTGGTTGGGCATGGTGGCGCATGCCTGTAGTCCCAGCTACTCAGGAGGCTGAGGCAGGAGAATCGCTTGAACCAGGGAGGTGGAGGTTGCAGTGAGCCAAGATTGCGCCACTGCACTCCAGTCTGGTGACAGAGCAAGACTCCATCTCAAAAAAAAAAGAATCACAACTGGAAACATTTCATTTAGTACCCAGCAGATTTTCAAGGACCTGGAAGGTTCATGTTCCAATATATACAAACAGAGAATATGCCTAGCACATAGATGATCAATAAGTTTATTTGAACCCATAGTTTGTATACCTCAGCACAGTATTTTACAACTTAACCCTAGTCTGAGGGTCTGAATTTTCAGTCTCTTCTCCAGCCATTGCCTCTTCCCTGGGCCTTTGTTCCAGTGACTCTTCCCAAATTGTACACTGGGTCTTCATGCCTTTGTTCCTTTGTTCAATCTCCTCCTTCTGAGCCTGGAAAACCACCCAAGTCTTTGCTATTGTAAATAGTGTGCAGTGAACATTTGCATGCATATGTCTTCATGGTAGAATGATTTATATTCCTCTGAGTATACCCAGAAATGGGATTGCTGGGTCGAATGGTAGTTCTGCTTTTTGTTCTTTGAGGAATCACCATACTGCTTTCTACAGTGGTTGAACTAATTTAACACTCCCACCAACAGTGTATAAGTGTTTCCTTTTCTCTGCAACCTCACTAACGTCTGTTATTTTTTGACTTTTTAACCATAGTCATTCTGACTGGTGTGAGATGGTATCACATGTGGTTTTGATTGCATTTCTCTAGTGATCAGTGTTATTGAGCTTTTTATCATATGCTTGTTGGCTGCAGGTACGTCTTTTGAAGTGTCTGTTTATGTCCTTTGCCCACTTTTTAATGGGGTTGCTTTTCTTTTGTATATTTGTTTACATTTCTTATAGATGCTGGATATTGGACCTTTGTCCAATGCATAGTTTTCAAATATTTTCCCCCATTCTGTAGGTTGTCTGTTTACTCTGAAACCACTCAATCTTTAAAATTTCTTCTCCTGAGCATCGCTATACTCCTTCAAGTCAAATGAATTATTTCTTTATCTTTCATCCTATAGCTCTATGGCAGCACTCAATGTACTATATGGTGCCTCTATTCTGGTAGCATTTATTATATTCTATTACTATTATTTGCTTATATACAATCATGCATCACAAACTACAGGGATATGTTCTGAGAAATGTATCTTTAGGCAATTTCATTCTTCATTGTGTGGCCATCACAGAGCATACTTACACAAACCTTGATGGGATAGGCTACTGCACACCTAGGCTATATGGTATAGCCTATGGCTTCTGGGCTACAAACCTGTATGACATATTACTGTACTGAATACTGTAGGCAATTGTAACACAATGGTAACCATTTGTGTATCTAAACATAGAAAAGATACAGTAAAAATACTGTATAAAAGATAACAAACAGTACACCTGTTTAGGGCACTGACCATAAATGGAACTTGCAGCACTGGAACATGCTGTGGGTGATTTAGCGAGTGAGTAGTGAAGTGAATGAATGTGAAGGCCTAAAACACATTTTGTAGTCATATAAAAATATTTTCCTTATATCCTTATTCTAGAAAAGGTTTATTCTGTTTTTAAATTTTTAATTTTTTTTTTTTTACTTTTTAAACTTTTTTGTTACAAACTAAGACACAAACATACACACAAGCCTAGGCCTACACAGTGTCAGGATCATCAGCTTCACTGTCTTCCACCTTTACATCTTGTCCGCTGGAAGGTCTTCAGGGACAATAACACACATGGAGCTGTCATCTCCTATGATAACAATGCCTTCTTCTGGAATAGCTCCTGAGGGACCTGCCTGAGGCTACTTTACAGTTATTTTGTTTAATAAGTAGAAAGAGTACACTCTAAAACGACAATGAAAGTATAGTATAGTAAATACATAAACCAGTAACATTTATTATCAAGTATTACATACTATACATATGTTATATTTGTATACAACTGCCAGCGCAGTAGGTTTGCTTTACACCAGCAACACCACAAACAAGTGAGAAATACATTGCACTATGATGTTACTGCAGCTAGGACTTTACTAGGTGATAGGAATTTTTCAGCTCCAGTATAATCTTATCGGACCATCATCATACATGCAGTATGATGACATAATGTTGACAGAAACAGTATATGGTACGTGACTGTAGCTGTGTGTCTTCTTACTCTCCAAATCACTAGCAAACACATGCTGGTGGAATTTAAATTTTTGCAAAACAGCGATTGTTTCTTTCCCAACTTCATATTTCCAGTACTTGGTAGAGTGCATTGAGTACACAAAATAGTTATCCAAGAACCGTTTATTGAATGGAACAGCCACTACCACCACCACCAAAAAATTCTAGGCCCTTATTCCAAGAGTTAAATTCCTATGGTCTAAAGATCCATGGATGAACTTCAGGAGGTCCATGAATGTGGTGAAAATGTAAGCAAAAAGTTGTTTGTGTATATATTTGGGGGCTGAGCAGAAAATACATGCTTTTCTAAAGAAATGTATCAAAAGGTTCAATGATCCAAAAGGATAAAAACCTGCTATACTAGACCATGCTATCTTTGGAATGGGCTGAAAAAATAAGGTAATAATAGTATCATGATCATAATTATTGTCCTTACTTTTCCTTTGCTTCAGGAGAATTGAAGAACTGAATCAGAGCCTGGCTGCCCAGGAGAGGCTTGTAGAACAGCTATCTCGGGAGAAACAACAACTGCTACATCTGTTGGAGGAGCCAACTAGCATGGAAGTGCAGGTAAGGTTTGGTCAGTACATCCAGAAGCACTTGCTTCATGCTTTCATAAGCCCTGCTTTTTAATATCTAAGTGTATTTGTTATCTATTGTTGTGTAACAGATTACTACAAACTTAGCAGTTTAAAACACCTTATTTTTGTTATCTCACAGTTTCTGTGAGTCAAGAGTCCAGATATGGCTTAGCTGAGATCTGTTTGGAGTCTCATAAGTGTGAAATCAAGGTGTAGACTGGGCTCTTTTCTCATCTGGAGGCATACCTAGGGAAGGATCGGCTTCTAAGCTCCTCAGGCTGTTGGAAGGATTTATTGCTGTGTAGCTGTAGAAGTTATGGCAGCTTCCTTCTTCATAGCCAGCAGCAGAAAGAGTCTGTTACTTTTCTCACTTCTAGACTTTCTTTTAAGGGGCTCATTAGGGCAGGCCCACCAGCATAATATCCCTTTTTGTTAACTTAAAATCAACTGATTAGCAGCCCTAATTACATCTATATGACCTCTTTACTTTTTTCATATAACATAGCATAACTATGCAGTGACATTTCATGACCTTTGCCATATTGGTTAGAAGTTACAGGTTCTACCCATCCTCAAGGGGTGAGGATAACACAAAGATGTGATGGCCAGTGGGTGAGAATTATAGGGACCACCTTAGAATTTGCCAGCCACATCAAGTGATTTATAATTATATAGAACATACAATGTTTTAGGGGTTTTTTTGAGGGTTAAGTTGTAAAATACTGTGCCGAAGTACACAAACTGTGGGTTCAAATAAACAGTTATTGATCATCTATGAGCTAGGCATATTCTCTGTTTGTATATATTGGAGTATGAACCTTCCAGGTCCTTGAAAATGTGCTGGGTACTAGTTGAAATGGTGATTACTATTTCCGTACAAGTGTATCAGATAATGATAGAAATTTGCCTCCAAAAAAAAATTTTTTTTTTGAGTTGGAGTCTCACTCTGTTGCCCAGGCTGAAGTGCAGTGGGATGATCTCGGCTAACTGCAACCTCTGCCTCAGCCTCCCGAGTAGCTGGGATTACAGGTGCATGCCACCACACCCAGCAATATTTGTATTTTTAGTAGAGATGGGGTTTCACCATGTTGGCCAGGCTGGTCTCGAACTCCTGACCTCAGGTGATCTGCCCGCCTTGGCCTCCCAAAGTGCTGGGATTACAGGCGTGAGCCACCACACCTGGCCATAATGTAGTTTTAATATTGAAAAGAGAACTCACTGTGGTAAAAAATAATTGCATTGATTTTCTGGGAAGTTACCTCGAAGGGAACTCCTCTCCTTCATTCAACTTTTAATTTACTAAAAAGATATTTTCTAAAAGAACTTTAGAATATACCTGCACCCAAACAACAAAAGCAATTACCTGGTATCCTTACATTCTTGCACTGGTCTTAGACTACTGATAAGACAAAATGTGGGTGGTTTACTTTACTGGTTCACATATGGAAAGGTTGGGGTCAAGATAAAAGAGCAATGATAAGAATTAGTTTAAACCATTGCTTCCCAACCTTTCCATTTCATGGCAAATGATAATATTTGTAAGGTATAGAGGTAAATGGATGAAGCTTCTCACTTGGAGGTGGCCAATTTGGGTGCTTAGGCCACTATGAGGGCAGGAAAAAATTACTATCTTGGCCACAATTACAAACTTCTTAGACTGCAGCTCCATTTTGGTTGGAAAGCATTGGTTAACAAACTCAAGAAATAATGTGTGAACATAATTTTACAAGTATGAATACAAATTGAAGTTCATAGGCTTTTTGCAAGATACATGTTGAAATATGTGGAAATTTTCTTAAGGGACTCTTGAAAATATTTCGTAATGCATTTAATTAGAAAAAGCTCAACTGAGAATAAGAAGAATTGAATTTCCATCCTGATTATTTAAGCTGATAAGAACAGATACTACACTTGATCTTAGCCAAAAGGCCGAGAAGCGATTCCATCCTGATTATTTATTAGCTGTATGACTATGGATATGTCACTTCTCAGCTTCCATATACATAAAATGAGAAGATTAGCTCAAATAATCTCCATAGTTTCCTATAATGCTAACATTCTATTTTTATCTTATTTCAGAATTTTATTTCATTCTATTTTAGTTCAGAATTTACATGAATATTATTTCTTTCAAAATGTTCACCTTCTGAAATGAAATCACTTTTATTGCTCCTTTTGTATTTACAGGCACATAAATACTAAAATATTTTGTACATATACTTATTTTCATCATCTTTGGTAAGCACTGAAATGAATATATTTAGTTCAGTATTTTCAATGCTAATTAAGGAATTGGTTTGGTACCAGTTTTCAGAACAGACTTAAAGAACCAAAAGATTATAATTTCAAAGAGACTAAATTATTTATATTCTACTCTAAAAGGATGCTTAGAACAAGAATAAGTACAGCATCCAGGGGATAATATTGCATGACCATTGGGCAGAAGAAATGCATCAAATCATATAAACTGTACTAAATTGATATGCTTTTTAAACATTGCCTAATGAAAATTTATTGTTGTTATTACCCAATACATTGTACATTTCAAAACCTGATACATTGCGCTGTTTGTTCTATAAGACAATGTTTCCTACCCTTTTTCATAGAAAATTCATTTTCATAGGAAATGAGTGTACATCTATGGTATTCTGAAATAAGTGCCCATGGCTGCTCATGGTTTGAGGCAATTGCTTATGGCCACCTCAGGACCCATGCACCACCCTGAGAGCTGAGGGGATCAGCGTCTTTGCACAGTGGTGGACCATGCTGAGGTACACTGTGCTGGAATACCCAAGTTGGAAAGCTCTGCCACAGGAGGCCGCTGATAGTTGGTCCTCTCAAGTGTGGAGAATAGAAAGCCTCCCATAGCATATTTCCTTGTTTCTCCCTTTGGGTCTACGTCTTATGGGAAAAAAAATTGGGCCCAAGGACTGGTAGTGTCTTCCCTCAATTTACATAGTAGTTTAATTCATGGAAAAATTTAGTGTAAATTAACATCATGCTCCTATATATATATTAAGTTCTAGGTTCAGATGATTGTAAACAGTTTTATCATCACCCAATGGAACATTCAAATTCCAAAAGTCATTTGGAATTTGGTACAATACTTTGTCCTGTAACATCCCTTGCCTCACTTATCATCGTGACAACATCAAAAACAAGAAACACCCCCACAAAATTTCAAAATGCTCTCTAGGAGATGAGACAGTTGCTCAGTGAGTACCACTAGTATAGGGAGTCCTAGCCTTCCAAAGGTTTATAGTCCAGTGAAAGACTGGTATGTAAACAAAGAACTAAAATACAGTGTGATAAATGAGGAGACAGAAATACACGCATGGTGCTAAAGGAACCCACAGCTGAAAGGAATTAACTCCAAGGAGGAACTCACCTGGAGGTCACCCTTCTGTTGGGCCTTAAAGACTGGATACACCAGGCAGAAAATAGGAAACGGAGCAATATATACAGTGATGTGGAACACAGCTAAGGAATTGGGAGTAATCGATGTTACCAAAAATAAGTATTGGAGAATGATAAAATATATAGCTGGAAAGTACCATAAATGTTGAGCTAAGGGCTTCATGTTGTAGGCACCAGAAAAAAAAAAGCAAGGGGAATAAAAGCATATGATTTGCATTTAGAAAGGTAATCCTAGTTGTCGTGGAAACTGAGGATTGCTTGAAGAGCATCTGAGATAATTGATGTCACCTCCTCAGAGAGCAAATCATAATCTGACACAGCTATGAACTGCTTTGTCAAGTCTGTTCTTTGAATTGGTTGGGGAAAAGAATATTATAAAACCAATTACAAAGCACTTTGTCTCTCCCCTCTGCATAGGTAATGTATGGTGAACCTTGCTATTTGTGACACTTGGAGCCTATGTTGTGGGTGTTATCCTTCTCTGCTAACAGTATACTTTCACTGTAACAGTTATAGTTCCACTGTATTCTACTCAAACCTTGTCTGCCATGCCAACTGTCACCACAGAAGAAAGACCCTTACAATGTGGAAGGTAAAAGTTCAATTTCTAAGCTCTGGGCCTGTTCTTCAGAGGCTAAAGAATCTCCTCATCTCCAGTGAAGCCATCCCTGGAATCCCTCACTGATTCAGCTGGAATATGGAGGAGCTTAAGTTCTAAAGACCTATTCACTTCCTTTAATTCCACCTATACTTCACAACTGAGAATACCACAAACAGTTGGGCCCTAGAAGAAAGAAGAGCTCACAGATCTTGCACTTCTAGGTCTGAATTGTCCAAGTGAAGAACGCTCATTTACTCCACATCCCACAGATAACTATCTCTCAAGTGATCCCAGTATGAAAGTCTGGAGTATGAGTATAATATACTCACTGTAATATCTGAGTACAGGAAGTTCACTTCAGAGTCTTCATTCTCTCAAATAAGACAGACACTTTTGATAAAGATTATTTTATTTAATTGATCTTACAGTCTTTCTAGCTGTTTTCCTTTTCCATTCTACCAAAACATTCTACAACATTCATTTTAGTGGGAGTGCACTTGCACAATATTTATGAACGTCTATAATTAACTTCTTGTAAAGCAAAAAAAGTACCACCAACTAGATATGCCATTGACTGACATCATTCCATATCTCCTTCCAATCCTTCTTGATGTCCATTCAGATCAATAGTATGTGTGATCAGAGTGTTGAGGAGCTTTTTGATGTGAGGCTGTGACATCTTGTCCACATCTTTTTCACTAGGGAGTCAGAAAATCTAATAAAGTTTACAAAGCATTTTTCTCTTCCTCAGTAAAGGTATCTACAAAGTTGCAGGGAAAAGCTAGCAATTGTTTCAGTTATTGATATTATTTCCTTCTACAGAATGTTAGAAGCTTCATCTCAATGAAGGTTTTAAATGAAACCAGACCTGGAGGGTGTGAAGGCAGAAAAAATGATGCCCTTGCAAAGGGAGGTCTGGAGGAATTCTTGTTTTGTTTGTCGCCTTTTTTCTCTCTCTGCATTTCTCCTTCAGTATAAGATGAGCAAAATTTATTAACATGTAATCTCACTGTGGTTGGCTTATAAAATGAAACAGGATAACACAATTAGGGAGAGGCCCACATTAAGTAAGTGAGACCTTCCCACTCACACAAATTAGCACAGTCAAGCTGTTGCATTTATGCCTTGTTTGGAACTTAATGTAAATAGTACTGCATGCAGTGAGGCATATTTCCTAAAATAGCAAACATTCCTGCGTTACCATGGAGAGATCTGACTTGGAGGTTAAGGCAAGAATGTGCTCTAAATGCTCAAGGCAGAGACTGAAAACCTTGCAGTGATTAGTAGCTCAGGCAGCTCCGGACAACTTCATATGAGATTTTTTTTTAGAGTAGCTTTTCAGTATCCCCTTCTTTTGCTGATGAATGTTGAAGCTGGAGACTCATTTACAAATCCCCGTTCAACATTACTGTCTCCCAGACAACCTTCATTAATAATGTGTCTCTGAAGCAGGCCTTAGCAGCTAAAGCAATCATTGCTCTAATCCTTTTGAGCAGCAAAGGAAGTGGAAAAATAGGCAGCTGCTTTACAACTTAATCAAAAATATTTACTGAGCACTTGTAATGCACAAGGTACTGTTAGGTGAAGGAAGAAGAACACAAAGATGTGCAGGATTTAGTCTCTACCTTCTAGAGATTACAATAGGAGAAAGTCACTGATGAAAAAAATACAAGGCAGTACAGAAAGGAAAAATCATCATGGACTGGGGTCAGAAGCAAAGATTTTGGTCTCTGAGGAATGAGTAGGATTTTACTAAGTAGATATGAAAAGGAAAGGCATTTCTTTATTCATTCATTCAATGATTATTGAGATCTAGAAAGATACTGTTCCAAATACTTCAGAAGCAGTCTTAGTCCACTCAGGCTGCTATAACAGAATACCATAGACTGAGTGGCTTATAAACAATAGAAATTCATTTCTCACAGTTCTGGAGGCTGGGAAGTCCAAGATCAAGGCACTGGCATTTTCAGTGTCTGGTGAGGGCCCACTTTCTGGTTTATGGATTTCCTGCTGTGTCTTCACATGGTAGAAGGGATTAGCTAACTCTCTGAGGTCTCTTTTTATAAGGACACTAATCTCTCCCAAATCCCCCACCTCCTAATACCATTATGTTGGGGGTTAGGATTTCAACATATGAATTTGGAGGGGAATACAAACTTTCAAACCATAGCAGATACCAAGATGAGAAAGCTGTGGTTCCTTTTCTTAAGTAGCTTACCAGTTAATGGGGAAAACGCAGTATGGAGAAATGACATACAAGTTACTATAGGTACAAAAAGTATTTTGGAAGATGGAAGAAGAGAAAGATGTCTTTTGGTGGTACTCAGAAAGGCAGCTTGGAGGAAATACTTGAAGGGTGGATAGGATTTTGACAGGTGGAGGTGGTAGTGATAGAAAAGAATATTCCAAGTGTATGAAGTATAGAGGTGGGGAAGTTCAGGGTAGAGAAGTAGTAGCAGGAATAGAATATAGGGGGACAGAAAAATAGAGTGGAGCCAGATTCAGAGAACTTTAAGAAGCAGGTAAAGAAGTTTAGGATTAATGGACAAGTCATTGGGTCTCCAGGTTTCTTTGAGGGAGAGTGATATCTGAGCTCTGTTTTAGAAAGATTAATCTGAAAGGAGGATAGAGTAGAGGGCAAAGAAATTGAGGGGACTCATTATTTTAGCACTCTTGTTACTTAAGATATGAAGTCATTAGGGCCAGGCATGGTGGCTCACACCTGTAATCCCAGCACTTTGGGAGGCCGAGGTGGGAGGATCATGAGGTCAAGAGTTTGAGACCAGCCTGGCCAACACGGTGAAACCCTGTCTCTACTAAGAATACAAAAATTAGCCAGGTGTGGTGACGCGTGCCTGTAATCCCAGCTACTGGGGAGGCTGAGGCAGAAGAATTGCTTGAACCCGGGAGGTGGAGGTTGTAGTGAGCCAAGATAGTGCCACTGCACTCCAGCCTGGGCAACACAGCAAGTCTCCGTCTCGGAAAAAAACAAAACAAAACAAAGATATGAAGTCATTGGAGGGTAAGGAAGGATGAAAGTTTTGTGCTAAGGCAAAAGACCAAAATAAAATTTTAATATATAATAGTTCATTTTCTCATTCATACATTCTATTCAATAACAATTGAGTGCCTACCATGACTAGGCAATGGTGCTGTCATGGTAGGCACTAGAGAATTACCTTCTATGGAAGGAGGCAGATAAATAAGCAGATAATGAAACAAATATATAACTTCAAATTGTGATAAATACATTGAAGAAAGCAAAGAGCAGGAATTGGTAGACTTTTTCTGTATAGGGCCAGATAGTAAATAAGCTTTGCAGGCTGTAAAGTTTCTGCCATTGTTGCATAAAAACAGTCACACACAACACATAAGAATGAACATGGCTGTGTTCCAACAAAACTGTATTTGCACAAACAGGTGGGGGCTGGATTTGGTCCACAGTCCATAGTTTTCTGACTCCTCATATAAAGTATTAGGAGGAAAGGGAGGCACTTTAAACAAGGGGAAGACAACAGTCAGGAGATCAGTCTTTCCTACGGTAATTTTGAGATGTCTATGACACATCCACATGCAGATATCAAATAGGTAACCAGGTATTTGAGAGTGGCACTCAGATGAGAATTCTACAATAAAAACATAAATTGGAAGCCACTGGTATAAAGATGGGAAAGGATGAGATGACACCAGAAGAGAATAGAGAGGTGAAAAGGGTCTAGGACTGAGCACCAACGAACAAAAGTTCATAGTGTATGACTCTTAGTTCATAAATCTAAGGTAGTCATCAATTTAAAGCCCCTGTCTGAATCAGGATGGTGAGAAATTCAATTTCATACGTTTGATATTTCCTCCTCTCCCTACTTTCTCAGCTATTTAAAGGTCCCTAGGTTTTACCTGGTACCAAAGCACCAAGGAGACTACTCTGATCGTTGATCTGCCACTAAACCACCCCTGCCTCAGTAAGCATGGTTTTGCCAACCCTAGAAGCTTGCTATATTTAACCTTTTATGGAGCCAGAATCCCCTGCTAAAGTGCAGCCTCTCCAAGTCACCCCATTACTTCCCTCTCTGAGGTCCTGCTGCTTCTCCAGGGCACTGATATGGAATGGAGGTGGGTACTTGTTACTCTTTGACCTCCAGTCTCTTTCCATCTGTGTGAAATGTCACTCTCTCCTCTTCGCTGACTTCAAAAACTTTTCTGTCTCCTCTCTTCCCCAATGGGACATCTGGCTCAATCTTCGCAGTGGGCTTAGAATTTCATAAAAGTCTAGAAATGCAGTTGGCTTCAAACAGCCTCTGCTCTTTGCTCTGCAAAAGTTCCAGAGTCAAGGGAATGCTAAGGGCTTAACCATCAGATTAGAAAAGAGGGAAGCAGAGGGCCAGGCGCGGTGGCTCACGCATATAATCCCAGCACTTTGGGAGGCCAGGAGTTCAAGGCCAGCCTGGCCAACACGGTGAAACCTCATCTCTATTGAAAAAAATAAATAAATAAATAACAAAATTAGCTGGGTGTGGTGGCGCATGCCTATAATCCCAGCTACTCAGGAAGCTGAGGCAGGAGAATCTCTTGAACCTGGGAGGCAGAGGTTGCAGTGAGTCGAGATTGTGCCATTGCACTCCAGCCTGGGGGACAAGAGCAAGACTTCATCTCAAAAAAAAAAAAAAAAAAAAAAAAGGAAGTACCATCCATCCTGTTGCCTGGGTAATCTTCCTAAAAAAAGGTTTTCATCATGTCATTGTCTGCTTAAATCCATAACATTAAGTCCAAATTCTTTTGCCTTTGTCAAAACATTAACCAAATTCTAATTGGCAAGGCACTCCATAGCATAGTGTCTGGCTTACAGTTGGCTCTTGATACATGTTCTTTGAATGAACAACTATAGAGGATTAGATGTATGGATGGATGAACCTGGTCATTCAAAAATCCCCAACATCTCTCTTTACCTACAGGCTAGCACTGTGTTTAACCCAAGTTCCGTGGCTTTTAATGAAGCTATTTTATTTTGCTGAGTCCCTTCCTTGGCCTTCTTCATCCTAACACCCATCTCAAGTGCCACTCTTGTCCCTTCAACTATACCAGCCCATACTAACCTCAACTTTTTCTGTATTCACACTAAATTTAATTCAGTACCATTTAGTTTACCAGTCAATTGTTCTAACTGTAGCGTGCACCTTTTCTCCCTTTTAACTAAACTGAAAGCTCATTGAAGAGATAAAAAAAGGTATGTTTGCATTCTTGCTCATTGATTGATTTAACAAATACTTTAAAATTTACTTAACAACCTATGCGTATTTAATAACTTGAAAGACTCTAATGTTTACTATTAGATGGATTTTGCTGAGAAGCATACTACTATAATCTGCAGATGAACCGGAAATCTCCTGGCTTTAAAACAAGCATTTCAAGATGCTGTGTTGTTAATTAATGGAAAGCATGATTGTTTCTGACTTCTTAAAGGTTTCCAAAGAGCACAGGGAAATCACGCAACTGCCTGTGTGTTACCACAAAGCCTAACTGGCTTTACTTTGACATTCTTGCATTTTCTCATCTGCCTTAGTTTCTCTGCCAGAATCACATTTTTCTTTTGGTGCATAGTTTTTAGTAATTAGAATAGCTATTTCCAATGTCATAACTAGGGCAGTGAAACCTAATACAACTGGTTTGGGACATGGGGATTTTCCACCTCTCCAATTCTTTTGGAAACTCCCTCTCAGCCCAGCAGTAGGTCTTAGAAACACTACAACCCAGTTGCCACACAGGGGGTGCAAAAGTGACTATGGTGACTGCAAAATTTAGAGGTCAAAACAGAGATAGTGCAAAACACCCCATACCACAGTAATATTTAGAAATCTTGTTCCACATGCGGATACAGTTCTCTAAATTCAACATAGATTTTGTAAGTAGTTCTTCATTGGTGTGCTTTTCTGTCTATCTGCAGAAGTTCTGATCTGTTGTCTGATACAGCTTAGGATAGTTCTCATTCAGTGGTTTTCAAAGTGTGATTCCCAGATAGCAGCATCAACATGATCTGGGAACTTGTCAGGAATGCAAATTCTTGGGCCCCACCCCAGACCTTATTGTGTCAGAAACTCAAGGGGGTAGGTCCCAACAATTTATGTTAACAAGCCCTCCAGGTGATTCTGATGCATGCTTAAGTTTGAAAACTGCTGTTTAAATTCAACATATTTCATTGTAGATTAGGAAATTAAAAGCCAGATATAAGTGACTTAACCTAGGCCATAAAGCAAGTAAGTGCTTGTAAATGTATTTATTAATCAATGTTCAGGGTGAACTGTTGATATATAAAATTAATAATTTGTTTAATCATAATATGAAGCTTATTCTCAAACTTTTCGTTATGTGCCTTCACTAGGTTTTAGAAGTAATAATTTTATACTACATCATTACAAAAGCCCTAAGTCTCACCTTAACAACATGCCTTGCTCCAATCATAAGTGTTTGGTGTACACATGCATATAAAATATTATCCTAAGGTGGGGCGCAGTGGAACCCGGGAGGCAGAGGTTGCAGTGAGCCGAGATTGTGCCACTGCACTCCAGCCTGGGTGACACAGTGAGTCTCCGTCTCAAAAAAAAAAAAAAAACTCATATGGATAGGCTTAAGTTTTTAATTTGCAATTGGGTCTTTTACAGAATTTCTTCTGGGCTATATTTTATAGCATTTCCCTAATTTTCAAAACTGTTCTTAAAGTGCGGGTGACTTTCTACCAAAGAAATCCCTCAAATTAAAATTTTGAGGGAAACACATAGTTTTAATTTATTTACTCCTTTTAATCTTTTTAATTGAAATATACTAATATGTATACAATCTACAGATCTAAGTGCCCAGTTCAATGAGCTTCAACAATTCTATACACCTATGTTATCTTCATCCAAAACAAGATACAGAACAGCTTCATCACCTCAGAAAATTTCTTTGTGCCCCTTTGCAATCACTTCTCACCCTGTCTCTCACCGTTCAACCACTTCCTGACTTATATCACAATAGATCTGTTTTTCCTATAGTCTGTTATTAGACTTCAGACAAGATCAGGTGCATTCAGGGTAGTACGGCTGTAGACCTGTTGTCAGACTTCAAATAAATGGAATCACACAGGATGTACTCATTTGCATATGGCTTGTTTCACTTAAAATGTTTTCAAGATGTATCCATGTTGCATGTATCTGAGTTCATTCTTTTTGATCGCTGGCTAGTACTGTATTGTATTGTATGAATACACCAAAATGTGTTTCATCTACCTTTTTCTTAGTAACAATTATATTTTTTCTTTTTATATACTTAAGTACAAAAGCAGTAAGTACTTAAAGTTATTTAAAGTATGTAATACATAATGTAAAAAATTATAGAAAATAAGGAAAAAAGAAAATAAATGTCCATAATTCCACTCTCTAGACATAACCATTACTAATAACTTGTGGATCCCCTTTGAACTTTTGTTTATATAAGTTATCTTCTTATATTATATATTTATCATAGGTAGTATAAAAATTCTTATTTTAGGTTCAAGTTTTACCACTTAGACCCTGACATTAGTGTGTTAAATTGGCAGCCCTTATTTTAACTATAAAATGTTTTCTAAATTAAATAAAATCTAAAATTAATACCTGAATAAACATTCATTGTCCAAAATTCAAATGATACACAGTATGTAGAATAAAAAGTAAATGTCCTTGTATAGCCCCACCATAGGTAACCAGTTCAACTGCAAACTCTTGACCACAAGATAATAATGATAAGGACCAAGGAGTGCAAAATTTATTATCACATAATTTTTGTTTTATTTTTAAATTTTTATTTTCACATTTTATTATCTACATACCAGTGATCTTTTCATTGGGAACATCTTATTTTATAATGCCAAATGCTCACACAGGGACTAATTCTAGTACAATAGCTTATATCCACTTTGAGATACAGTTTTGAACTATTTTCTCTGGAAGTGAACAGAGTGCCATCTTCGAATATTCTGATTGCTGAGTAGTTTATTCCCATCTGTTTTTGGAAGTCTAGATATGTATAGCTTTCTTAGTATATTGATCTTTACTTAAAGCAAACATATTCTTCAATGGCAAATTGCCTTTTCTCCATTTGTATTGACCTGTATGTCTACACCAAGCTATCTATATACTGTCATTACAATTTGGAGACTATCAGTTAGATGCAAAATCCTTTTGAGGAACAGAGAATAACCCAAAGTATAATTCAGGGTTTGCTCTTGAAGAGCACTTTGTTTCATTCACATTTTCCTAATAGGAAAATGTGGCTTGCATTGACAGTAAAAAATGAGATCTTTATTATACTTAAGACTGGGTACAGCAGGGTAGTGTCCTGGCAGGCAGTCTGTCTTTCCATCAGTCAGGGTGAGTCCAGAAACTTTGCCTTTCTATAGATCACCATAGATTCCAAAGCATGTTGCTTAATTTCTTCCAACTTTGAAGCTCACATACCTAGAGGCAGGCAAAAATGCAGCTGTGGTTTTACTTGAACTGCTTTTCTATTCTTGGTTTTTGAGACAGAATATACATAGTAGATGAAATTACATATGCAAAATTCTATAGCCTGATATTAGGCCATTCTTGCATTGCTATACATACTTGAGACCAGGTAATGTATAAAGAAAAGAGGTTTAATTGGCTCACAGTTCTGCAGGCTTTATAGGAAGCATGGTGCTGGTATCTGCTTGGCTTCTGGGGAGGCTTCAGGAAGGTGAAGGGGGAGCAAACAAGTCACATGGCCAGAGCAGGAGCAAGATGGAGCGGTGGAGGCACCACACACTTTTAAATGACCAGATCTCAGAAAAACTCACTCTCTATTGCAAAGGTAGCACAAACCCATGAGGGATCTGCCCCCCGCACCGCCCCAAACACCTCCCACCAGGCCCCACCTCCAACACTGGGGATTACAATTCAACATGAGATTTGGTGGGGCCATATATTCAAATCATATCACCTACTAAGCCCAAAGCTCTAAGAACTGTCCTTTTCTCTTACAATGGAGCTACAAGATTTTGCTTTGGTGATTAAGAGAACAATACAATCTTATGTAGGCAGGGCCCCATAATGTTTTAAAGTTACTGAAAATATTCCAATTCATAGTAAAATAATAATATTAGCTATTATTTAATGAGCGAAACACGGTTAAAGCATTTCCTCAAAATCATCTCATTTAGTCTTCAATAAGAAGTTTGGGGGCTTATTATGAACTCTCAGAGATGGCATTTGGATGTCTTCAGGCTTAGGACTATGGACTCTGTCCTGGGGATGAGGTTCAGAAAAACTTAGATGTTGCTGGCCTTAGCTTACAAGGTCAAGTTAGTAAAAATTTAGCATGATTAGAACTGGGAAATGTCCTGCTCTAGGGGACTGCAAGTGATTGCTGAGGTTGTTCCTCTTGTTACGTGTCTGAATGCCTCTCAAGCCAGGAAGATAATTCCTTATTAAAAATGGCCGGAGGTACCAGCATTCTACCTAGTCAGGGCTCCAGCTTCCCTCCTCTTTGTGTGCAATCTAAGTTTTGGACCCAAGGGTGGAGGACCTATCACTGTACAATGCTGAGTAAGACATGGTTTTCACCGAAGTCAGTGAAGTTCCCAGTCCTTTCTGGCGCGAGCTGCATTCCCAGACACTCGAGCTCTTACGGAAAGAAGCTCTGTCTTTTGCGCTAGTGTTTGTCTACCGTCCCCTGTCCTAAAATAATGACTGCCCTCTACCTGAGGGAAAGGGACTTCAATGGTGGTAATCTACTCGCGGCTGGCTGCATCCTTAAAAAAGCCCATTTCTCTTCTACTATCTTCAAGATCTTGGTTAACCAGATTCACATTGTATGTGCCGGACTCTTAGGTGACTGCTCTGTGCTTTTTTATCTAAAGAAGGGCAAGTCACCCACGGGTACTAACCCTCCCCCACCCACATCAAGGGAGAAACACTCCTCTACTCTTTTCTGGACATTCCTGTTCAGAGTCGAGGTAAGGGTTGCACGGCCCCGCCCCTCCGTTACCAAGCCTTCCCTCGCCTGCCTCGCAGCCTCAGGCCCTTAGAACCCAGGCGGGGCGGGGCCGGGAAAGGTGAGGCTGCTGGCGGGAAGCGGGGGCGGCGCGCAGCGGTACCTAGCGGCGCTGCCCCGCTGGCAGCCGGAGGACGTGGCACTGTCCGAGAATGCAGGGAGGGGATTCCGCTTTCTCCTCCCGGCGAGGAGGAGCCTCGACATCCTGCAGAGGCGGGAGGATCCTTGAGGGCACTGGTGCGCCTTTCAGGTGAGGTCTTAGCAGATGAAAGCGGCTGGCTGTGGCCCGCGCCAGTAGTGCTTTCTGCTCCGCACTCGCCGTGAGCCAGGTGTGCAACCGGATTTGGGGCGAGGGTCGCGCTGGCTACCTCGCATGCGCAGAGCCGGAAGCCCGCTGACCGGACTACAGCTCCCAGAAGAGCCTTGTGGAGGCCGCAGACGCGAAGCCGCTGGCGCCATCTTGAAATCTGATCCTCCATCCCCGAGGCTTTGCGTCTGGGCGGCCGGCCGCTGCTGCTCCGGGAGCCCAGTCTGCTAAAAGGGGAGGACGTTGAGGACGCGGCGGCTGGCGGGAGAGACAGCTGGGGAGAGACATGGCAGGGTCGGAGCGCGGCCTGCGCCTCTGTCACTCAGCATCCTCTTAGGCGTTTCCACGCCCGCCCCCTGCCCGAGGGGCGGGGCTGACGGCTCTGGTACCCGGAGTCGGCGCGCGGGACAGGGGCGCGCCCCTGCAGAGTGGGGACCCCACTGGGCTGTGCCATGCTGACCGGAGACCACCGAGGCGGGAGACAGAGCGCGGCGAAGAGCCATTGAGTGGTCACCCAGTAGCCGCCGCCGCCGCCGCCTCGGGAAGCTTGCCACCCGCTAGGAGGGAAGATGAAGGAGATTTGCAGGATCTGTGCCCGAGAGCTGTGTGGAAACCAGCGGCGCTGGATCTTCCACACGGCGTCCAAGCTCAATCTCCAGGTTCTGCTTTCGCACGTCTTGGGCAAGGATGTCCCCCGCGATGGCAAAGCCGAGTTCGCTTGCAGCAAGTGTGCTTTCATGCTTGATCGAATCTATCGATTCGACACAGTTATTGCCCGGATTGAAGCGCTTTCTATTGAGCGCTTGCAAAAGCTGCAACTGGAGAAGGATCGCCTCAAGTTCTGCATTGCCAGTATGTATCGGAAGAATAACGATGACTCTGGCGTGGAGATCAAGGCGGGGAATGGGACGGTTGACATGTCCGTCTTACCCGATGCGAGATACTCTACACTGCTCCAGGAGGACTTCGCCTATTCAGGGTTTGAGTGCTGGGTGGAGAATGAGGATCAGATCCAGGAGCCACACAGCTGCCATGGTTCAGAAGGCCCTGGAAACCGACCCAGGAGATGCCGTGGTTGTGCCGCTTTGCGGGTTGCTGATTCTGACTATGAAGCCATTT
The DNA here is from genome assembly GCF_000001405.40 of Homo sapiens. NCBI lineage: Eukaryota > Metazoa > Chordata > Mammalia > Primates > Hominidae > Homo > Homo sapiens. Next base: position 168,086 of record NW_025791753.1, on the reverse strand, counting down.
GTAAGGTACCTCGAAAGGTGGCCAGAAGTATCTCCTGCGGCCCTTCTAGCAGGTGGTCGACCAGCATTTGCGCTGAAGAACCAGCGTTGTCTGAGGTTGGGCCACCCGACTTAGCAAGCACAAAGGTACCCCCAGATGGAGAAAGCATGGAGGAAGAGACGCCTGGTTCCTCTGTGGAATCTTTGGATGCAAGCGTCCAGGCTAGCCCTCCACAACAGGAAGATGAGGAGACTGAGAGAAGTGCAAAGGAACTTGGAAAGTGTGACTGTTGTTCAGATGATCAGGCTCCGCAGCATGGGTGTAATCACAAGCTGGAATTAGCTCTTAGCATGATTAAAGGTCTTGATTATAAGCCCATCCAGAGCCCCCGAGGGAGCAGGCTTCCGATTCCAGTGAAATCCAGCCTACCTGGAGCCAAGCCTGGCCCTAGCATGACAGATGGAGTTAGTTCCGGTTTCCTTAACAGGTCTTTGAAACCCCTTTACAAGACACCTGTGAGTTATCCCTTGGAGCTTTCAGACCTGCAGGAGCTGTGGGATGATCTCTGTGAAGATTATTTGCCTCTCCGGGTCCAGGTATACAAAACGTCTACATAGTGCCTTTCTGATTATAGCTAGCTGGCCTCTGGCTTCACGTGATTTCGGTCTAGGTGGAGGTTAGAAATATTCTGGACTTGAGAAAATTAGTCATGACCCCATTTTTGCTGCACCTTTTGCTATGTCTCATTTAGTAAACGTGATTTGCACTCAATTTGATTTTCACAATCCTTTTTGTAAAATCTGTTGGCTTTCCCATTATCAAAATTGTATACCTTTTAAAACAAAAAGGTAAAAATTCCTACTTCACTTTTTTCCTATAAAAAGAAGACATTTAATCTCATTTCTGGCACTAGAACTTTTCCTCTTACCTCTTTTTTTTTCCAACTTTTAAGATTTGTTCTTGTTTTCAGATTTATAGACGTTTCCTCCCAATGGTTTTCTGTAAGGCAGTTAGTTCTCTAGTTAGTTCTTCCTGGAGCATTAAAGCCTTCATCCGCAAAATGCCTGTAAATGATTAGAGCATAAGGTAAAAGGTTTGGGGAAAGCCTATTAATCCACCAGTAAAGTATTATAACATCTGGACCATATTAATTAGAATTAATAGTTCATTTGAGGATTAGTGATGACTCATTCATAAAAGAGACAGGAATTCAAGTATTCAAGTACAGTATTGTCAGTCAAAAGGTTAAGGCATAAACTGTTCACAGCCAGAACTCTACTGAGTTCTACTGGAAGATATTTGATATTAAGAAAGGATTAACCCATTATTGGATCAGAGGAGAGTTTCATTCATTACAGTCTTGAATTCTTAATTGCTTAATTTGAGCTATTCGTGTCTGCCCAATTGATTCTGTACCAACCTTTTAAATTCAACTATGGTAGTTTGTTTCTATAGCAACAGTAAATGCTAGCTTCAATAAACTTTGTGAAACATTCTGGCATGTTCCACTTGATACAACTTATTTAACAATACTGTCACAAAGGTAGATGTGATCTAGAAGGCATTTTTTAGAAAGCCTGCTACTGGTCAACGTCATTCCAGAAATTTAGAGCTTGATAAGTGACATTGTTGATGGCCACTTGAAATTTTTGGAAAGTAGTTCTATGGTATGTATACTGTCTATCACAATAAGAACCTAAGCAGAAAACAGGAGAAAAGTTTTTAAATTTACACAAAATTATGAGAAGCAGCATAGATGAGAAACAGCATAGATGAAAGTGTCATGAAAGGTAAAAAGTCAGTGCATTTTCATTTTGTATAAAATGTTAAGCACTGTATGCTTAACATTGTGTACTTCTTTTCTTTTGCTTTTTCTTTCAGTGGAGCCTCGCAGCTAAATTTGGGCTTTACAGTATTTCTGTGACTAGACATAGGTGTTACAAATTAAACATGGTGTTTTCATATTAGGGTCTAAAATTAGTTGGGCCAGGATGGATGGGAAATAAACTCGTCCCCCCAGCCCGCCACCAAATATGACCAATATTGTAGAACGTTACATAAAGACTGAGAAAATAACAGCCAAAACAAGATCTTTTTTTCTCCGTATTTAAATAAAATACTGTATTTTGGTGACTGGATTTTGGAGTGGAGAAGGATTTTAAAGATCATCTTCAGGCAGTCTCTCAATTTGGAGATATAGAAAGTTCCTTGTTTAACTAACGTAGCCCATGCAGAGACAAAGATTTCTGACCATTCTCAGGCAAGACACTTTAATTCTATACATTAAACCCCATTGTCTGAAGTATATTAATTTAAGTAAGTACTTATTTTAAACCAGGAGCCCTCTTTCTCTAACCTAAGGATGCTCGGAGGATTCTTTAGAGATTATGTGAAAAAAATTGTCATCTGAATGAACACATATAAACTATGGTAACTGTATCTTTAGGTCAAGTCCCTTTACTTCACTAAATTTGGACATTAGAGCTTTAAGATGGTAGTGTATGACCTTTCTGCTGTGACTTGACTTACATTGTTTACTGTTTCTAGAAAAACAAAAATTAGGAGGTGGGAGAAAATGTCATTCAGCTTCAAGAAATGTGGCATTTAATTATTATGCCATTTTCTCTAATAATTTAGGATGTCAGGGAAAATAGATGAATTGGGCCCAACATGTTTGTAAATAAAATGGGCAGTGTATCTATTGTTTAAATCTGGTTACTTTTAAGCTCCTTAAGAGCCTTATGACAAAACCAGTGCTAGATGGGACAATGGCAGACTGGTTTTTGTCTATTTCTCTGAACAAATATGGAAAGAATAGAAATAATGTAATTTTTTTTGGTAGTTCTCTTTTTTAGTTTGTAGAAACACGAAACCATGAAAGAAAAAAATGTTTCCTTTAGTTCAGTTCTGCCACAAATATGGAGAAAACCTTTTATCTTAAAGAGCAAGATTGTTCTGTAAGGTTATTTTGATTCCTTTGTTTAATCCTCCACTTACCATATTTTATGCACTATTAAATATTGACATCAGGATTCCTCCTGATTGCTTTTCCTCTTTTTTTCTTTCCTTCTTTCCGTCTTTTTCTTTGTTCCTTTCTTATTTATTAAAGAAAAATAGCAACAGTGTAGTTCTGCTTACTGATATTCTGATATTATACAAAGTAATTTATTTTCCTTCTACAGAATTTATGTATGAGGACCTAAGGCTGTTCAGATATCTAAAGAAAGGTTTGAAGCCTTCTTCTAGCTGGTAATTCCCTTCTTCATTGTCTGGCCCTGAACTAGAAAAGCTATGATGGGAGGGATGTGGTCCCTTAGTAAACAGCAATGAGCTCTGGCCCATGTGCAATTTCCCTTTCTATCTAAATTCAAAGAACAGAAGATCTTTGCCTTAAACCTTGCAATGCCAAGGTCTGCTCCTTTGTGACTATGGTAAATTTATCCCACTCTTATTTTAGTTATGTGAAGTGGATCAGGCCCTTTGGAAGATGTTGGCATTAGATGCTGGTAAAAGATTAGGCCTTTAATTTTATGGTAGTCAATGGTTCTTGTCTGTCTCCTATTATTAACAATAGGGTTGACAATTATAGCAGTTTGAGATCTATAACTCACTACTGTGAGGACTAGAAAGTGCCAAGAAAACTGCTGTTAACACAAAAAGTCTAAAAACTGGCCTTAGCCTAAAAAAAAGTCTCATATTGTGCAACACTAGGCCTGGAAGCGGTTCTCTTTTCTGATACTGGAAAGCCTTTGTCCTAATTCTGAGTCAAAAGTGACTTAATTTAAAATTATATTATCATTTCCACATGATTTTAGTACCTGAGTGTCTAGAGAGTAACACTGATTCTACCAAATCAGGTATTACTTATTTCATGGGCTACACTATCATTGTAGGAGTGACTGTTTTATGTACTTGATACTTCACAAGAATTCATTATGTTGTTGGCTTAGTGGGACTTGCTAAGTGCTCTTTCAGCAGACTGTTACCTGCAAGGACATTTTTCTGAGATGCAAAATAGTAAATTATTACAAATAAAGAAGAAACAAATATCTTCCAACTTTTAGGTCAGTACATTATTTATAGAAAAAGAGGTTTCTTATTATTATTCATGTCAAGATTGATTCATATGATATTCAAATACATTATGTATTTTCCTGTGGCATTCTTTGGCTTTAAAGTTGCTGTTCGAATATATGTTATATACAGTCTTATTTCTAAGAGAGCCACTAAAGGCCCGTTTTTGTTTGTTTTTATTGTTCTTATTTGTTCATTAAACAAAAACTTTTGATCTCTGCAGTATTCCCGGCATTATGGTAGGCAATGGGTTTATAGAAATGAGAGATACATTCCCAACCTGAGTGGAAATCCAGTTCAGTTTAATTGGATCTTTTTCCTGATTTCCCATGAAACCTTGGACTAATTACTTCTCTAAGTTTCCATTTCCTTGTATGTAAAATAGGATTGGATCAGATGGTTAGTTTATAAAGTTTCCTTCACCACTGTAAGATTGTTTGGTTTAAAGTAAATAAATATGACCACCTTCCTTGCCATTTTAAACTTGAAGCTATTTTCTTTAATTCTGCCTGTTGTAGTTTGAATTTCAAAGTATCTTACTGTAGGTGTTACTGTTGTTTTACGCTGAAGAAGTAAGAAGCCAAATTTTATAGAGATGGTTTTATCATTAAGTAAATGATGAATTTATTTATTAGTTAGAATCATTGTAAACATCTGTTTATGTGGTTACTTTGCCCATGGTGTGACATAGTTCATATTGCCTCAGGTGAAGGCTTCCTGTTATACCCACAACAACAAATATCTCAAATAATTTTTCCAGAAGTCATTATCCTTGCTGCTTTTTTCCCTCTCCCTCTATCCAGTCCACCAGCAAGTCCTGTTAGCTATACTTTCAAAACATATCCATATCTATCCATTTATTTCCCCCTCCCTTTACTAACCACCAGGATCCAAGCTACTATTGTCTTTCACCTGCACTACCGCAGCAGCCTCCTACCTGGTCTCTCTGCTTCTCTTGGTGCTCCCCAATAATTCATTCACCATAGCATGATCTTTTCAAAACTTCTGTATGATTACCTGTTAAAAAACTGCAGTCTATTCTCATTTCAATTAAAATGAAATCCAGTTCATTAACTTTGTTGTCTGAAGCTGGATGTGACCTGGTGCCTGCCTGCCTCTCCATCTCATTGAGTTTCCCTGTCCCCTTTGCCCACTATGCTCTAGCCCTGTGCTATCCAGTAAGCTAGCCACTAGTCTTAGGAGCTGTTGAACCCTTGAAATGTGGCTAGTCCAAATTGAGATGTGCTGTGAGTATAAAATATACCTTGAATTTCAGACTTATGAAAAATCATGTAATATTATCTCAGATAATAATGTTATCTCATTAATAATTTTTATATTATTTACATGTTTATGATAACATTTTGGATATATTGGGTTAAATAAAATATTTTGTTAAAATTAAGTTTACCTATTTATTTTGTACTTTGTTCATTGAAGCTACTAGAAAATTAAAAATTACATACATGGCTCACATTATATTTCTATTGGAGAGTGCTATTCTAGCCACAGAGGCCTTTCTCTTTTCCAGGCTCATATTCCATTAGCTGTTCTTTCTGCCTGGATTGTTCTGCTGATCTTTGCAGGACTGATTCTTTTTCCTTCAGATATCTATTTAAATGCTGCCTCATAAAGACCTTTCTCTGATCAAACAATTTAGGGTAATTTAACCACCCACTCTGTATTATGCTTTCCTGTTTTGCCACACAGGGCTTGTCCATAATATTTTTTGCATTTCCTTGTTTGTTTATCATGTACTCCCCACTCCAACCCCTGCAAAATATAAGTTTCAAGAGCACAGGGACTTTGTCTTGCATGATACTCTATCTTCAAGACAGTGCCTAGCACATAGTTAGTGTGCAACAGATATATGTTATGTCAGCATTGTATTCCTCACAGTGCCTCACATGGTGCTTTGCTTATTATAGCATTTAGTAGGTGTTAGAAAAGTTGATAAATAGCACTGGAGGAATAGAAGAGATTTTTCTTCTGCAATTTTTATGCTTCCAGTCAGTTGCTGGCAGGAAGGGATTTAAGGTAAGCTGTAACTCCACTGCCTTGAAGGTGGTAATCAAGTCTGAAAGTGTGAGGGAAACAAAAAATGAATAGCAGTTGCCTTTTCTCTCTTAATGAGTTTATATTCCTAATTGGAATGGAAGCAGGTATGGAGGCGGGAAGATCAAATTTAATTGCCGCAGTAAATTTGTAGTTTTATTTTAACATCCTTAGCTTGTAATGATTACTAAGAATAGTTCAATAAGTTTATCTTATTGTCCCATATATAAATCATTGTTCCATATATAAATTATCCCATATATAAAATCATACTTTTTTCTCCTGAATCTTTTAAGTGAATTGATATTCCTATAAAATATATCTCTTTCCCATTTCACTATGGATTATTTATCTGTGCTTATGCTATAAATCTGCCTTTAGGCACATCTATTTTAAATTTATTTTAATTTTTCTCTTTTTATTTTGAAATAATTTCAAACGTACAGAGATGTTATAAGAGAAATACCAAGAACTCCCATATACCCTTTACCCAGATTTACCAGTTGCAAATATTTTGTCACATTTGCTTTATAAACTCTCCCACTGTCTGTATTTGCACAGTATTTTTTAAAAATTCTTGAACCATTTGAGAATTAGTTGTAGATAGTATACTCCTTTACCCTAAATACTTAAGCATTATTTCTTAAGGACAAGGACATCTCTTATATAATTACAGTACAATTATCAAATTTAGAAAATTAGACATTGATAAAATACTGTTACCTAATATATAGTCCATATCAAAATCTGCCAATTTTTTCCAATAATGTGAAACAAGCATGTTGTAAGAAAGGTAGCCGGAATGTAACTTCTCTCAGGAAGTGTAAGTTTGATGAGTATGCCTTTTCAACTCCTTGATTAAAAATAGAATAAAGCAAATATTTGGTCATTGTAAGCATTTCCTTTATTAAATCCTCCCCTTCTCATTGAACTCTGAATTACTTGCTTTCGCTGAATAAACATGTAGTGTTTGTGTGAATTGGTACAGAAAAGTGGAGAGGGAAGCTGGGGAGCATAGTACAAATGGAGGTGAATCAGTGTTCTTAATAAGGAACAGACCTGTCTTTAGGAATTCATACTGATAATTTATGCAACAAATCTGATTCTCTAAATCTCTGGCAAAAGATGCAACAGACATTTTTGAAGACAAAAAAAAATTTTTGTTGGCCATGTTTAACTCACCTTACTCGTTTTGCCGTTTCTTCCTAGCCCATGACTGAAGAGTTGCTGAAACAACAAAAGCTGAATTCACATGAGACCACTATAACTCAGCAGTCTGTATCTGATTCCCACTTGGCAGAACTCCAGGAAAAAATCCAGCAAACAGAGGCCACCAACAAGGTATGATTAGTACTATGCCCTAGGAGATGACAAGGTTTTCCTGAGGATGTGACTGGCTCTAGCCTGAGTCTGTCAACCTTTGTAGGACTTGGGAGATGAATACTGTGTACTCCTTGTGCTCTAGGGAATATTTCATGTAAAAGTGTAGTTCTTCCCTTTATTCTTATGAAGATTTTAGCTTGTTCTATACAGATCATAATTTCTGGTGCTTTTCAGGTGTGTAATTAAAACTTGCATGCAGGCCGGCGCAGTGGCTCATGCCTGTAATGCCAGTGCTTTGGGAGGCCAAGGCAGGAGGATCACGAGGTCAGGAGTTCGAGACCAGCCTGGCCAACATGGTGAAACCCTGTCTCTACTAAAAAATAAAAAAAAATTAGCCAGGCGTTGTGGCAGACGCCTGTAATCCCACCTACTTGGGAGGCTGAGGCAAGACAATCGCTTGAACCCAGGAGGTGGATGTTGCAGTGAGCCAGGACCATGCCACTGCACTCAGGCCTGGGCAACAGAGAGAGACTCTGTCTCAAAAAAACACTTGCATGCAATCTTCCACTGTAAAAGGCACTGAGATAGGAGGTCTGTGTTTTTTATTTTAGCTTAACTTGTTACTACTTTCTAGCCCATGAATTTTAATGTCTGGCTTAGAAGAAAATTGCTACAATTTGGGATGCTGAACTTGTGGCCTGGGTGCCCTTATAGTGCCCTCTCCTATGCTAGATAGCAGAAGCTCTTTGGTCCTTGTATAAGGGATCCATATTAGAAACCACTTGCCTACTTGGTCCATGTGGACAAGTTCCTAGTATGGCTGCCATCATAGAGAGATCACAGTGCATGAAAATTGAGACAATTTAGTATTGAAGGAAGTATTTCATTTCTCCTGCTACTTTTTGTTGCTGATTGACTTACCACTTTAATGGTTACTCTATGTAGGAAAAATAACAAGGTAATATCCCCTAAGAAATTCTTTAAATCCTAGATTTGAGGAAAGGCTTTATTCATTTGAGGCTAAAAGACATCATTGACCTAAAAAACTGTTTTTCTTTGCTGAATTCAGATTCTTCAAGAGAAACTTAATGAAATGAGCTATGAACTAAAGTGTGCTCAGGAGTTGTCTCAAAAGCAAGATGGTACAATTCAGAACCTCAAGGAAACTCTGAAAAGCAGGGAACATGAGGTAACATATTTACCAATCAAGGACCTGTGTGGAAACAATTGGTCCCTTCAAAGTAGACAAGTATTTTATATTTTGTCAAAATGGATATTGTCAGACTAGCATGTCTTAGCCTGGAGAAGTTGTAGCTTAATCTCAATTGATATTTTGGAATAGTCCTGTTACTAAAATGTGTACAGGTGATATAATGGAATTTATAATTAGTTTACTAACATATTTGATATTCCCTCTCTCATTTTCAGACTGAGGAGTTGTACCAGGTAATTGAAGGTCAAAATGACACAATGGCAAAGCTTCGAGAAATGCTGCACCAAAGCCAGCTTGGACAACTTCACGTATGTGAGGGTCACATAGGACAGGAGAGACTTCAGTTGGGGATGTGCCATTTTGGTTGCAGTCTTGATTTTATTTTCAGTCTTTGTGGGAGCTCAGTGCTTGCCCTCCTTGTGATTGTGATTTCTACTCTCTTTTCAGAGCTCAGAGGGTACTTCTCCAGCTCAGCAACAGGTAGCTCTGCTTGATCTTCAGAGTGCTTTATTCTGCAGCCAACTTGAAATACAGAAGCTCCAGAGGGTGGTACGACAGAAAGAGCGCCAACTGGCTGATGCCAAACAATGTGTGCAATTTGTAGAGGCTGCAGCACACGAGAGTGAACAGCAGAAAGAGGCTTCTTGGAAACATAACCAGGTAAATCATTAACTATTTTATTGCCCTAAATGCTGACTTTGCCCTGATCATAACTTTTTAGCAGGACAGTTTGTGTTGAACCCTTGAGTCAGTTGCATAATCTAAGTATTTCAGTTCAACACTTGCTGCCCTTGTACCATATGCTAGTTACAGTAGTCCCTCTTTATCCACAGTTTCACTTTCCATGGTTTCAGTTATCTGGGGTCAACCACAGACAAAAAACATTAAGATATTTTAAGAGAGACCACATTCACGTAACTTTTCTTTTTTGAGACAGAGTCTCGCTCTGTCGCCAAAGTTGGAGTGCAGTGGCGCGATCTCCGCTCACTGCAAGCTCCGCCTCCTGTATTCATGCCATTCTCCCACTTCAGCCTCCAGAGTAGCTGGGACTACAGGCGCCCGCCACCATGCCTGGCTAATGTTGTTTTTGTATTTTTGGTAGAGACAGGTTTTCATCGTGTTAGGATGGTCTCGATCTCCTGACCTCGTGATCTGCCCACCTCGGCCTCCCTCACGTAACTTTTGTTACAGCATGTTGTTATAATTCTTCTATTTTATTGTTATTGTTAATCTGTCAGTACGTGTAATTTGTATGTAAACCTTTATCATAGTTATCTATGCACAGGAAAAAACAGTATACACAGGCTTCAGTGCTATCTGGTTTCAGGCATCCACTGGGCGTCTTAGAATGTATCCCCTGTGGGTAAGGGGCGACTGCCGTATTGAGTTGTGCCCTGGAAATACAAGGATGAATAGCACAGGCTCCTTTCTTTTAAGTTACTTATAGTTCAGTAAGAGAGACAGTCACATAAGCTGAGTTTCAGTGTGGTAAATTCTGAAGGGGATGTATATATGGGGTCCTACAGGAATATCTAGGAAAGGAGTCAAGGAAAAGGAATCAAGGAAAACTTCATGAAGGAGGAGACATCTGAGGTTATTCTTGAAGGATGGGTAAAACCAGGCAGAAAAGTGGGGAAGAACCACTAAGGTCAGAGGAATGACATGCATAATAATCAGCCCTGTTTTTTATTTTTTATTTTTGAATAATAAATATACGATTCTTTTCTTTTCTTTTCTTTCTTTCTTTCCTCTCTCTTTCTTTCCTTCTTTTTTTTTTTTTTTTTTTTTTTTTGAGACAGAGTCTCGCTCTGTCGCCCAGGCTGGAGTGCAGTGGTGCGATCTCGGCTCGCTGCAAGCTCCGCCTCTCGGGTTCACGCCATTCTCCTGCCTCAGCCTCCCAAGTAGCTGGGACTACAGGCACTGGCCACCACCATGCCCGGCTAATTTTTTTTGCATTTTTAGTAGAGACGGGGTTTCATCGTGTTAGCCAGGATGGTCTCGATGTCCTGACCTCGTGATCCGCCCGCCTCAGCCTCCCAAAGTGCTGAGATTACAGGCGTGAGCCACTGCACCCGGCCTCTTTCTTTCCTTCTTTCTCTCTCTCTCTTTCTTTTCTTTTCTTTCTTTCTTTCATTTTTTTTTTTTTTTTGAGACAGAGTTTTGCTCTTGTTGCCCAGGCTGGAGTGCAATGACACAATCTCGGCTCACTGCAACCTCCACCTCCCGGGTTCAAGCGATTCTCCTGCTTCAGCCTCCTGGTAGCTGGGATTACAGGCATGCGCCACCATGCCTGGCTAATTTTGTATTTTTAGTAGAGACAGGGTTTCTCCATGTTGGTCAGGCTGGTCTCAAACTCCCGACCTCTGGTGATCTGCCCACCTTGGCTTTCCAAAGTGGTGAGATTACAGGCGTGAGCCACCACGCTGGGCCAAAATACACAACTCTTAAATGGTTCCTTTATCTTGTTAGGTCAGAGTGTATGTGTTTGTTTAAGATTTAAAAGATTTTTTTGTGTGTGGTCTCTTCTTAAGCTCTTTAACACTCAGGTTTAAAAGTAATTTTTGAAGGATCTCCCTGGTTTAGTGGTTTGGAGATCAAATATTAGCCCTGAATTTCCTTTTGAAATATTAAAATTTTGGCTGGGCACAGTGGCTCACGCCTGTAATCCCAGCACTTTGGGAGGCCGAGGTGGGTGGATCATGTGGTCAGTAGTTCAAGACCAGCCTGGCCAAGATGGTGAAACCCCGTCTCTACTAAAAATACAAAAATTAGCCCAGTGTGGTGGCAGGAGCCTTTAATCCCAGCTACTTGGGAGGCTGAGGCACAGAAATGCTTGAACCCGGAAGGCGGAGGTTGCAGTGAGCCGAGATTGTACCACTGCACTTCAGCATGGGCAACAGAGTGAGACTCCATCTCAAAAAAAAGAAATATTAAAATTTCAGATGTCTGGGCAGGGTCGGGGAGTGGTGGAGGGATGGAGATAGAAATAATTCTTAACTTTTTGTTATTTAGCTAAAGGAAACATTTCCCCAAGATTTGTTTAGTTGAGAATATGTATTTGGTAGCTTTCTAAAGTAACAGATGATTTAAAGATTACTGACTTTATTATTAGAAAAATAATTATGGCAAACTAAGAAAGAAGAGTGATGGTCTCTATGAGATCTTTAGAAAAAAGGATGATAGGAATAGTTTATCCTTGAGCTTATTGTAAATAATCCAGGTTTACCGTAGGACAGATTCTCACTTAATGGTTCTATAGATGTATTCTTTTTAAGCCAAAAAATAAGTATTGAACTATAATATCAAGCTTACTTCCTACCCCATTCACAACTTTTACAATTTTCCATATCCTATTCAATTCATGTATAATACTTCTATAGCAATTTTAATAATGGCACCCTCTACTCCTCTTTCAGTTTATATACCTTGAAAATTTTAAGGCCTCTGTATCTAATAACCATGTGACAATTTTAGATCTCTTTAAAAAGTAATATGTTTAATTCAGGAATTGCGAAAAGCCTTGCAGCAGCTACAAGAAGTATTGCAGAATAAGAGCCAACAGCTTCGTGCCTGGGAGGCTGAAAAATACAATGAGATTCGAACCCAGGAACAAAACATCCAGCACCTAAACCATAGTCTGAGTCACAAGGAGCAGTTGCTTCAGGTGAGTTTACATGATTTCAATGAAAACTGGGCTCATAGAACTCTGAAATTTGTTTATATAATTTTAAGATATTAATCCACCTGTGCTGAGTCCCTGCCATATGGAAAACATTGAGAGAGGTGGGAATCAGGAGGATTTAAAATAAATAGAAAATATAATTTGTGAATTAAGATGCTTACTAACAAGTATAAGAAACAGTACATATAGCCCTGACTTAAGCAGTCTTTTATGAAGTCTTTTATAAAGACTTAATATTCAGAAAATAGTTATTAAGCACCTCTGTGAATCAAACACTTTTCTGGGTGTTGGGAAGACAAAAGATTTGGCTACTGATCTCAGTTTAATAGATGAAGACAAACTGTACAGAAACTTCCACAGAGTAATTTTGATGATAGAATAAAAGTTTGAGGGGAAGATGGAGCATTAAGAAGAGACTGATCTGTTCTGCCACCTACTCTAAGCTTCAGTCACATTGAATCCACTACATTTCACTGAATGTACAATTTTTTCATTGTATGCATAGTGTGCATATTTTTTTTTCTCTAACGTATCCTCCTCTCCCTTCTTCACTTAGGAAATCCTAGTCCTTTAATTAAGACTCACTGCAAATATTACCTCCTCTGTGAGGTCTTTACTGACACCTTCAGGCAGAGTTAGGCAGTGCATCCTGTGTTCCCCTGGTGGCTAGCGTATGTTGCAGAACAGTTAATTCTATGTGTTGTGTCTGTTGTATGTTGCAGAATAGTTTACAGTTTATATGTCTGTTATCTCTGCTAAACTTGTTACTTTTGAGGAGAGCGATCACATCTTGTTTTTTTTTTATCCTGAATAACTAGCAAATTACTTGGTAATTTAGTTAATATTGGATAAAAGAATAAAAGAAACTATTTTTGGTCTCAGGAATTTCGGGAGCTCCTACAGTATCGAGATAACTCAGACAAAACCCTTGAAGCAAATGAAATGTTGCTTGAGAAACTTCGCCAGCGAATACGTGATAAAGCTGTGCTCTGGAGGTATGTATCATCATTTCGCCCACTATGCTATGGATTATTCTATCTACATAGGTATTATAGAAATTTGTGTTTGCTTAAATTTGCTGCTTTGGGATTTGGTTTTCTATTCTGCCATCTTGTTGAATAAGAGTGATCAGGATAGTAAATCTTACAGAGCTTTAGGAGTCTTCCTTTCCTTGCAGCGGGCTATAGATGAAAAATTCTCTGCTCTAGAAGAGAAAGAAAAAGAACTGCGCCAGCTTCGTCTTGCTGTGAGAGAGCGAGATCATGACCTAGAGAGACTGCGCGATGTCCTCTCCTCCAATGAAGCTACTATGCAAGTAAGAGCAAAACCTATCTCTGACTTGGTGTTCCTCTCCCACTTGTATCCTGAGCCTGAAGCATGACCCCCTTCCATCATTTTCTGAAAACCAGGGATTTTGCTTTATAAGGGGGAAGAAAACCAAAAAGAGCAGTTACTAGTTCCATCATTGTCAATTAGCAAGTGAGAGATTTTAGCGCTTCTACTTTTCTTTTGTAATATGAACTTTGTGAGGAGAGCCAGTAAATATTGATTTCTGTTTACATAGTTCTGATTTATTTCCAATTCTTGTTCATACATAAGTATACATACACACACACTCTTCTCTCTCTCTCTTACTTTTACTGAAGCATTACCAGGGTGCAATTATTAAATTGTGTCTTCTACATTAATATTATCTACATGTCCATGAATTGCCATAATTAGAACACTTGTTTATCTATATTTACTGTGGACTTTTTTGCATATTTATTTTAGAGCTTATGTATCTATCTGCCACTTTTTCGAGAAATCCTTTATAGCATAGTGCACTTCCTCCAAAATACTTCCTTTTATCATATATTCTATATTTAATCTCTCCACAAACTAGATAAAAGTTTCTAAAAACCAAAAAAATAGATTAGTATGGCATTGTTAGATCAATGTTCTCATCTTGCAAATAAAAAAAAATTGATGGGAGATTATTTAAAAGTGGATCTAATTTCTTGTTTATCCTGAGGAGTATGGGGTAATCATTTTGACTGATTATTGCTCTCTTTATGGCTGTAGACTATGGAGAGTCTCCTGAGGGCCAAAGGCCTGGAAGTGGAACAGTTATCTACTACCTGTCAAAACCTCCAGTAGCTGAAAGAAGAAATGGAAACCAAATTTAGCCGTTGGCAGAAGGAACAAGAGAGTATCATTCAGCAGTTACAGACGTCTCTTCATGATAGGAACAAAGAAGTGGAGGCAAGACTTCAGTTAACTTTAAGGCAGTTGGTTCAGTGATTATGTAATCTCAGCCTTGGATTAGGACTCTTCAGATCGGGAGGCCTGTGACCCAAGTCTTTAATTTCATTCTGTGCCTGGGCAAGTCATTGACTTTCACTGGGATTTTTTTTTTCCCCACGTCTAGAAACTTAAGTTGGCAATTAACTTTCTCAAAGACTTATGTGAGAATTAATGAGACCCAAAAATTGCATCTTTAACATGATAGCTAACCTTTATTAGTTATAGTCTTCATGCTGGGTCAGGTACTGTTTTAAGATCCTAATGGATATTAACTCATTGGATCCTCACAAGTCCATGAGGCACTTTCTATTATTCCTTTTTATAGAGGAGGAAACAGACTTCTGAAGCTAAGTAACTTGTCCAAGCTAACATAGCTAATAAGTAGCAGATCCAGTATCAACCTAGGCAGTATGGCTCCATTCCTCCACCATGTGCCATCAGTTAGTACAGAAATAGAAACCATCGCTATGATAGCAAATATAGTGTTTAGTATTCCTTTCAGCTTATCGTTTTATGCTTCCCCCTGTTAAGTTACGCTGGGGAGAAAACAAATAAATGAACTGAGTGTCCATTTATCCTCATCTAACATTAATTGTTACATGCCCTGAACAAATAGGAAAAAGACTTATTTCAGAAAACAATATGTATGTAAGTGGCCACCAGAGATAGTTTTCTGTATGGTTTGTATTCATTCCTGGGACATGTATTTAGAGACTTCTGTGTAGCAGGCCTATGCTAGATCTGGTAAAACAAAAATGAGTAAAACATGATACTTATTCTCAAGAATCTCACACCTCCTTCTTCTATGATAGATTCTTATAAGCCCTTTGATATTTAGCAGAGGCATTTCTTTCCTCCAGAAGCTTACAGTGTCCTTTCTGCATTAGGATCTTAGTGCAACATTGCTCTGCAAACTTGGACCAGGGCAGAGTGAGATAGCAGAGGAGCTGTGCCAGCGTCTACAGTGAAAGGAAAGGATGCTGCAGGACCTTCTAAGTGATCGAAATAAACAAGTGCTGGAACATGAAATGGAGATTCAAGGCCTGCTTCAGTCTGTGAGCACCAGGGAGCAGGAAAGCCAAGTAAGGATTAATGCACAGATCAGACAAGTGTCATGTAGTGCATTTATAGTCTGCAAATAGGAAGCATTTGCAGACTATAGATGTGTGTATATTTATATATTTTACCGTCAACTCTGTTAGTTTCTTTCCTTCTATTTATTACCTAAACCACAGTTTTATTTATTTACTTACTTATTTAGAGATGGGGGTTTCGCTGTGTTGCACAGGCTGGTCTCAAACTCCTGGGCTCAAGCAATCATCCTGCCTTGGCTTCCCAAAGTGCTGGGACTATACGTGTGAGCTGCTGCGCCTGGCCTTAGACCACAGTTTTACATTAATCATCAAAGTATGACACATTTCTTGAAAACCTTGCATTTGGAAGGGTGCCTAAACAATACATGTATCCATTAACTTCATTACATACATTTTCTTTTCCTTAATAATCTGATAATTTTGAGAGAAAGGAGTAGGGGTTGTGAGTGTTTCGATTTTGATTCTAAATTGTTAAGACTTGAGTAATATTTTGCATTTCCAGTCAAGGTATGGGAAAACTTACACTCAACATGTTTACTCTTAGTTTTTGTAAAATCTGAGTTAAGAGGGAAAAAAGATCGCATTTTTCAGAGGTCATGGTGAGAATAAACAATCTCATAATAGTACAGGGTATATTAATTTCACAATATTTAAGAAGTAAATTCTTTTTTTTTTTTTTTTTTTTGAGATGGCATCTCCCTCTGTCACCCAGCTGGAGTGCGATGGCGCAATCTTGGCTCACTGCAACCTCTGCCTCCTGGGTTCAAGCAATTCTTCTGCCTCAGCCTCCCAAGTAGCTGGGATTACAGGCATGCACCACCATGCCCGCTAAGTTTTGTATTTTTAGTAGAGGTGGGGTTTCACCATGTTGGCCAGGCTGGCTTACGATTCCTGGCCTCAAGTGATCCACCCATCTCAGCCTCCCAAAGTGCTGGGATTACAGGCGTGAGCCACCATGCCCTGCCCATAGTAAATTGTTAATTTTTCCTCATTTCTATGTGTTTTCTCCTCAAGGCTAAAAACTCTTAGTTGACTTGTGCTGCATTTCAGATACCAGTAGCTCAGAATCCCCGTAGTCAGTTTTTAGAGGAAGATAGACTCTTTTTTGCCTATGTTATTTGACCCCATAATATTTTCTTATGTTTTCTTATGTTGTGAAAGGATTATACTCCACTATTCTAATTGTTAGGCCCACTGAAGTAAATACACATCTTTCTAGAAAGGTCCTGCTGTGTGCTTCAGAAATTGTTTCTAAAATAGACCTAACAAAATTATTCTAAATTATTTAAATCTTTGGCAAGAGGCTAGGATCTTTGAGTTTTCTTTTTAACTTCTTTGTGATTTGGGACAATTGGTCTTTATTATACCTCAGAAAAAAAAATTATGCACTGCTGGTAATAGAATAATGGAGATGATGGAAATTACAGGAGATTTTTCAACTCAAGAAGATTAATGGTTGTATTCTTCTAGATCTGCTTCTCTAAATTTACGTGCAAAAGAAATCACCTGAATAGCTTTTTAAAGATGTAGATTGTGGAGCTCAACTCCAGAGAAAGAAATTACGAGGTATAGGTGGGACTTAAGAATTTGCATTTCTAACAAGTTTCCAGGTGATAGTGATGCTGCAGGTTCGTGGACTGCATTGGAGGAGCACTGCTAAAAACTCTTAAATACTACGAGAAAAGGAGTGCCAAGGCAGATAGAGCACAGTATATATCTTGTATATTATTTATTATGTTTTTTCCCCACAGTTTTCACAGATATTTTTATTAAGGTACTTTAATAATATTCTGATACGTCTAAAATAGTTATATTCAAATCTCCAAAGAGCCCAAATTTTACTTACTGAAAAGTGGAAGGTTTTTTTCGTATTTCCCCTAGAAATTGTGACAAGAGCTCAGCTTCTGCCCTAAAACAATAGTACTTTTCCTCAGAGACAGTTGGTGTTATGATTCATCATCTTAGACCCTCAGTAATTTTAATATCAATTTATTATTTCCAGATTTTCTGTTTAAATGCAGACTTCCTGTGCATTAATAGTTAAAAATGTTCTAGATCTTTCCCTTATTGTGTCATCATCTGTCTTAGAAAACTGGGATTTGAAATGAAACAAGCTGAGTTGGGTGATTTTGAGGTTGAGATTATCCTAATCATGTGGTCTGATAAACATGTTTATGTGCGTAATTGATTCATTCAGTAAATATGTAGTGTGTGCCTATTATGTGCCAGACACCGTACTGGGTGCTTGAGATTCAGCACCAAATTGCCTTTAGGAAACTTACATTCCATGTAGGGGAAGCAGAGAGAGAGATCTATTAGATAATGGTAAGTGCATCGAAAAAAAATTAAGCACAGTAAGAAGTGTTGGAGATAGAGAAGAGATTGCTGGGTTTTAAAAAAATTTTTTTCCCAGCTTTATTAAAGTATAATTGACAAATATTGTATATACTCAAGGTGTACAGCATGATGTGTTGATATACATATACATTTTGAAGTGATTGCCACAATCAAATTAACACATCCGTCACTACACATTTTATGCGTGTATGGTGAAACCACTTAAGATCTACTCTCTTAGCAAATTTCAAGTAAATAATACAGTATTATTAACTAAAGTCACCATGCTATCATTGGATCCCCAAAACATATTCATCTTATACTTTGGCCAGCAAGATTGCTGTTTTGGATAGGATATGCAGGAAAGACCAACCTGATAAGGTGACATTTGGCAAAGACCTGAAGGGAGCAAACCACACAAATGTTTGAGTGAAAAGGAATCCACCCCTAAGAAGCAACTATCCGAGAATAAAGACATTTGTTATACTAATTCAAACCAGAATCTTAACACCTTAGCCTGATAGTTGTAGCAGAACCTATTTCAGATTCTCTTATCTGTTACAGATGTGTTAAATTCAGTTTTTTTTCCCAATATTCTGCCTATGAGACTTTCTTTCCATTCACTTAACTCTGTTTTTCCCTGTAAACTGAAAGCAAGGAAACTATTTCCTAAGGACCCACTGTTTTTTGTTGTTGTCATTGTTGTTTGTTTTTTACAAATGGTTGACTTTGAAGAAATAATACCAGAACAAAAAATTTGTTTTACTAGAATATCTTTATAATGTTATTTGTGATTTCCTCTTACTAGGCTGCTGCAGAGAAGTTGGTGCAAGCCTTAATGGAAAGAAATTCAGAATTACAGGCCCTGCACCAATATTTAGGAGGGAGAGACTCCCTGATGTCCCAAGCACCCATCTCTAACCAACAAGCTGAAGTTACCCCCACTGGCCGTCTTGGAAAACAGACTGATCAAGTAAGAACTATAGACTTACATAATTCATGCTGATTCCATTTCCTTTTTACATTTGAGGTGTAAGTTTGATAATTTTAATACCAAATTCTGAGAATATTCTCAGTACTGTCATTGTGATCATAGTTCCTGCATCTTCCTAAGTCCCCTGACTTTTGCAATTTTTTAGGGTTCAATGCAGATACCTTCCAGAGATGATAGCACTTCATTGACTGCCAAAGAGGATGTCAGCATACCCAGATCCACATTAGGTAAGTATCAAATTTCATTTCATTAAGGGACTTTGTTTTTCTCTTGTTTTTTCTTCTAGTAATCTCTGTATTATAGGTTTGGCCAAGACTCTTTTCTCTTCCTACCTTAATAGAACAAATAAGTTTGGAATTCCTCTGAAAGGCTGAAGAACTGTCCTTACCTTATGTTGAGTTGAGGTTATTGCTCTGGGTTCACAATTCGGCCCAGAGAAATTCTATCCTTACTCTCCTTTTCAGATAGCTTTGCAGGGATTCAGAAATGCAGGAGGTAATTGTTCCAATCCTGCACAGCAGGGCCATGAGCTGACACCTTTTCCTGGGTATCGTTTCAAGTCTGGGGCCACTCACTGTAACTTGACATCACCTACTAATGTTATATATATATATAATGTTAGCATAGTTTGATAGTTTCTGGCACAATAAGATGTTCTATGATTACCTTTTGCTTTACCTGCCTCAGTCCCAGAATCAGCCATTATCCTAAAGAGCTCCCTGGTTCCTTTTGGTGGGTAATGGCATTCAGAAACTATGATCTGGACACAAGATGTGTTCATTGCTACATGAATGCCTTTTGCTTCTAGGACCTTTTTTTTTTTTGAGACGGAGTCTCGCTCTGTCACCCAGGTGGGAGTGCAGTGGCACGATCTCTCTGCTCACCTCTCGAGTAGCTGGGACTACAGCGCCAGCCACCACACCCAGCTAATTTTTTTGTATTTTTAGTAGAGACGGGGTTTCACCGTGTTAGCCAGGATGGTCTCAATCTCCTGACCTCGTGATCCGCCCTCCTTGGCCTCCCAAAGTACTGAGATTACAGATGTGAGCCACTGCGCCCAGCCGCTTCTAGGCCCTTTTAAGAGAACAGAACTAGCAATGAATATTTTTAAGTATGTATGTGTGTATTTGTATACATGTGAAGATTTGATACTGATTTCCTTAATTCCAATTTAACAATATAGGTTCTTTTTTCCCTCATTTCATATTTGTATCTCCTTGAGAGCCCTGGTTACTTATAGCATCAATATATTTCAAAATATTTACACAGTTGCAGAATACTATAATATGCAAAAGTATTTTTGGAATTGTTACATAAATACCACCATCAACAATAAATGTATTAAGTAATGTTTAAGATTTTTTTGTAATTCTTTTTATCCTTAGGATATTTTGCACTGACAGTGTTCAGTTAGAGTAGTAGTGAGTTCAAAAATTATTTGGATTAATTTTTTTATTATCTTCTGGATGGTTTTGTTATCTATTTGCTATATAGATTTATTTATTTATATTAGTATTCAATTTTAGACCTTTTCTCTCTCATTCATTGTCAAACTGACTTACACATTAAAAATTAAACATTTACACAGTTCAAAACTCTAGTATATAAAATGATATACTCAGATGTCCAATATTTTCCTGTTCCTTCTCTCCTGTTTCCACTCATCTCCTGCAGGTAATCAGTTTCATTTCTGGGTTATTCTTCCTGTATATCTTTTTGCAAAAATAAGCAAATGAATCATCTGCATATATGTAATGTATATATGTACATTCTTATTTCCCCTTTTTCCTAATAGAAAACCTACTACTTTAGATGTATTCTTAAGCACATAGCTTGTTTTTACTTAACATATTCTTAAAATCTCAAAATCACTCCATATAAATTCATAAAGATCATCCTTATTCTTTTTTTACATCAGTATATAGTGCCATCTGTGAATATACTATAGTTTATTCAATCTTTTCTTTATAGCATCTAGGATGATTGCAGTATTTTGCTATTATAAATAATGCTATAAAGAACAACCTGTGTGTATGTTTTCTTTTTTCTTATTATTGGAATGTGTCCTCTGTAAATTACTCAAAGGAGGCAGCAGATACCACATTATGTTAATAGCAATTAAAACTAGTGCTATATTTTCATTTTAGGAGACTTGGACACAGTTGCAGGGCTGGAAAAAGAACTGAGTAATGCCAAAGAGGAACTTGAACTCATGGCTAAAAAAGAAAGAGAAAGTCAGGTGAGTTTTTTAGTTAAGTCTTAATTCCAAAATCCCTATTATTTTTTTCTTTCAAAATAGTTTATATTTAAAAGCATATAATTCTCCATGTATAATATCTGAGTCCAAATGCCAGGTATGACTTTTTTCTTTTTGGAGAAAAATATAAGTTATTTTATATATACATTATCTCAAAAAGATGCTCCTGTTTTTAGATTGGGACCATTAAAACTTATTAAATGCTGGAAAAACGTAACCCTCTCTCCCCATTGCTAACTGGAATAAAATAATTGTAAAGGCCGGGTGCAGTGGCTCATGCCTGTAATCACAGCACTTTGGGAGGCCGAGGTGGGCGGATCACTTGATCCGCTCGAACAGGAGTTCGAGACCAGCCTGGCCAATATGATGAAACCCTGTCTTTACTAAAAATACAAAAATTAGCCAGGTGTAGTGGCGGGCGCCTGTAATCCCAGCTACTCGGGAGCCTCAGGCAGGAGAATCACTTGAACCCGGGAGGCAGAGGTTGCAGTGAGCTGAGATCGTGCCATCACACTCCAGCCTGGGCAACAAGAGCAAAACTCCGCCTCCAAGATAATAACAACAACAACAACAATAATAATAATAATTGTAAAGCACTGGTGAAAAAAGGAAGCGCTGTGTGATTGCTGCTTAGAGTTATGACATTAGATCCGTGAAATTAGATTTAGAAACATGAAACGAGAAATTTGAGTATAATCAGTGTTTATCAAGTATTCATGTGCAATGTACTGTGCTAGGTATTTAAATTAGCACTAATGCTCACAACTCTACACAAAGTAAGTGGTGTCGGCCCAATTATTATAGACGAAGAAGCTGAAACACTGATTTCTCTTTTAAAATGGGAGTGGAGAATAGTCATGTAACTAATAAATGCCAGAGCTATGATTCAAACTCAAGCCTTTTGTGACTTCACATACTTCCTAAGAAGATTCATTTCCTAGAGCACATTTTTCCCACCTTATGCTTTAACTCTCTCTAGCATAGAGTTCTCATCAATTTTTTTTGGAAGAGGCCTTTCAGCCTTAGAGATTCCCTTCCCCCTGCCTTTCCTCCACAGCTAGTTGCATATTCAACTATGATGTTGAAGAAATACTAGGACCACAGCGCAGAGTTACAGACTGAAACTAAAAGCTTGTTTGTTACTATGTTGGCATCTCTTTTAGAAGATCACTCAATGTCATGGCTTCCTAAATTCAGTTTAGCTAGCTAGTCCAAATAGCTCCTTAGTTTTTTTCTACCTTTTGCCATAGCTAGATCTATAATATAAAACCTGTGTTTGTATTTGTGACAGAATTATCATATTTTATCTTTTGATTTCATTGTCATATTTCTGCTTACAAACAGACTCATGTTTTATGACTCAATTAGTTTTCAGGATATGAGAATGTGTGGCATTTAAGAAATACCAGTTTTAAAAATCCCCTAGTCCCCCTTCCTTTTTGTGGTTCTACCTTAGCCGTTATCTGATTATTCATGTCAGATATTTTAGTTTCCACATCCTCTTCCTGTTTTTCTCACATTTATCAAATCCAGAGTAATGTTACTTTTTGGTTCTGTCCTGTTTTCAGGATCATGAAATTGTAATGCCTATGAATGGGTATTTTGGGTGATATTTAGCTATTGCTAAATTCCTTTAAAGGGTTTATTTAAAATAACTTGTCTTACCATAAAGATTGTATGGATATGTGGTATCTACAGGAAAGATATTATAGCCTAGTGGCTCTGAGTCAGCTTCCCTGAGTTCACATTCTGGATTTACCACTTACTAGCCAGCCCTGTGATTTTTGAACAAGTTCCTTAATTTCTCTCAGACTCAGATCACCTTGTCTGTAAGTTGAAGAGTAGAAGAAGTCACCTTATGTATAAATAAAAGAGTAGTTATCTCATAGGATTGTTGTGAGGATTCACTCATTCATTCATTAGCTATATGGGGACCTTCTCTAAGCTTGGGCTAGTGCTGGGGATGAGGTAGGTAGTGAATGAAATCAGTAAGGTCTGTGGCTCTGTGTAGTTAATTTCTACTGGGGAGATACAGACAATAAATAAATAAACATTATAGTTATAGAGTATAGTAAGTGATATGAGGGAAATGATAGAAAGCAACATGGATGGAGACCATCTTAAATAGGGTGGCCAAAGAAGGCTTCTCTGAGCAGATGACACGTAAGCTGGGACCTAAGGATGAAAAGGAGGCAGCCCTGAGAAAGATATTTCAGGCAAAGGGAGTAGTTGTAAAGGCCAAGTCAAGAGAAAGTCTGGTGTTCCTGGAACAGAAAAAGTCTAATGTGCCTACAGAGTCATGAGTGAGCAGTAAAATGGCAGATATTAAAGTAGGAAAAGTAGGCAGGAGCCAGATCACTAGGTTTGTTAAAAGGATTAAATCTATACAAAGCATTTATTAGAGAGCCCAGGGCATAGTAAGTGTTAGCAGCTATGGTTGTTATCATGATTTTTTTTTTGAGATGGAGTCTCGCTCTGTTGCCAGGCTGGAGTGCAGTGGCACGATCTTGGCTCATTGCAACCTCTGCCTCCTGGGTTCAAGCGATTCTCTTGCCTCAGCCTCCTGAGTAGCTAGGATTACAGACACACACCACCACGCTCGGCTAGTTTTTGTATTTTTAGTAGAGATGGGTTTCACCATGTTGGTCAGGCTGGTCTCGAACTCCTGACCTCATGATCCGCCCACCTCAGCCTCCCAAAGTGCTGGGATTACAGGTGTGAGCTACCACGCCTGGCCTATTATGATTTTTAATGAAGTTTGTCATAACCAAGTACTTGTCATTTTCTGATGAGAACACTGAAAGTTTAGGGCATGTAGTGCCAACTTTTGGCAGTATTTCTTCACAGGTGGTGGCGTGTTCTTCCATCAGGAGTCATGTAATGTTTGGTGATCTCTCGTGATGTTAGCAGCTGTTGCTGTTTGATGCCTTATCCCTTAATTCATTAAGGGTTGCAAAATGGAGATATCCTAATGCTATCATTTTTTCATCTGTTAGGTGAAGTTTTACTTACATAAAAACTTCATCTCTTCTTGCTTCTGCTAATGGTAACCATCTTCTGAATCGCTAGTAAGATTCAGCTCTGGGTGATTCTTCGTTTCTAATGGCTCATAGTGATTACAGTTTATGTTAATAATCACTCCTACTTCTGTCAACCTCCAGCAAGAGTAAATTGATAGCAGGATAAATCCTGTTACCATCAAGTATAAAACTTCCTTCTGCTGATGCTATTTAGGTTCTGTGGCCTTCAACTTTCTCAGTCTTCAACTTATAAGCCCATGGACTACTTCAGTTTACTTACAATAACAATAATAATATTGTTTAAGGATGGTATTTATTGAGTACACACTGTGTACCAAGCACTGTTCTAAGCACTTCAAAATCAGCAAACCCTTTAAAGTTCACAACAGTATGGAGTGGGTAACACTCTTAACCCTAATTATTAAATGAAGAAACTTAGTTATGGAAAGGTTATGACTTGCCTGAAGTGACATAACTAACAATAAAAGCACAATTCAAATCAAGACAGTCTATCTCCATAGTTCTTGTTCTTAATTATTATGCCATACTCAATTTAAAAAGTTCTACAAAAGTATGAATTTTTGCTTCAGTGATAAGAATACCTTATATTTGCATAACGCTTACATTTTCACCCAAGGATTTTATGGTCTTATGTTTTAGAGGTTTATTTTTGTGTACTTTGTAGAATTAGATAGCTGATAGAAAATACTTTTCTAAATAAGGGACATCTTGGTATCACCTCCATTTTGTATTGTTCAGAGCCTAGAAACTTCCAAGAACCACAAGTTGAGAACTTTTATTGAAGCCTCAAATAAAAGTTTTTTATAAAATTGCCAGTCTAACATGTAAAACTTAATCTCGAAGAAGCAAGTTAAATGAACAGATTCTTAGCTCCCAGAGAATCTAAAGGCGGCAGGCTATTTTATATTTTATCAAAAAATAAGCAGACGAGTCATCAATATAAAATCATAGGTACCTTAAATTAGAAATTCAAAATATTCCAAGTTAGTTCTGAAGACAGTGTTTCGTTGTGCAGTAAAAGTTTAGAAAAGGGTATCACACAAGAGAAGTTCTCTCATTTATTTAAAAAAATGGAAAATGGTAAAAGATGTCTAATGTCTTGTATGGACCTTGTATGAGATAACTTACTCTTTTATTCCCATATTTTCTATAAATTTTTTAGCTTTACCCCTCAAACATGGGAGAAAAAGTTTCAGCATTTTAATTCAAATTGGTAAAAGGCTGAGCAACCCTTAAAGCTGCCATAATGGAAGAAGACTGTGAGCTAGCTTAAAAAAGAGAGAATGAAGGGGAAGAAACAAAACCCCTGTGTGGCAGAGTGTCGAGATGAGATGAGCATTTATTTGTCTCCGTCGAATTCCTTACGGAGATAAGGTAAGCACCTTATCTGTATTGGGTAGTGAATGCTCATGATTCAAGCAGAGCCTTTCATGCCTGGATGTCTGAACTCAACAGAAGGTTCTTTGGTCTTGGAGGAAGAAGCAAAGATAAAGATCTGATTTGTCACCAGAAGGAAAAGTGAGTGGCTTCTGTCTAAGAGTCCAGAGTCTTGACTTACTGGCGCAGCTCTAGTGAGGGCTAGTTGTGTAACCTTGGACTCACCACGTAATCTCTTAGAGGTCCAGGTTAATCAGTGGTCAGAAGTGGAGTTGTAACTGGTTGGTTGCCGAGGCTAGGATCAGAACAAGATTTCAAGATTCTTAAGTTGGGGAGGTTCTATAAGACACAGTGAGTGTCACAGTAAATTTTCTTTGACAAATTAACCATAATAAATTTCTACACTTCCTGAAAAATACAGTATATAAAACATAGCTCTTGGTCTTAAAATGTATGAACAGTCTTAATTTTAATCAATATAAGGAGGAAGACACACCCTAGATTTGTGCTGTCCAATAGGGTAGCCACTAGCCACATGCAGTCATTTAAATATAAGTAAATTTAAATAAAATTTAAGATTCAATGCTTTGAAATGTGAGCCATACTACCCACATTTCAAAGCTCAATAGCCATATATGACTGTGTCCACTGTACTGGGCAACACTGGCACAGAACATTGCTGTCATTGCAGAAAGTCCTCTTGGTCAGTGCTGCCTTAGACCTTTGCCCATACCACAAACTGCAGCTACTTGTACCTTAGAGCAAGGTGTAGATGTTTGGGCCCTAGAGTGGCTGTGTCCATCTCTGGAGAATGAAAGGATGGGTTAAATCCCACGGGGATAAAGCAGTGCAAGAAACCCTTCAGACAAAGGGTGTCTGCATAGAATAAGAGTTTGAGAGAGGTGAGGAGGAAGGGAGGTTAGAGGAAGAAATTAGGGAACAACTGAATCCTTTGGTGTCTTGAATCTTGACTAGACCTGAACCTTACTAGGACACAGGACCCCCAGAGGGAAGTTCCTCAGAGAGATTGTCACCCTATGCACAACTGATCCCAACAATAGATACCTCTGAGAGATTCAGGGCAGCTCTAATCTCCAGGCACTCAGTGGTGGGGAAAGGGTTAAGCATGTTGGACTCATATTATGGAAGAGAAAGTTTTTATGTAGCCAGGCAGTGGGGAATAATTCAGGCTTTCTTGACATTCGAGTGGGGTAACCAGTGCATCTGACAGTCGGCTCCTTAGAAATGGGTCTGTGCAGGCAAAGTCAGCTTATGTTGTGAGGCTCAGGCTTGAGTATGAGTAAGAAAGTGTCTGTGATACAAAAAGTTCTATTTTTCTTTCCAGCCCTGCTGGCTAGGGAGAATTTCTTCCCCATGTATATGGAGAAAGGAAGAAATCAGAGTCAGCGGGCAAAAAGAGTATAATTTAACCTGCTGTCTGGAAGCCATCTGTGAAGGGAATCACTTTTCTTTTCTGGACTTGTTTCCAGGTGCAGCTGCAGGGGATGACACCGAAGATACAAGCACTGAGTTCACTGACAGTATTGAGGAGGAGGCTGCACACCATAGTCACCAGCAAGTAAGTCAGTGTCAGGGTCTGGGACTTCCAGGGTGGACAGCACACAGCCCTTCTGAGGTCTGATAGTCTCCTGCAGCCCTTGCGGACTTAGTGAGAAGATATCTTTTTACATAAACTACTTCTCAGTCATCTTCCTGTTCTCCTTGAACTTCCCAGCTGCCTTTCCAACCCATATCTTCACTCCATTTTTCTCTCCAATCCACCCTTTGGTTTGTATTGTATCTCTTTCTTCTGCTTCCTTCCCCCTCCTACCCACCTTTGCCCCTATTTATTCTCTGTAGCTATAGCTTCAGAAGCATTTTTACTTGCAAGACGATGGACACATTCCCCTTGGGCTTTTTGTAACTGAAATGCACCACAGAAGACAGGGAGTCATCGAAGGGCTGCTCGGGGAGGTGGCAGGGCGGAGGAACTGCTTGGGAAGAAACTCCAAGAAGATTGGAATGCTTCCAAAGCAAGAATCTTTCTCAGTGAAATCTCATTATACAAAGAGAACCTTATGCAACCTGACAAACCACTGAGGTCATGGTGACTCAGTGATCAGCAGATGGTACTTCAACAGCAATCCCCTGTCAAACCTCAGAACTTGAGGCTGAAACATTGCTTCCACCCACCATCAGTGAAGATGTAACTAGC
The DNA here is from genome assembly GCF_000001405.40 of Homo sapiens. NCBI lineage: Eukaryota > Metazoa > Chordata > Mammalia > Primates > Hominidae > Homo > Homo sapiens. The sequence goes on along the minus strand of NW_025791753.1, from coordinate 140,159 downwards.
ATGTTACAAGAGTGAATAATCTGGACTTCAGAGATTAAGTCACCAATAGTGATCTCACAAGTACTCACCGGAACTCCTATAATGTCTCCACTTTGTCCATGCCATTTAGCAATCTCATCTCCTAAATGGACTGTGCCTATGATTCTTAAGGAGAAAGTGAATCATTGGTAGATATCCTGCACAAGCAGCTGGACTTTCCAGTAATAGCTTTCTTGGGGCTATTAGGAAAATTAAACAAGAAATGAGGCTTTCTGGGTCTGCCTGTATGTCTTCTGCATAAGAAAAAGAAGAGACATCGAATCAACCAATAAGAAGAGCCCAAATAAGCATCCTCAAATCTTTTGGGATTTGGCACTTGGGGACATGAGTAGTTGTCTGGGATACGTCATATTCTCAACAGTTTCTTTGTAGTAGTAGGATCACCTTCTTATAATAGGATCACCTTCTTGTTGCTATAGCTGTACCCGACCTTCCCTTCTCCCTTGAGTGCTTGCATGAGCTCCACTTTTCCTTTTGCTTGAACAGCTTCTCCTGAGTCCTCCTTACCGATGGTTGTGACTTTAATTATATACATCTCTGTCCCTCCAGACAGATCCCTCTGTCCTCACTCTCTGATTTCATTGAGGATCTTGGGTGAGAGAGAGGGACCTGCAGGATGAACAAATGTCTACTCTAAGACAGCTAGATTGGGAGGTTGGCTGGTCACTGATGGTTATAATGACTGTGGGACAGGATTAACTTCAGAATAAATGAACAGGAGACACAGATATGAAGAAAGTTTCTGATTGATATGGTCTGAAGTACTCCTGGTATTGCAAGTCATTTGCTCTAATTCTCAATTGTAGGCAAACTGATTTGTAAATTTGCTTCTTCAGCCTTCTTTCCTGTAGCCTAGCATGGAGAATCTGACCAGACCCCATTTTGAGAAGGTCAGCCTACACTGGAATGAACTTTTTACATTAGGGCATTTGTATTTCCCTCACAATACTTGCCACATTACTTGGCATAGGAGAGATGCTTAGTGTAATTATGAGTTAACAAGCCTTTGGATCAGGGCTTGACTCATGATAGACAAAGTATATGCCTGCTGGATGGAAGAATCTCTTGGGCGAGCACCATTTTTCTTTCCATCACCTTTCCTTGAAAATATATCTTCAGCTTTGGGTAGGAGGAATCTTGGTGTATGAAATCATTGCAAATTTACTTCATCTTTTCTGGAGTTTGAAGTTGTGACTCTCCTGCTACCAATTAAATAAAGCTTACTTTGCCATAACTGTTTTGTGTCCAGATTCTCAAAATTTGTTTGCTTGTTTCCAGGAAAATGGTCCCTTAAAGGTAGATTTTGAGCTTCTCCTTGTTATGTCCTTGGAAGGTAAATTTTTGCCTGACACCAAGTTCCCTTCCTACTCCAAGCATTCATATGCTTTTCCTAACAGACACATCCCACCTTGTCTTTCTTCCAAGGTGAGAATCACCTTTTGGCCAATACAAGTTGCTTGCTCCTTATGTTTTGGACTCAGCCACCTCAGGAAGCCTCAAGTCTGGCCATGATAGTAATTTTCCCTAGATTATCTCCCACAAAATTCTATTCTCAAGCAGATGTAAGATCTATAATAAATACCTATGAAATTGCTGTGAAAGAAACTAGAGTAACCAACCATTGCATTTTTTATGTGAAGTTTTGTAATGGAGAAAAAGTTAATCAAGAATAAAGATTCAGGCCCAGGTAGTGTGCATCTATAGTTGCAGCTACTCAGGAGGCTGAGGCAAGAGAATCTCTTGAGCCCAGGAGTTCAGGGCCAGCCTGGGCAACATAATGAGACCCCTACCTCTTAAAGAAAAAAAATCAAGATTCAAATATGAAGAACAGACGTTAGTAGACAAAGTGTGATAAACTTGAAAAAAGCTATTTTAAAAAAATAGTTATTTTTGATTGACAAATCGTAATTGTATACATTTATGGGGTATATGATTATATATATATATACACACAATATGGAATGATTAAACCAAGCTAATTACATATTCATAAACTTGCCTACCTACCATTTTTGATGGTGAAACATTGAAAATTTACTCTTATTTTGAAATATACATTTTATTGGCTATAGTCACCCTGCTATGCAATATATCTTAAGACCTATTCTTTTTGTCAATACTTTTGATCAACAATTCCCCCTACTCTCCCTCCCCACTCCACCAGCCTCTAGTAACCACCATTCTACTCTTTGCTTCTATGAGTTCAACTTCATTAGATTCCACATATAGGTGAGCCTATGTGGTATGTGTGCCTGGCTTATTTCACTAAGCATAATGACCTTCAGATTCATTCATGTTGTCACAAATGACAGGAGCTCTCCCCCAACATTTTAAGGTTAAATAGTATTCCATTGTGTATTATCTGCCACATTTTCTTTACCCATTTATCTACTGATGGACCTAGGTTGGCTCTACATCTTAACATAAATTATGAATAATGCTGTAATGAACATGAGAGTGCAGATATACCTTTAACATATTCATTTCAGTTCCCTTGGATATATACCCAGAAATGGGATTACTGGATCATAGGGTAGATTCTATTTTTAGGTTTTTGAGGAAACTCCATACTGTTTTCCACACCAGCTGTACTAATTTACATACCTATTCACAATGTCTGTGTTCCGTTTCCTCTGCATTATCTCTAACATATCATTCACCTTTTTGATAAATGCCACTCCAACAGGTGTGAGATGATATTCATTATGGTTGTAATTTGCATTTCCCTAATGATTAGTGATGCTGAGCATTTGAGAAAAGCTAATTTTTAATGCCTTAATGTTGAGAACTGACTTAACATTGGGACAGATACGAAGCAATAGGGTAAAAGCAAAACAATGTCATTCAAACAAGATATCAGATTTGCACAGAGGCCTTTGTGGGGCAGATGGGAACCCAGCACACAAAAAGTTGAATTATATGAAGCAATATCACAAGTGAGTTAGGAAATGTGGAAAAAAAAACCAATAAGACAGATATAATTAAAAATAGACCTAATGGATTCACACTATCACTACAAATACTGGAAGCCCTGGGGTTTCATTTGGGGGAAATAAATACTTGCTTTCATACATGATCAAAACTAATGAAAAGGCTAGATCCTGAGTTACTTTTCAGGCATTTACATTTAAAACTTAAAGTTACATATGTATACATGTGCCATGCTGTGCTGCACATTATGCACATGTACCCTAAAACTTAAAGTATAATAATAATAAAATAAAAAAATAAAAAATAAAAAAAGAAATAAAAAATAAAAGTTGTATATATGTAAAAAAAAAAAAAACCTTAAAGTTAGCCAAAGAAAGTCCACTTTGAGATGGAAATATGAAAACCCAAATTAGCCTGGGGAAAAATGAGATCCCTAGGCAATGTTTGATTTTCTCACTTTAAAGTGGGAAATTAGATCAGATGTACCTTAAGGTTTTTCTGGTGTTAACATTCATGGTTCATAATTTTTTCTTTTTAAAGAAAATAGGTGTATTGAAACCAATAGAACAAGATAACATATATCCAGAAGGCACTTTAATAATGGGTAAACTTCATTAAAGTTAGACATTATTTTTAAGCAGAAGGAACCCTTAAGGCCTAGAAAAGAATAATGCTGTGCCCACACTCAAGACTAATGGCAAAGTGTGTTTTAGTTAAGTTACTCGGAAAGAGTTTATATAGAATGACAACATCACATAGTTTAAATAAGGGATGGGATCGTAAGCTTTCAGAAGTGGTTTTATTTGGTCCCCCTTCCTTTATTTTGTCACAAATGCTGGGGGGCACATATGGAGATGGCCACCAGCCTGATTAAGCCTGCCAGCAGAATCTTAGAGACAGACATTCCCAGGAGCCTCCCAAATCTCAGGCTCACAAAGTCCAAGTAAGATTGGGTGCCTGGGACTTGAGTGGCTTTGTCTAAGGATCTTTCTTCTTTGACCTGGGTGCGCATGTCTTCACAACCTCAACTGCTATGCTACTGAACACCATTGCACATGCATACTGTGAATCGACCCTACCACAAACCTGTGACCTACATTTGAACATACTTTGTTATGGGTAATAGCAAAAGTCAGTGGCTTTGCACCAACCCCAGCAGCTCTGTCAGTCGTTGATCCATATAAGCTGTTCTGGGCCCTGCTCTCTTCAATGTATTGGTGACCTGAATGGAGATATAAAGCATATAATTAATTCTACAAGTTATCCCCAATCACTTGTAGTGGGGGCCAGTACATGATTTGTGGAAATGCACATCAAATATTTGGATGACTCGGATAATTGGGGAATGATTCAGTATAGCCAGAATGAATTTATAAGTGACAATTACAAGTCACAATATTTGTAGAGATAAAAGAAAACAACATGACTCAGCAACAGCTGTGGGGGAGGGGTGGAAAATTCAGAGGCCAAAATTGACCCAAAGTTAAGTAAAAGCTCCAAATGCTGCCACTGAGAAGAAAAAGAAGCCAATGTGACATTGGGACATATTAAGATTAATATTGGACAGACAGGCAGGAACTCCTTGTACTAAAGTAATTAGTCATATGCTAAGTAGATTATCATACTCAGATTTTGATTTCTACACTTTTAAGAGCGTGGGAAAAGACCAAAGATAAGCCCAAAATGAACAATAACAAAGTCTAAAAGTTAACAAATTCCCATTTGAGCAAAGGCCATAAGATCTGCTTTAATTAAAACATTGATGAATAACTTCAAGAGTGTCCTCAAGAAATAGAAAGGTGCTGGGCAGTTGTTCCTGCCTCTGTTTCTTCCACATGCTGAGATTTGTAGAGAGAGTTTGTCTGGCAGCATCAGCACAAAGATAATAACCAAAAAGTGAGGTTGGCTGCTTGGCAGGATGGCTTCATCTCCATCTCCCAGTAGCTGCGGAGTGTGATTCTTCTGCTGCCAATGAAATAGTTGGTGTTGTCTTCCCTGTCGCTCCACCTTATTCTAATTCTGTAACTGTGTCTGCCGACTGTTTCCCCAGTGCCCTGAGTCCTCCCTCTCAGCTGTCCTTGAGGGAGTTGGAGTTACAGGCAGGGCCTTAGGCTTTGCGCCCTGATATCTTAAGCCATCATCTCCCGCCATCCAGGACTCAAGTGTTGCAGAGCTGATGAAGCTTCCTGACTTGTGAGAAAACTCGCAGGGCTCTGTCTCCTCAGGAAGAGAAAGAATCACCGTATTCACACCCTCCAGTCCTGTTTCAACCTCGTTTGTTTGCATTTGTTTTAATTTCTTATGTGCTTTTCTCCCTCACCATCTCTGGATTCTCCTCTTCTCCATGGGGAAATTCCTCCTGCTCATTTTGTGTGTCCTTCCCACCCAAACCAGTCCCCAGGGCCCTTATGCCTGACTAAGGAGGTTCTGGTTAGGGAGTTTATTTTAGATCTGCTTTTTTTGTTTGTTTTTGTTCTCATTGAAAACTGCCTTTGCAATCTCATGTTTCTCTTGGGTCCTCTTTAATGGCCTAACTTCTTCAAACCATGATTTTCTTTTAGCTTGTCAAGGTGGCTTTGGAGAAAAGTCTGGCAACTGTGGAGACCCAGAACCCATCTTTTTCCCCTCCTTCTCCGATGGGAGGGGACAGTAACAGGTGTCTTCAGGAAGAAATGCTCCACCTGAGGGCTGAGATCCACCAGCACTTAGAAGAGAAGAGGAAAGCTGAGGAGGAACTGAAGGAGCTAAAGGCTCAAATTGAGGAAGCAGGATTCTCCTCAGTGTCCCACATCAGGTAGAACATTCTTCCCAGGGAAGGGGAGCTTGCGGGTCATGAGGCACCACAGCCAAGGGGTGCCTATCCCAGGCTCCATGCATTAATATTTCTACAAATTCTTTAGATAAAAGTAAGTAATATTGGCTAATGGTAATCACTTTCTGTTATTCAAATAATCCTGGTCTTAATTCAGTATAACAGTGCCCACTATTATTGTGCATCTGCCAGTCATACATATGACAGTCATGGTGGAAACCTCCTTGTTACATGACCAGTATTGCTGTTTTTAATTGACCAAAACGTATAAGGAATCCCTGCTACCTAATATGTCTCACTGCTGTATACAGAACCAGAACAGTTCACGAAGGAGGAGGAATTTTTTTTTTTTTTTTCGTTGAGATAGAATCTCGCTCTGTCGCCCAGGCTGGAGTGCAGTGGCAAGATCTTGGCTCACTGACTGCAAGCTCCGCCTCTCGGGTTCATGCCATTCTCCTGCCTCAGCCTGCCGAGTAGCTGGGACTATGGGAGCCCGCCACCACGCCCGTCTAATTTTTTCTTTTTGTATTTTTAGTAGAGACGGGGTTTCACCATGTTAGCCAGGATGGTCTCAATCTCCTGAACTCGTGATCCCCCCACCTCAGCCTCCCAAAGTGCTGGGATTACAGGAGTGAGCCACCGCACCCGGCTGGAGGGTTTGTGTAGAGGCCCCTCCCTCTCCTCTCAGCTCTCACTCATAAGTCCTTCAATCATAGAGTATCAATTTTAATCATCTCTGCTGCTTTAGTAATTTTACAAAAATAGCAGGTAGCTCATTGATTGGTTAGATTGGCCACTCTGTCTTTGATGGCTTTTTGTCAAAAGCTCCTTGGAGAACATGCTGATACTGTAGGGCTGATCCATTTATTCATTCACTCCCAGGACTATAATCATCACTGCCTGTTTAAAGTACAGCTGTATGACTTCTAAATCATGCCCTGTTTTTTCCCTGCATGTTACTTACCACTTAAATTTCCCTGAATAATGTTAGCACTTTGAAAAGGGCCCAGGCATCTAGCCTCATGTCGTTGTTTCATAGCTGAGGAAACTCAGGCCTAGAAAGTTTCAAGTGACTTGCTCAAGGTTGCATAATAGTCTGTGGCTCCCAATTTCTAACATCTAAACCTTGCTTCTATACTACATACTTTGTCAAACAATTTTTAAAAAATTCTTGTGATTGTTCTAAGTGCTGATTCTTTTGCTCTGAATTATCATAATAACTTTTTCCTTAAGTTCTACTTAAAGCATATTATTTTACTTAAATTTTTGTATGTGTAAACTTAATTGAGTTGTCATGGGTAAGAACAGTACATCTCTTTTGATTCTATTGTTGAACCTACAATCAAACCATCTATAGCTATCCCTGTGGATTATTTTCCTTTGTCCTCAGAGTTACTAACCTGAGACTCTGATTTGTTCAACCCTCCACCCAACCTACAGAATCACTTATACTGTAGAAGGTAGAATCTAATGCATTGTTCTTCCTTTCAAGAAGGTTTTGTTGAGTTTTTCTTTTATTTGTTTGTATTTAAAAATATCAGTTTTTTTTAATATGAAGTTAGAACATAATATTAAATATTCTTTTCCATATACACATGCGCCCTCTTTATCCCCTTTCCACATCCCAGTTTTGGTAAAATACCTATCCCCTTTTTCTTTATTGAGAAACTATCTCATAGATTGTCTGTATCCTATGTCCTATTTTCCTCCCAGAAACACACCAGACAAGCTCTGCTGTAGGTTCCAAGACTCCTGGATTCTGAGAAATTCAATCTAGGTGCATAGCCCACTGCTGATCCTTCAATTTGTGAATTACCCATTTCCTGTGCATCCTCTAGCTCAGGGGTTCTCAGTTTAGCATGCTTAAGAATCACCTGTGGACTGGGCGTGGTGGCTCATGCCTGTAATCTCAACATTTTGGGAGGCCAAGGCAGGCGGATCACCTGAGGTCAGGAGTTCGAGACCAGCCTGCCCAACATGGTGAAACCCCTTCACTGCTAAAAATACAAAAGTTAGCTGGGCGTGGTGGCACGTGCCTGTAGTCCCAGCTACTCGGGAGGCTGAGGCAGCAGAATTGCTTGAACCCAGGGGTGGAGGTTGCAGTGAGCCAAGATCTCACCACTGCACTCCAGCCTGGGTGACAGAGTGAGACTCTGTCTCAAAAAAAAAAAAAAAAAAAAAACAATAAATAAAAATTAAAAAATCACCTGTGGAACTTAAGTAAAATGTGGATTCATAGGCCTTAGCTCTACAGCTTTTTAAACAAGCACCTTATGGGATTCTGGTGTTGGTATTTCTCAGGTCTGCAGCTAGTACAGCAGGGATTGAATGACTTCCCTGTTAGACCCTGAGCTAGCCATACCGTATATGCAATTTCATTTAAGCATCTGCTAACTCTACTAGGTAAGTGTTATCATCCTTATTTTATATAAAAGGAAACTGAGGCTCAAAAAAGTTAAGTGAATAGACTTGTTACAGCCATGTTTGCTTCCACTCAACCCTAGTATGAGTTTGTTGTTGTGGAAAGAATTTATCTGGAATGTCTTGGTGCAAATTAGCTGTTTTGGTCAATTTTATTTCTTCAACAAATATGAATGATTTATGTGGCAGGCACTTGTGTAGGCACTGGGGATATGGGATGAATAGGACAGACACAGTCCTGCTCTCAAGAAGGTTATCTCCATCACGTGAGCCAGACATAAAGCAAACAATTATCTAAGTACATTTTGATTATATTAATAGTTCTGATTAGTGTTATTTATTTATTCTGTGTTCCTAAGTCCCAATGGTTTGAAACTGACTGATGATAAATAATAGAACTGTAAAATTTATAACAATAAATTTGTTACAGAAAAGGTCTTATTTTTTAACAGTGTAAGTACTCTGGTTTATTCCAGAGGCTACTAAAAATTAGAACATATGAGGCTATGGGGCACAAGTAAAGAAAACTAGCCTGCATGTCTTGAGTCCAAGGTTTCTAGTGATGGTGCTGCCACCAAGAAGCTGTGGAAGTTTGGGCAAGTCTCTTACTTTTCCTGAGCCTTGGCTTTCTTGTATATAAAATTAGGGGGCTGTGGTAGGTCTCAGGTTGCTTCATGCTCTGGGGTAAGTCTGAGTTAATTGCGGGCTGAGATGTTGGTAAGAGGTAGTATTAGGAACTGTTGTGAGGACCAGAACTAGCCCTCAATTAAGTGTGTTTCCTGCAGGAACACCATGCTGAGCCTTTGCCTTGAGAATGCGGAGCTGAAAGAGCAGATGGGAGAAACAATGTCTGATGGATGGGAGATCGAGGAAGACAAGGAGAAGGGCGAGGTGATGGTTGAGACTGTGGTAACCAAAGAGGGTCTGAGTGAGAGTAGCCTTCAGGCTGAGTTCAGAAAGCTCCAGGGAAAACTGAAGAATGCCCACAATATCATCAACCTCCTCAAAGAACAACTTGTGCTGAGTAGCAAGGAAGGGAATAGTAAACTTACTCCAGAGCTCCTTGTGCATCTGACCAGCACCATCGAAAGAATAAACACAGAACTGGTTGGTTCCCCTGGGAAGCACCAACACCAAGAGGAGGGGAATGTGACTGTGAGGCCTTTCCCCAGACCCCAGAGCCTTGACCTTGGGGCTACCTTCACAGTGGATGCCCACCAAGTAAGTGTGGGCTTAGATTGAGTGAAAAACAATTGGAGAAGGGCTTGAGATGACAGTGTTTACCTTAAAACATTCTCCCATATGAATCAGGAGGTACCAAGAGAAGGGTCTCTTTGTACCACAAACAATAATAGTAATATTCTGCCTACATTCAGCCTTTAGAAAGGCTTTTATAACATAAATATTTCTTGAGTACTTAATTTTTCAGATAACACACTAGGCATTGGCATGGGGCAATAAAACCAATGGCTGCCCCTGAGATACTTAATATTGTCGGGAAAGATGGCACACAAACAGGTAATTTTAACAGGATGTGGTAACTGCTGTAACATAGGGATGCATCAGGTTATGAGGCAGCCCAGACAAGTGGTATGTAATGACATCCCTTATCACTGCCATTTTTTTGTCACAGCTCATCACAGGTGTCTGTTCCTGGTCTTCAGATGGGTTACTGGGATCCTCTTTAGGGAAGGAGCCATGCTGAAGATTCAGTGAAATGGAGAATACAGGGATTCTGAGAGAATCAATGGGACAGAATGTGAGGGGAGATGAGTGGTCTCTTTTTGACCACTGAGAAAACATTTCCTGAGAGCTCCTCTGTAGACCTGATTGGTGCTGTGCTGTGTGCTGTGGATACAGATATGAAGAAAACATTATCCCAGCGCTCCAGGAGCTCCATCTGGAAAGCAAGTCACTGCCAAATGGCATGAGAAGTGCTGTGACAGACTTGAGTACAGTCCACAGGGTTCAGAAGGGGCGGTGGTCGTCACTGCATGGGGGTGACCTCAGACTGTCCTGATCCCTGTATTGGCCCCTTTCACAGTTGGATAACCAGTCCCAGCCTCGTGACCCTGGGCCTCAGTCAGCGTTTAGCCTACCAGGGTCCACCCAGCACCTGCGCTCCCAGCTGTCACAATGCAAACAACGCTATCAAGATCTCCAGGAGAAGCTGCTGCTATCAGAAGCCACTGTCTTTGCTCAGGCTAACGAGCTGGAGAAATACAGAGTTATGCTTAGTAAGTAACTATGACTTACTAGTAAAGAAAACTAGCCTATGTGTCTTATAAGTTCTGTATGTTCTATACCGACATAACGTGGTTATTGAGCACACGAAGTGTGGCTAGTGCAACTTGGACATTTGGTTTTATTTAATTTTAGTTGATGTAGTATAAAGTGGCCATATGTGGCTGCTAACTACCTTATTGGACAGTACAGGTCTAGGGTCTTGGGACTCTAAATTAGTTCAGCTCCATTCAACATTTATTGAACCCCTGCGGATAAAGCACTTGCCAGCTTCAATGGGGCTGCTAGAGATGATAGTGTACAATCCCTGACTTACAGATATCTGGTCCCAACTAAAGCCTGGGTTATCTGAAGGGGAGATAATGGCAAATGCAGGCTCCTCCTTTGGAAAGAAATTCTGCTTCCTGGAGCTGGTGATCTCTTCTCCCACCAGTTCAGAGAAGCTTCTCTCCCACTGTGGATCTGCCTTCCGTGCCTCAAAAGGTTAGGGTATGTGCCATTGAGGCTGAGGGCATATGTGGGAAATTCAGACATTCTGTAACACCTGCTTCTCTTCCCAAGCAGGTGAATCCTTGGTGAAGCAGGACAGCAAGCAGATCCAGGTGGACCTCCAGGACCTGGGCTATGAGACTTGTGGCCGAAGCGAGAATGAGGCTGAACGGGAGGAAACCACCAGTCCTGGTAAGAGCACAGGGTGTGGGGCTCACCCCTCCCTGGAGTCAGCTGTCACATTTGGATGCTGTTGGCCAATTCCACACCTGACAAGTATTGGGGAAGAGGAGGACAGGAGGTTAATAGGAGAAATCTTACCCAAAATGAGGCTGAGTATAAGTTTGAATTTCTACAATTAGTTTTTGGCATACTGCTAATAACAATAATAATATAAAATTCTATCCAACTGATTATTATAGAAATACTAAGGCCTACTTAGAGACCAGATAAGGTTTTAGAAACATGCAAGCCATAAATTAAAAATAATTTTGTTTTGCATTATAAAAAGACTACAACTATAGGGCCACCCACCACATTGAAAACCAGAAGAGAAAAAAAACACAATCTCTCTCATTCTTGAGGCAGTGTAGTGTGGCAGTTAAGAGACAAGATCCTGGGGCCAGACTGGTTGGTTCAAATCCCAGTTTGAAAACTTTCCTATGTCCCAGTTTCTTCATGTGTTAAAATAGTAATAAAGGAACTACCTACCCCATCAGGTACTAAGTCAATTAAATGAGTAAATTCTTATAAAATGCTTTAGAACAGTGCCTGGCATCTGGTAAAATGCCATGGATTAGTTCTCAGTCTGACTACCACTGCCGTAATACACTGATGTTAACATGCTGATATATTTATTTGAAGCCTTATTTTCCTATGCCTATTTTTCATACAGTTGTAACCCAATAAACTTTTAAATTATAGTAAAATTTAAAGAGCATTAAACTTTCAACATGCAGTAATAGCTTGTCCTACATTCTTGTGGCCATCCTAAATAGATAAGGCCATGTTAATGTCTTAAGAAACACCAGTGTGTGTGGAATGAACACAGGACATTGGAGGATTTGAATTCTGGCTCTGCCATGTGCTAGTTTGAGTGATCTAGAACAAGCTAGTTTACCACCTCTCTTTAAGTTTTGGTTTCCCAGTCAGTAAAATAGAAAGTGATGAAACCTAACTTGTAGGTATAAGGAAGATAAGAAATATTGTATTTGAATGCCTAGTACAGTGTCAGGGTTGAATAAAGTACTACTTCAACTTTTTCCCTAGTAATTATTGTCCTCATGACCAAACCTGCCTCCTCTCAAAGGCAGTGGCCACAACAGCACATCCAACTTTTATTTAGGAAGACATCTTTGTCTTTTTTCAGAGTGTGAGGAGCACAACAGCCTCAAGGAAATGGTCCTGATGGAGGGGCTGTGCTCTGAGCAGGGACGCCGGGGCTCAACACTGGCTAGTTCCTCTGAGAGGAAGCCCTTGGAGAACCAGCTAGGGAAGCAGGAAGAGTTCCGGGTATATGGAAAGTCAGAAAACATCTTGGTCCTACGAAAGGACATCGAAGATCTGAAGGCCCAGCTGCAGAATGCCAACAAGGTCATTCAAAACCTCAAGAGCCGGGTCCGGTCCCTCTCAGTTACAAGTGATTATTCGTCTAGTCTGGAAAGACCCTGGAAGCTGAGAGCTGTTGGCACCTTGGAGGGGTCTTCACCTCATAGTGTCCCTGATGAGGATGAGGGGTGGCTGTCTGATGGCACTGGGGCTTTCTACTCTCCAGGGCTTCAGGCCAAAAAGGACCTGGAGAGTCTCATCCAGAGAGTATCCCAGCTGGAGGCCCAGCTCCCAAAAAATGGACTAGAAGAGAAGCTGGCTGAGGAGCTGAGATCAGCCTCGTGGCCTGGGTAAGGATGGCACTGTTTGGGTACTTTCTTGATTGAAAATGTGTAAGTTCATGCTTGGCGTAGGGTAGCTCAGGCAGTTGGAAGAAAGAACATGTCTGGGTATTCAAAGGGACACTGATTTAAATGGTAGATACAGGTCTGCAGAAAAGACAGGTAGGCAACCAGGAGGGCATAGGATGATGTTCCAGTATCTGGGAGATACCGGGTCTCAGGGATTTCCTCTTAGGGATATATTAGTAAAGATGGTATAGTATAGTAGTAATACTGGAATCAGACTACCTACCTCTGGTGCTTACTACCCATGCAACCTTCTTAACCTTTCTGAGCCTTTGTCCTTACCTATTAAATGAGGATGATAAGAGAACCCATCTCAAAGGGTGGATATTAGGTTTAAATGAATTAATACAACTGCTGACCAGGCGTGGTGGCTCATGCCTGTAATCCCAGCACTTTGGGAGGCCAAGGCAGGTAGAACAGACCAGCCTACCCAACATGGTGAAACCCCATCTCTACTAAAAATACAAAGATTAGCTGGGCATGGTGGTGCACACCTGTAATCCCAGCTATTCGGGAGGCTGAGGCAGGAGAATCGCTTGAACCTGGCAGGTGGAGGTTGCAGTGAGCCGAGATGGCACCACTGCACTCCAGCCTGGGTGACAGAGCAAGAGTCTGTCTCGGAAAAAAAAAAAAAAGAATTAATACAAGTGCTTAGAATAGTGCCTAGCATATGTTAAGCTCTCAATGCTATTTGCCATAGTTATAAGTGTTATTGATACTTAGTGTTGAAAACACAGACATTCATCTTGGTGTGTCCTGGTTATCTATTGCTAAGTAATAACCACTCTAAAACTTAGTGACTTCAAACAACACTTTATTATGCTTCATGGTTCTATGGTTTGACTGGTCTCAGCTGGGTGGTTCTCACTTAGGGTCTCTTGTTTTGGGTCCCATCAGTTGATGGTATGAGTGTTTATGTGATGGCCATCATTGCAAAATATAGTCAGCCACAGTATCATAACATAGAAGAAATTCAGGCATCAGGTGGTGGTTAAAACAGAAGGCATGAAAGGTTCTATCCAGACTTAGGATGAAATGATGCTAATTATTCATTGAGTAACTGCTGTGAATCTATGTGATACTGGTGCTGTAAGGGATGTAAAATGCAGAACTATGTTTATTCTCACAGACCTTATGATTTATCTAGGGACATATAATTAACACATGTATAACAGTTGAAGAACAGTGACATACTAAATTTTTTTTTGATACGGAGTCACTCTGTCATCCAGGCTGGAGTGCAGTGGTGCCGTCTTGGCTAACTACAACCTCCACCTCCTAGGTTCAAGCAATTCTCCTGCCTCAGCCTCCCGAGTAGCTGGGATTACAGGCATGTGCCACTATGCTCAGCTCATTTTTTTTGTATTTTTAGTAGAGGCAGGGTTTCACCATATTGGCGAGGCTGGTCTCAAACTCCTGACCTTGTGATCTGCCTGCCGTGGCCTCCCAAAGTGCTGGGATTACAGGCGTGAGCTACCACGCCCGGCCCGTACTAAGTTTTTTAATGCAATACTTTATCAGGGTAGAATTTACTCTTAAATACCTCCTATGGCTTATGTGCCAGAATTTAGCTTGGGGGAGTTCCTTAGAGACGTTCTCATAGAAATCTCTACAGAAGCCCCCATAACTCCATAAGTTAGCTTCCACTCTTTCCATACTTACTCTTTCCTCTTCTGTCCTGCATTAGGAAATATGATTCCCTGATTCAGGATCAGGCCCGGGAACTGTCTTACCTACGGCAAAAAATACGAGAAGGGAGAGGTATTTGTTATCTTATCACCCAGCATGCAAAAGATACAGTAAAATCTTTTGAGGATCTCCTAAGGAGCAATGACATTGACTACTACCTGGGACAGAGCTTCCGGGAGCAACTCGCCCAGGGAAGCCAGCTGACAGAGAGGCTCACCAGCAAACTCAGCACCAGTAAGTTGGCCACAGGGCTTTGGAATACTCTCAGTCACCCCCACAGTTCCAGCCCCTGGTGGCCACCACATCTCCACTGCAACTTTTTATCCTAAGGTCCTGTTTCTATTTCATTTCCTGGGGCTAATACAGGATCAAGACTGCTCAGTGGGGAGCATGGAGAGGAAAACACAGGGCTGGAGATGCCATGGTTACAACTATAGAAACTTCACCACTAATGGAATGTGACCTGTGGGGCAGGGGCAGCATCTCTCTGATGCTAAGAGGGAGTAGGGGACATGAGATGGAAGGGCTTTGTTATAGGAGGAAGAGCCCTGAACCAAGAACTACAAGACTCAAGCTCTGGCCTGGATGCTGCCACCAACTCGCTAAATGCCTTATCCTTGTGGTGTCTCCATTTATGGCATGGTAATGTGCATGCAGGTACTCCACATATGGATAAAGCGCCATGCTCTTTTATACATGGTTTAGGCACTGGCTGCAGTAGTTCAAGGGCTACATTGGTTATTATTGGGGTCTTCTACTCAGAATTTCCAGCGACTATCCAAGGGAGTAAAGTAGGATCAGACTTGGGAGCCACCCAGCCCACCACCTGGTGGCAGATGCAGAGGTGGGGCAGGGCTTCTTGTCATCTCCTCAGAGACCAGTGCAGGTTCTGCATGAAAGCTGTGGTGGGGCATATGCATTGGGGAGCTAGTCTGCAGCAGGACATGGAGGCTGGAGTGTCCCGCAGGGCAGCTGGGCAAGGGCCTCATGATTAATGGAACAAAAGACATTATAAATGTTTTACCCTGATTTAGGGCAGAGGAAGTCATCATGGTGACCGGCAGGTCAGGGACAGTGGGGTCACTTCTCTAGAGACACAAGCTGAGGTATCCCAGAATAACTGTTCTGGATGCACACATGAAATGCTCACTACTCTGTCTCCAGATAGGCTCCTGCATTTGTAATGCGGGAAGTGGGACCAGCCTAATTTCTTATCGTCTCTTTCTAAATTTGGTTTACAGAGGATCATAAAAGTGAGAAAGATCAAGCTGGACTTGAGCCACTGGCCCTCAGGTAATTCAGAGGAGAATCTGGGAAAGAGATTGGGACCGAGGCCCAAAGGGTCAAGGGTGGCGGCAACTCCACAAATCAAGGGGAATAAAGCAAAGTGCTGAATGTATTGAATTCAGGCATTCATTGAACACCTCACTGTTGTTTTTAACTAAATTCTTTCTTCCCTTTTGGTTGAATTATATTGGCACATTAATTCTCCAGGCTTAGTAACCTAGAAACAGTCTGAGCTAAAAGTGAACTAACTAGGTTTCAAGAGTCTTCTGCCCCACTAAGGGTCCTGCTTTCCTGCTGTGTGTTTAATAAGCAGGATGAGCTTTTTCCAAAGTTGGGTTGACAGCTAATTTAATAGTCACTCAATTGCCCTGGGGGAAAAAAGGAATCATATAACAGGACCTGGTGAAAGAGGCCTAGATGGTGTAGATCACCAGGAGGCTGCAGTGCCTCAGGACCCAGTTCTCAGTGAGTTGCTTCATATAATGATCAATGAAATACGGGCTCAGAGTCCGTTGTAGCCACTAGTTGGGGTTCTTTGTGTCATGCTTGTGTCTCAGACTACATAAATGCTTCTGAAAGTATCTGTAGTGAAGGACACAGTGGTTTTTTTTGTTTTGTTTTGTTTTTATTTCTAATCTATCATAGAAACATATATGGTCTGAATTCAGTTAATTACATGATTCCACTTATCATGCTCTTGGATGTTGGGACAGTGGTTTGTTCTGTGTTTCTCAATGCTTGCTTTCAATTTTTATACTTGTCTTGTTGGAGATGGTAACAAACAGTTCGCAGGCTGCAACTGTTCCAGGGATCATACATTAAGCAGCAGTGCCTTAAAAGGAGGGCTAGCTATGTCTTTGCTTGTCCTCAGCATATTATGTGGCCAGAGCACTAGGTAGCTATTCTCTCTCCATCTACACCCCACCTACACTCCATCCCTAAGCAGAGGTGGGTTATTTCCATAATTATCTGCAGGCATGGTCCCCTTGGCTTACTTGGCTTTTCCTATGAGCCATAGTCAGGACAGGTTGGTTTCGGTGACCTTGGTTTTACCCGTTGTCCCCCTTCTCCCCACCAGGCTCAGCAGGGAGCTGCAGGAGAAGGAGAAAGTGATTGAAGTCCTGCAGGCCAAGCTGGATGCTCGGTCCCTCACACCCTCCAGCAGCCATGCCTTGTCTGACTCCCACCGCTCTCCCAGCAGCACCTCTTTCCTGTCTGATGAGCTGGAAGCCTGCTCTGACATGGACATAGTCAGCGAGTACACACACTATGAAGAGAAGAAAGCTTCTCCCAGTCACTCAGGTAGCCTCCACTTTCTGGGTGGTACCATCTTTGTCTAGGGTGAGTGGAGAACTCAGGAAACAGGGCTTATAGCTCCACCATGGTGTGTATCAGGCTGAACATGGCTGTGGGGCCAAGTGCCATGCACAGGCACCAGTGGATCAGGATCTTTGCTCTGCTCCTGACTCTACAAGTTACCTCTGTCACCGTGGTCTCCATGGGCACGTACATGCTGTTGGGCACAAAGTGAGCCACTGTGGGGAGAGTGAGAAGATCACGGCAGACTCTTCTTCCTTGGTGACTCTGTCAGATAGATCTTCTTTAAGATGGAAAACCTCCTTCATCTCTCCTACAATGATCTTGCTACTTATTCCTGAGCAGTGGTCCCTAAGTATATGTGGGTGTCCACAGATGCTGCTAGTCTTGCCTGATATTTTTGGAGTTGCCATTTTCATGTTTCAGAGCTCAGAGCACCGCTGTCATCCCTAAGGTGGTTTGCCTCACTATAGGAGCTGTCTGCAAGCAAGAAAATGAACACTGCTAACAGTGCTTGTGCTTGGTTCTTTCCCTGAAAGCAAGACTCTAGCCCTGGTACCCCTGGGTAAACATAAGGGCAGGATTCCAGTTCTCTATAGAACATCATACGTTTTCTTTCATTCATGGGTTTTATAGATTCCATCCATCATTCGAGTCATTCTGCTGTGTTGTCTTCTAAACCATCATCAACCAGTGCATCTCGGGGGCTAAGGCCGAATCCAACAGCAACCCCATCAGCTTGCCAACTCCCCAGAATACCCCCAAGGAGGCCAACCAAGCCCATTCAGGTATGCAACAGCCAATGGGGCAGAAGCTTCATCTCCCCTTTCTCTGCTGCCTGTTTGACTTTTCTTCAACGACAGAGGTTTGAACTGTTAGGGGCCTAAATGCATCAAAACCTAGACAGAATCGAGAAACCATCCTCATTTTCCAGTTGTGTCTGATTTAAGAAAATATTTTAGAAAATAAGTAATCCACATCAGGTTTTGATCTGCATACCAGTTCTGACCAGTAGTTGGCTAATCATTTAAAAAGAAACATTTTTATTGGTTTTCTCTCATTTTATCCTGGGAGCAAAGAGGCAAAATGTTTCTCCCAGGATTACAACAGCCATAGGATGAAAAGAAATTCACATCTATTGATCCACTGTATGTGTTACCCATTAAATCTGCATGGAGATCCTCTGCAAGAGGTAGTGCTACTTGTAGCCAAGGATGGTGAGAACAGCCTCAGACAAGGTTCTGTTCATAGTACGTTACCATTAATGGATGTATGAATGGATTGGCAGTCCTCCATATGTACATAGTGCATATCTTGGGGGCAGTTAAAGGGGTGCATTTCATTTACAAGTTCAGCTTAGTTGCCGGAGGGTACACTGCTCATTCACAGCCCTGTACCAGGGATGGCAAGAAAAGGCAAACCTTGTCTTCGCCTCCTACCTCCCACCATAGCTGGCTGGCTGCCTTCAGTGTGGTTTGTTGTGAGGTTTGACTTGAGTAGAGGTGCTCCCAGAAAGCACAGTGCTTTCTTCTGCTGCCCTCATTTCCCTGAAAGCAATTCAACTAAAATCTTAAGGAAGAGGAAGTGTTCCAATGCTTCCTGAGCCTGGTTTCAAAGTTTCTAGGCCAGAGTAGGCAGCAGCTGGACCAGAATCATGAGGAAAAGCTGTGCTTCCAGACTTATAGACATCTGCTTAAATGTTGTGGGTTCAAACAGAGCAGTAGGTAAAGAACAGAGGATTTTAAAATCAGAATGCCTCCTCAAAGAATGCCTGGGCTGTGTTACCTGGCAATTTGAGTATATTTGCAGTATTGATCTGAAATGGTGCCAGCACCATTGGGATGTGTTTTAGGATATAATCATTGTCTTCTACATTAGACATTCTCTATGGGTCAGCCTTGGTTTCTGCTCCCTCTCCATTGGCTACCTGCCCTTTAATTGCTTTTAGGGAAGAGGAAACAATTTTAAACATTGAACCTTGCCAGGGTTTCTAAAAACCTGTCTGTAGATGGGCTGCCTAAAGATCACCAGGGAAGACTTTTTTTAAATGTAAATTTCATGTTCCAAGAATTTATAATTCTGTAAGTCTACATTAAGGCCTAGACAGAATCAAGAAGGCCTAAAGAATCTACATATATTAGAAGTTTTTGCTATGTGATTTAAATGCCCAGAAGGATTTGCAAGCCATTTTGTCTAAGCCACTCTACCAAGGCATCTATTTTTAATTTGGTCAATGAACACGTTGATTTGGAATTCTGAAGTTTGTTTCCATCAGAGTCCTGAACTGCATGCACTAGTAATGAAAATTTCCCCACAGCCTTTGTTCACATCTCTCCTACTCAGGATGGGACCTGATGCTGTCAAAGAGGAGCTCTAGGTAGAGAAAGAGTCTTGTCCCAGGGCCAAGGACTGATACATGCTGGGAGCAGAGCCCCAGGGGCCCTTGAAAGCATTCAGGCTCTCTGACTTGTCCATGTCCAGGATTGCTGGGGTGGGGCTCAATAATGCCACCTTACCTTCTTTAGCCAATTGCTTTCAAGATGAACACAGAGGATATATGCAGGATAGCCCTGGCAGGGGAGAAGAGGGAAGGTCAGCCAGGCCAGCCTCTGGTAGCAATGGTCACCCTTGGCTGTCTTATCCTGTACCACACTAGATGATAGCCACTCCGCAGGGTGATGTCTGGTCAGGGAATGCTTTTACCTTCTCAATCTTTTACCCATTCTTTTCTCTCATTTTCTCTTGATGATGTGTCTCTTTTCTCCTTAACTTTCTGTTCCTAGGCTTTCATTTTCACTCCATACCCAAGCTGGCTAGCCTTCCTCAGGCACCATTGCCCTCAGCTCCATCCAGCTTCCTGCCTTTCAGCCCCACTGGCCCTCCCCTCCTTGGCTGCTGTGAGACACCAGAGGTCTCCTTGGCTGAGTCTCAGCAGGAGCTACAGATGCTGCAGAAGCAGTTGGGAGAAAGTGAGCACTTCTGCATTTGTGTGCTTGCGATTGGCAGCCCCACACTGTGTTGCTCTGCATGGCTCGGGCTGGATGGCAGAGTTTAAAAAAACAACACGGGTACACGTTACAAATGTAAGAGGGAGGGAAAGCTCTGTTTGCTTATTTTTTGGAAATGTATTTACTGTTATTTCTGTGGTGTGTATGTCTCATCAGTTAACAGGTAGATATGTTCACGAGGCTCTAGACCTGGTGCTCTCACACTGTAGACAGTGTTGGATACCACCAAGTATGCTGAATCCCTGACAGACTGGTGGACTGCTCATTGGTAGGGGGTGGGAGAGAGATGTTATGCTTTGCCTATGCAGGATGAAGTGGCCAAGAAAAAGATGGCCACATTCAGTGGGCTCCTTTGTGTGACTATTATATTTTTCTGCTATGAAATGCTGTTAATCAAGTTCAGTTCCTGATATCATTAGGTTGGAGCAAAAAGGGTAATGATAGAGGGATTCAGAAGAGGAAATGATGAGCCCCTTTTCCTACTGCACAGGGTTGGTCCCTGCCCTGGGACAGGTGACACGTAGGCAGCTTAGAACCACAGCACCAGCTATGGCATCTGACTGTGAATCCCATCCTCTGACTCCCAAAGATAATTGATCTCATGTAGTTACGTAGACTGTGGACAGTCACCTTTTAGAAAGTGCTTTGATGTATTTGTAGGCTGGATGCTCATCATAAATTTAGTGTGCTGGTGGTCACTGATAGCTTAGAAAAAAATGACAACCTTCACATGAATTTGCTCTTTCATAGCACCTTAGGCACAACAGTTAAAAAGCAGTTTGAATGAACTTAAACTCATTTGTCAGGCACTTTCTGTGCCTGTAAAGAAGCTTAGGTGAGCCAGAGACTGATAGGGTCACCATGCCAGAAGTTTCTAGTGATGCAAGACAACAGCCAAGAATTTGCATCCCCCTCCCTACAGCCCCAAATGTCATGTGGACCAGCATATTTCTTTCCTTCTTCCTCTTTTTTTTTTTTTTTTTTTTTTTGAGACAGGGTCTTACTTTGTCACGCAGACTGAAGTGCAGTGGCACGATCTCGGCTCACTGCAGCCTCTACCTCCTGGGCTCAAGCAACTATCCCACCTCAGCCCCCCAAGTAGCTGGGATTACAGGTGTGTGTCACCACACCTGGCTAATTTTTGTATTTTTTGTAGAGACAGGATTTCGCCATGTTGCCAAGACTGGTCTAGAGCTCCTGAGCTCAAGTGATCGGCCCACCTTGGTTTCTGAAAGTGCAGGGATTACAGGTATGAGCCACTGCACCCAGCTTAGCCTATTTATTTTGTCAACCCAGGAAATGGGTACTTTGTCTAATGCAGGGAACTGTAAAGCTCAGGGAAGTGAAGTTACTTGTTCAAGGTCACTGGTAAGTGGGAGAGATGGGGTTGAATCTGGTCTTCTGCTCCAGGTTTTATGTTTCTGTTATATCTTTTCTACTTAGGATGGCTTTGTCACCATCCTGCTTAGAGTATGGAGCTGAGCTCAGCTGATCAAACTCTGGGGACTCGTTGCAACAATTTTTTCCCTCTCTTTAGAGACCAGTAGGAAGTGCTGCTGTTTCTGACCTAAAACTTGTTATTTTAGCAGTTCTGGCACCAACAATGAATGGGCAACAAATGTGTCCCATGACAAATGGCAAGAGTATTTTCTAGCTTCCATTTCTTTATCTTGCCTCCTTTTCCTTTATCTTTCCACATTTGTCCATTTGTCTTTGCCCAAACGGAAGGATGGAAGGAGAGCACTGTCCATGAAAAAGGGTCTGTTGTTTTGGGTTAAATTGGAATTACATCAAGTCTGAGGCCATTGACCGGAGTTCAAATGGTCCCAGCCTAGATGAGGAAGATTGTAGCCCTTTCTTTCTCCACCTGAAGTCAAGGTCCTCTCCAAGGGACCATTGCTTATACATGCTCATTGTTTGCTTTGAGCCAAGTTTCCGTGTGGACAGTGGTGCATGGTGGCCTCTCAGGTCCCTGGGTTAAAATCTTGTGCAAGAGTCTGTATGGTATCTTTGCATGGTTTAGAGCATGTACTGTGTATTGTGTGGCTAAGGGACTGGAACATGAGAATACTGATCATTGTTACTGATAGACTTAAAACCTCACATGGCCTTGATTAAAAAGTAAGCTGACTATCTGCAACCACTGATTTCTCCCTTTGCCTTGTGTTCGGATGGGGTTGAAGGCAGTTTGAAAGAGGTAGGAAATCATGTATTTGTTGCATTCCTTCTAAAATGTAGGTGCTTAAATTTTTAACCTTCTTCCTCAACTAAGTGATCCTAATGAACATCTAGTATTTTGCAAATTAGAAGAGAGACTCATGACAAGACTTCCCAAACTTCTGCCTATTAGAATTACCTAAAATGAATTTAAAACATCCATTGTTCAAGATGTATCCCATATAGACTAAGGCAAAATCTCTGGAATCCAGGAATCAGTATATGTTTCCATACTTTCTCAGGTGATTCCAATATGTACCCACATTTGAGAACCAGCTACAAGTAGGGCTAAAAACTGGCAAGTGGCAATTACACTAACCCCTCCAAGGAGTTTGGCTTGGATGGAAGAAACAACGACCTCACTCCTGTTGCTTAGGAGGAGCTACCTGTCTATTCTGCTGCCCATGTTCATAATCCCTGAAAGAAAGCAGGCTTCTGAATTTTCTCCTAAACTGTGTCTCTGCCCACCTCTTTCCTCATCTCCCCCATGCTAGGCTTCTTTTTACAGAGAAGTGGAGATGACGGGGCTCAAGGGAAAGGCCTATGATTTCAAAGGATCTATGAAAGTATCAGCCTATTAAATGAAAGGTCCTACCTGCCTCTGTGGAATAGTATTCAATGATTCTTTAGACAGGAGTGATGACATTTTGCAGCTCCTTGAGTCATGTTGGATGGGATCCAAATAAATACTTGCCTTACATAGGCCCTTCCCCAGCCTCAGCAAAGAGTTCGTCAGTCTGGAGGAACTAGGGCCACCATATCCAGCTTGATTTCATGTCCCCTTTCTCTTCTGAAAAACTCCAACATGGAACGGACATATTGACTAGTTAGTTTCAGGGGAAGGCAAGTACATGTAGACAAACAGATGTTCGTGTTCACAGGTAAGCTCAATCCTGCATTCCACTGCACTCACAACTTCTAACTGTGGGAGTGAATCCTACTTTTAGAACTTTCCTTGGAGTCTGTCATGAAGGATTATAGTAGGATCCAGGAGTGGGGCCACTGGACTTTTCCATTGTATATACTGATGACTTTAAGATACTTTATTCTCTACCTCTTGTGTCTCCTGCTAGGAAATACAAAGGGTGAGAGTTACAACCTCTAGGTTACAAGCCTTAGTCTAATTAGTATACCAAAGTGAACTGGGATCTCTGACATTCCACATGTCTCCTTTTAGTCTCTATTCTTAGCAATCACATACTTCCTTGCAAATTCTTCCCTTCTGACACCCCAGTTGCTTCTTACTAATGTTTCTTTCTGCCCAGGTACCAGCACTGTTCCTCCTGCTTCCACAGCTACATTGCTGAGCAACGACTTGGAAGCCGACTCTTCCTACTACCTCAACTCTGCCCAGCCTCACTCTCCTCCAAGGGGCACCATAGAACTGGGAAGAATCCTAGAGCCTGGGTACCTGGGCAGCAGTGGCAAGTGGGATGTGATGAGGCCTCAGAAAGGGAGTGTATCTGGGGACCTATCCTCAGGCTCCTCTGTGTACCAGCTTAACTCCAAACCCACAGGTAAAGCACAAAGCAGAGATGGCAGCCTTTGAAAAGAAGTCTCATTTGGAGTCTACTCTTTTCCTACCCAGGCAGGACTATTTCATTCCTCCTCCATCCCTGGCTCACAGAGTGGATATAAAATGCAAGAGCTGTATCAGGGCTCAATCCTTTCCAAGTACATTTCTTCATTCTCCTGCCCAGGGCCTCAGTGCTCTGTAGGGATATGGGAAAGTCAGGGACCCACCTCTTGTGCTGTCACACTCATGTCCTTCCATCCCTCTGCAGCCTGGCCTCTTTGCAGCCCACTCTCTTAGACCCTTCCAGAATGCCAGGCATAGATGGGACTTTCTTCCATCAGTCAGGACTTGTCACAGGAAAGGGTGTAAGGGTGCAGCTCCCTGACCCTGCACATATATCCTGTGCACAAAATTCAGTCACAGCAAGTGGAGAGGTATAGCTAAGCTCATAAATGCTGAGATGCCGCGCAGTTCCAACAGTAAGACAATCGTAATTTTCAGGAAAAGACTGAGCCCAAAGCAAAATGGTGCAGTTAATGTCCGGTGTAAGCATCCGTCTGACTTTTCTGGATATTTTTGCTTTGTTTGGCAGGGGGAAGGGGGGTGTCATCCCCTCTCTAATTTGCCTTCAGATCTCTAGATCCTTCCAGGCTATTCTTTCATCTTCCATATTAAAAGTGATTTCAGGGAAGCATTCAGTGTCAGTCATTAACCGCATAGGGTGAGTGTAAGATCACGTACTTTTACTTTAGGCCTTCTTTCTAAGGGTGGGAGGAAGGGCTTTGTCCCTTGCTAAAGAATGCTCACTCACGTGTCAGTAAGAAGAAAGGTAGAGTGAGGTCTCACCTATCATCCTCATAGTCACACCCAGGAGGTGGCCACACCTTTCCAGATGCTAGGCAGGCCTTGTCCAGAGCCCTCAGTTATTTTTCTAAAACGTGGAACTCTCACAAGACCCCTGTGTGGGAGGAGGCCCATGGAGATTTTTTAGCAAGTGACTGTCATGTGTTTGAAAGCACATTGACTGTTTAAACAAAACTACCATTCTTTTGGGTGTCCGTGTGAGAGGACACAGTTGGCAGAAGGCTAGTGATATTTACAGGTCTTGCTGCAGGTCCCCTAGCCGAGCCCCACCCCCATCAGTAACCAGGATTCTCCATCTCCCACCTCTCTTCATGTCCTGGTGGTTTGGCCGCAGGGGCTGACCTGCTGGAAGAGCATCTTGGTGAAATCCGGAACCTGCGCCAGCGCCTGGAGGAGTCCATCTGCATCAATGACTGCCTACGGGAGCAACTGGAACACCGGCTGACCTCTACTGCTCGTGGAAGGGGTAGGAGAGGCCCAGACCTTCCTGTTTCTGGCTCTATTTAGGGACTTTTAGGCAGAGCTTCACAGATATTCTTTACTTCACTTGCTCCTTATGAACAGTCCAGCAAGGGAGGTGGGCAAGTACTGTCATCCCTACTTTCTGAATATATCTGAGTTTAGAGAGTAACTCTCTTTAAGGCAGAACTACGTCTGGTGCCCAGAGTCACCTGACTTCTCACCCCATACTTAATCTGCTTATATACTGCTGATGTCTGTGCCTTTGTTGTGTGATTGATAAGTGGTGGAACCAGGTCTGTAAGGGTCCTCCCACCTCTACCCTCGCCTCTTTACCAAGGTGGCCTTTCTCCTTACACTCTCCTTCCAAGCTGCTGTCACGTGGAGGCCAGTCTTTCCATATGTTGTTGTCCTGCCTATACCACAGCAGCAGCTGTTTAGGGAGATCGAGCCTCCTGCACCATTGCAGTTACGGCATGTGATGATGCACGCAAAGAATCCACTGAGAAGAGGCACACAGAAAACATGTACCCAGCCCCCCACGCTTCATTCAGGGCCAGGCCTTCAGTCCTTGGGGTTTTCTGCTGGGTTGGGGCAGTATCTTTGAGAGATAACGAATGGGAAACTTTTGAAAGTTTCTGTTACCCAAATGTCTACTTTCTGGGACAGGATCCACTTCTAACTTCTACAGTCAGGGCCTGGAGTCCATACCTCAGCTCTGCAATGAGAACAGAGTCCTCAGGGAAGAAAATCGAAGACTTCAGGCTCAACTGAGTCATGTTTCCAGAGGTACGTGGTCAAAACCCACAAACTGTGGTCACTCTTAAGTTTCTTTCTTCCCTGGCCACACTAATCACCAACTGGAGAAGCAAACAGAAGAAGGTAGAGGTAACAGAGCTACTCAGATCCACCAACCCAAACTCACAGCTATTCTCAGTCTAGAGAAGGCTGCTTTCTAAGATGTTCCAACTGTGGGCCCCTCAGACTCCTAGTCCCCAGAAGCGAAGAGCTCTAGGAAATCCATCATTTCTGTACAAGCCCACCTGCATATATCCAGAGTCACAAGCTATCAATTTGGATACCAGTCTGGTATCTGCTCTACCTCCCTTCACTCACAACTGACTTGGAACCAATAAAGGAGGGAGTGCGAATGCCTATCTTCCCTCTCAAGTTTCTCCAGACTTTACTGCAGCAGCATGTGTCGCTCCTGGCCCTGCTGTGCCATCCCTCTGCCTCCTCACCACATCTCTCACTCATAGACTCAGGGCTTCCCTCTGGTCAGTACTCCCATGACTCCATGCCGAGTGGCACTAGCAAATGCCCCCCAGCACTTTCCCAGCCCTAGCCAGGGGGCGCTCACAGGTGGGCATCATTTCTCGTGTGGCTGGGAGGCAGCTGACCTTGGTGTTAGTCTACTTGATCAGATCAATGTATTATCGATAACAAAGTATTTTTATTCACAAATATTTATGAACAGCCATGAAAAGACTGAGGGTAGTATCCAAAAGGATTAAGCCCAGAATGAAGGAATGCTTGTGGAAAAGGAAAAAGCCACCAAGAGATATTTCTAAATTAGCCACCCAAATTAATTAATTTAATTAATTGATTTCTGTATTAGCAAGAAGATTTGAGAGGAAAGGTCACTGCTGGGGGACGATAACAAAAGTTAACAGATAAGAAAGAGGGCAGAACTACTGAGCTACCATTGCATGCTTGGAGAGAATAGAACAGACCTCACAGGTGAGAAGACAGTAAGAGATTTAAACGAATACAATTTGCCAGGCTCAGGTGACTCTTTCCCCAGAGGACTTACTGAGCCTGCAGCTGTATTTTTAGAGTCCCTTCAATAATCTTTGACAACTTGTGAAGATCAGAGAAGTGCTGCAAGTTCAAAAACAAAAAATCCCAGTTTTCAAAATAATGAAAATGAGATCCAAAAAGAAATCTTGACGTTGATCTTTGTCAAAATTCAAGAATGGATTATTGAACAGACGATATGTGAGCACTTGGAAAGTGGTGATCATTAGAAAGCAGAATTTCTCTAAGAGCAAGGTAGGACAGATTAAATAAGTGGCATGAAGGGTTTTGCAAAGAGAGAGAGGCACCGTGCTCCAGGCTCTGGGGGATGTTGAGCCAGCATGCTTTTCCCACCAACATAGGGCCTTCCTTCCCTGCTCCTTAGCTCTGTCTGTCAGGGTGGATGTGCTTGGGGTCATCTTCCAGCTGAGCTCTGGCCCCATGATAATAAATCAATCCTGTGTTCCTCTCACCAGAGCACTCCCAGGAAACAGAAAGCCTGAGGGAGGCTCTGCTGTCCTCTCGATCCCACCTTCAAGAGCTGGAAAAGGAGCTGGAGCACCAGAAGGTGGAAAGGCAGCAGCTTTTGGAAGACTTGAGGGAGAAGCAGCAAGAGGTCTTGCATTTCAGGGAGGAACGTCTTTCCCTCCAGGAAAACGACTCCAGGTAAGAGGGGACCCATTGACAGAGAAGGTAGCATTCTTCATTCTTACATTCATTCTTACATTACAAGAGGAAGGGATATTGGCAAGACAATTGATGTCCTCTTTTGGAAACCTAAATGTTCCCTCTGCTATTCCTGATTTTTGTGTGTCAGTGGGGTGGGGGGAGGGGCGCTTTGAGCAGAAGAAAGGACTTCTCTGGGAATGCCTTGTCACTCCCAAGTTGAGAGAGTAAAACTCTGTTATAGAAGTCTTCAGTATATCAGAGACATGAAAAAAGAAGGGTTCCCATGCTTCCAATTAGATATAGGACATTAGTCTCACCATCACCTAGGAAGCTTCTATACTGGCTGTGATGCTTGGTCCCAGCATAAGCCCTGTAACTGCTTGTCAGAATGCAAACAGCACTGTAGGAACAGTAAGGAGACTGTGCTGGTGTGTCTGTTCTGCTCTGAACTAATGTAGGTAATGGTGTGTTTTCAAGCAAAGTTACTTGACCTCCCTCAGCCTCCATTTCCATATCTGCAAAATAAAAGTGATAGTCTTCATGACCCCCTGAGTTGACATCTGGGGCTCAGATGTAACCCTAACTGTAACCCTTTATGACCCTCTGAGTTGACATCTGGCTCTCAGCTTGTTGCTCTGGTGTGGCTGAGTAGCTCTGCCATCTCAGTGGGCCTTGCCTCTCCCTGGTCAGACTGCAGCACAAGCTGGTTCTCCTGCAGCAACAGTGTGAAGAGAAACAGCAGCTCTTTGAGTCCCTCCAGTCAGAGCTACAAATCTACGAGGCACTTTATGGCAATTCCAAGAAGGGGCTGAAAGGTATGTGTTCTTCTCCCCTCACCCCATGAGCTTTTTGCCCTTGCATAGGATGCTAGTGAGGTCTTTCCTTTGGGAGTTGTGGAGATCATGGGAAGCTACAGAGTTCTGTCACAGAAACCCCCACCCGAGCCTGGGGCTCCCAGTAGGAGCTCTCAAACACAAAGCCCAACGGGACAGGTTGGTGGCACGAGCAAGATCCGGCCTGATCATTCCTAATTACTTTAAGAAAATCTAGACATTCCTATCAATGTCTAGATTGTAACATTTTTGAAAGCAAAAGAACTGTCCTAATGATATCATCATTTGAAAAGGCCTTTAATATTGTTGGTAATACATACTGACAACCCATTCAGCCCAATGTAGCAGGCAGTCTGCTCCCACCCTGACCCTTTCCGTAGTGACATCTGGCTCTCAGCTTATTGCCCTTTCATGTAATTTTCATAAATCCTGATTTAGTTTCCTGATTTTCTAAAGAGAAGGTGAACTGGAATTTGAAGAAATACAGGGGCTTACCAGGCTGGGCGAATAGCTTAAGTACAAAGTCATGGTGAGTGTTGAGTCAGTGGGGACCAGCCTGCCCACAGGAGAAAATTAAAAGACACAAAAACAAAAACAAAAAAACCTTATAGAAATACCACTAATAGGACCTAAATTTCAATCCTGGATTTAAATATTAAGGACATTTATTGAAGACTTTGCTGCCTGCTGAAATAATAATCTAATATTTGAGAATTTTGATATATTTCTTCATTCTTTAAATGGAGAAGGGTATTCAAAACATAATGTGAATAAGTCACAGCAGGCTGGAACAGAGGACGACATCAATGTCGTGAAATTTAGCAAAGATAAAAAGCAAAATCCTGAGCTCGATTAAAAATATCAGTGGTAGAAATATAGGTTGAGGGTAGAAATATAGGACAGGCAGCCATTCATGGACATGAGGGTTTGGGGTTTGGTAGAAACATGTTCACACAAGTAAGGTGTAGGACAAAGGTTGCTAGAAATGCCAGCTCAAACTGGAACTACAGTAGTGTAAGTGTGATGTTCGCCTGTGGAGACCATGTCTAAAATATTGTTAGATTAAGGAGCACCATCTTTGAAAAGGGCGTTGACACACTAGGGAACATAATGAAGACAGGGCGCACAATGGTGTGGACCAGAAATCTCCAACTAGTCAAAGAAACTAAAGAAATGTAGGCTTTCAAAAGATCTTGAGGACATGAGAACTGGCTTCGGATATTTGAAGAAGTGTCAGGTGAAAAAGAACTCATGTATTTTATGTCCCTCCAGAAGGCTAAACAAAGAGTGAAGGGCAGTGGAAGTTAGATTCGAATTATCATAAATCCTGATTTAGTTTCCTGATTTTCTAAAGAGAAGGTGAACTGGAACCTGAAGAAATAGAGGGGGCTCACCAGGCTGGGAGAATAATTTAAGTACACAGTCATGGTGAGTGTTGGGTCAGTGGGACCAGCCTGACCACAGGAGAAGCTTGAGGTTGGAGTGAGAAGTCAGGATGGTGGAGCAGAGTCACCAAATCTTGAAAGCTCACAGGTCAGGGTAAAAGTTGACATTCTGTATAGTAGATAATGAAACTAAGTCTGTTCTTTTTCAAAGAAGATAAGCATATGATGAAAACAGAACTTTAGGATGCTAAGTCTTAGGGGATGTCCTGGAATTGGGAGACATTAGAATCTGGGAAACGTATTGGATGGGTCTAGTGATATTCTGGCACATTAAGAGATGACAGTCTAATATAAGGTGCTATTGGGAAGATGAAAGGGTATAGATAGATTTTAAAACATCTCTTAAAAAATAAGCAAAATTTAGTGAGAAGTTGGGTTGAGAAAGAGAGAGAGGAACATCATAAAACTTTGGGCAAAATTCAAGAGTAGATTATTTACCAAAGTCCGTAAAATTGGTTCATCCTGAGCTCCCTTTCCTTTCATGCTTTTCTCCCTGCCTTTTAGGACTCATTTCAAAGCTACAACCACTAAAGCTCCATAATCTCTTATCTGTAATTTCAAAATCCAGTAAGATTTCCAAATTAAATTTTTCAAATACTCATTTAGTGACAAAATCTAGATGATCTGACATGAGGATATTCATAAGTCTTTATTTATCTATTTAGAATATTCACATAGCTCATTGCGGAAATAGTTATATGTTTGATAAAGGATTGTGGCTCACATGCAACTGGGTACATGTTATATATGATATATGCACCCTGTTGCCTTGCTAAAAACTAAAACAAATTTTACCTTTCGAAATACATTTGGCCTTAAGGTTTTCAGATAAGGGATTGTAGCCTCGTAGAATATTTCTTAGATCTCTTCATCCCCAGTACAAAGAAATAGCCATGTGGTGAATGGAGGTAAATATACATACATATATATATTTATATATATGTGTATGTATATATATGTGTGTACATGTCATATATATGTACATGTATATGTGTGTACATATATATGTACATGTATATGTGTGTACATATATATGTACATGTATATGTGTGTACATATATATGTACATGTATATGTGTGTACATGTATATGTACATGTATATGTGTGTACATGTATATGTACATGTATATGTGTACATGTATATGTGTACATATATACACCTATATATAGTATGTATATACACACACATATATAAACACACTATATGTAGGTGTATATATATGTACACACACACACACATATATAGAGAGAGAGAGAAAGAGAGAGAGAGAAATTGAAAAACTCAGTTATAATCCCTCGTCTAAGGTGCCCAACTCACATTCTCACATGCTACCAAAAGACCTCCTCCTTCTCTTTCATTTTTGAGAGTGAGGACTATGAAATCTCTTTCTTCCTCATCCCCTACCCTTCTCTAGCTCAGTGCTGACCTTCTACCTTGGAGTATCCTATACTTTAGCCTACAGGACTAAGGTTACTATGGAGATGAAATATGGACTTATCTTCATCTGCCAATCAAATGCTCTATAGGTGCATGTGTGTAACTTAAGCCGCAGGGAAGTTTCAGACTGGATGTGTGCCAGCTCAGTGCCATCCCCAGGCCACACACAGAAATGGTGACACCTCCATCACAGATGGGTTGCATGAGACTCAGATGATAGTGGGGTCCTTGGCAGAAAAGAATGTCACAGAGGAGGGTTCTGACAAGTGCTTGGAAATACTTGGGTGAATGTTACCAGACTCCTTCTCTCTCAGCTTACAGCCTGGATGCCTGTCACCAAATCCCTTTGAGCAGTGACCTGAGCCACCTGGTGGCAGAGGTACGAGCTCTGAGAGGGCAGCTGGAGCAGAGCATTCAGGGGAACAATTGTCTGCGACTGCAGCTGCAACAGCAGCTGGAGAGCGGTGCTGGCAAAGCCAGCCTCAGCCCCTCCTCCATTAACCAGAACTTCCCAGCCAGCACTGACCCTGGAAACAAGCAGCTGCTCCTCCAAGGTAGGAAGGAAAAGGGACTTAGAAAGCCCTTGGCCAGTGGGGAGATCACCAGGAAGTTCTGCGGCAGAAGGTGTAATCTGCCTGGTCCATGCTCCTTAGGGTCAGGTTGAAATCAGAGATGCTCTAGTCTAGCAGCCTGAGTGAAAGCGTGGGATTTAGGTCAGACTGGGCTCCAGATTCTGAGTTTACCACTTAGAGGTCGTTTGATTTGGGCAAGGTGTCTAAAGTCTCAGAGGTTTAAGCTTTAGTTTCCTTATATTTAAGATGAGGATAATGATCATATGTACCTTATATGATTTTGAGCATTAAATGAAATCATTTACAAGTGCTTGGCACACTAAGAATTACTCAATAATTAGCAGCTGTATATGTTCATATCTTTTTCTTGGATTTGCTTGGTGCTTTAGTTTTAGCCAAGTGTTTTCACATATATAATTTCATCTGAAGTAAAGCAGGTTTTGCTATCTCTGTATTTCACATAAGAAAACTTAGGTCCTGAGATATTAACAGACAAGCAGGGGTTTAGAGAAGTTATAGACAAAGCCAGAATCAGAACCAGATGTTGTGATTTTCAGTCTGTGTTCCTTCCAGTTCATTGTGCCCTGTCTCAGTATTGCCGACCTTCCCAGATTCTCTACTCCCCCTTTCCCTCACAGGTGGGGAACTCAGTGTGTGGTAAAATGTTCCTGCCCCTAAGGAAACAGGGCTCTGGGGAAGTCCTGGATGGTGGGTGATTTATTTCGGGTGGCCATCATTCGCTTTCTCTACCCCACCCCTTGCCTGCCTTTTCAGATAGGCGTGTTTGACCAGGTCCCCCTTCTCTTCTCAATATCCTCTATCAATCTCACTTCTCCCAGTTTTCATTGAAATGTCAATGGTGTCCCCCTAGTCTCTTAAATCATTCAATTTCTACTTCCTCTGTCCTTTTCTCCTTTTGATACACCGTTTAGTACACCATCTCCACTCACCTCCATGGCCATACCTTCAATTTTATTCAAATCAGGAACCACTTCTGTTCAGTTTCTCTAAAGCTGAGCTTTCAAACTCTCCTGCCAGCTATTTCTGGGTCATGTTAATCTTTGTTTTTCTGTGGTTCTTGTAGATTCTCATTTATCTGACAGTAACCTTATTTGTCAAATGAAGGTGACAATAACATGATTATGCTGTTTTGGCAATTCAATAAAAAAACACATGTGGTCCACCAAGCAAACCGCCTGACCACCAGGAACTGCTCAGCTTACATTAGTTGGACATCTTGCCCTCCTCTGGGCTGCCCTGATGGTTGTGGTGTTCAGTTATGTCTCCAACTCTTCCTTCTAACCAGGCCTTCTTCTCTCACTGGCTTCCCATACAGCAGCCAAGACTCAGCCCCACTGATGCAGTCCCTGCCCCTCTTTCTCTAGCACCCCGGAGGCCTGAGCTGGAAAGCAGGCACTGGGCCACACTTGCCTGAGCAGGACCTTTTCTACCTTCTTTGTGATATTTTCCAATTCCTCCACCATAGGGTTGCTTTTTAGTCTCCAGCAAGACAATGTTAACCCACCAAGCCTTCTGTCTCCGTTCGTCTCATACAAGTCAATTTTTTTCAGTATTACCTCATCAGAATGATGACTAGAATGTTGAGTCCCCCATGAATCCATTCATTCCTTGATTCTTTGATTCTAGATTTTAATCTGTACTATGTATATTTATACATATTACATTTAGTTACAGGGCATCATATTAGATACCACACACAAATTATACTTAAGACTCGGTTTATAAAAATACACCTAATAATTTTTCAAACTAGAAGTTACGTTCTCATGGAACACCCCTCAATTACAGGAATATCTTTTTGTTCTGAAGAATGGAAACATTCTGAACTCAGTGACTCATAGGCTTTTGCTTTTGCTTTGGCTTGTGGGGTATGGATAATTCTGTAAGAGGAGAGTCCTGCCACCTTAGGTCTCAGTGGGGACAGCTAGGTGTGCATGTGCTTCATGTGCAGTGTGTTCCAGGGCTCCTGAAAACTGTGGTTGCCTTTACCCCCTAGATTCAGCTGTGTCCCCTCCAGTCCGGGATGTTGGTATGAATTCCCCAGCTCTGGTCTTCCCCAGCTCTGCTTCCTCTACTCCTGGCTCAGAAACGCCCATAATCAACAGAGCAAATGGTAAATATGGCAACTAAAGGGCCCAGGGACTGATGATGGAAAGTGATTAATGCAAACAACCTTTTGTTGTCTCTAAACATATTATCTGTATTTAGAGAGTTTTCTCTGCATGCCCCAAGGCCTTTAGCCCTACTCCCTGCACCTTCTGTGGCTGCCTTTCTTGCCATTGTTCATCTTCCTGTAGTTTTCCTACTGCTGTTTTTGCTTCATTGCACCATAATCTCTCTATTCTTGAAAATGCTGTCTGTATCCAGCTTGACTTCCTTGTCTGTGTCTTCTCTACTCAGAAACTTATTATTTATTATGATTCATCCTATTTCATTTGCCAATAAGGAAAAAATTGTCTCCTGGCAAATTTATCATTAAGAGATAATGTAAGAAAGATTATAAAAATATAGAAGCCAGAAGATCTCTATGGACTTTGCCCCACCCTTGTACATTCCCAGGCTTCCTTTCTTGTTCCCGGCCTCGTCCTTTTCTTGTTCCCTACCTCTTTTTTAGTTGGAGCAAACTGAGGATATCATTATGAATAACAGAAGATTCAGTTGTGTTGTCATTTTCTTTTTCAGGCTTGGGTTTGGATACTTCTCCAGTAATGAAGACCCCTCCCAAGCTAGAGGGTGATGCTACTGATGGCTCCTTTGCCAATAAGCATGGCCGCCATGTCATTGGCCACATTGATGACTACAGTGCCCTAAGACAGCAGATTGCGGAGGGCAAGCTGCTGGTCAAAAAGATAGTGTCTCTTGTGAGATCAGCGTGCAGCTTCCCTGGCCTTGAAGCCCAAGGCACAGAGGTAATCACACCTGAAGCTTTAGGTGCACTCTTTCCCTGTGCCCTTTCTTCCTTTGATGTTAACTCCTTCTCCCACCATTTTTGTTTTTTTCATGCTTTGCATCTCTCAACAGCTGAGACTTCCTCTTCCATGTATAGCAGCCAGGCCCTTTCTTCTCTATCTCCTATTTTCACTGTGAGTTCTGCTCTGTTCCAGATGTAGCTGACTGGATATTTCCCCTCAGCCCCACAGAAACATGTGGCATTGCCTAGCAGCCTTTGGTAGCTTATTATCTACCATAGTCATGCAGGCACATGACCATCTGTGGGCAGAGTCAACTCAATGGGATGGATAGAAACTGAAGGATTTGCAGGTGTATGGCCCCCACATGTGGAAGGGGTGAGAAGCCTGGCAGCCATGTCATTTCCTTGTGCAGACTGCATAGAGGGAGGGAAGGCAGTCAGCAAAGCTTCTGAGAGCACCTTGCCAGTGAGAGAGACCAGGAACCTGTGGCTGTGCTGTCTGAGCTGCTGGAGACCCATGGATGTGTAGGGACAGCCCTGCCTCCACGGAGCCCCCACACTAGAGGGCAAGACACACACCCAAGTAGATAAGCACAGTAAGGGGCTACAGGCACAGTATGAGAAGTCATCCTCTGTGCTGTGAGAGCGCCAATGCAAATGTGGTCATTTATCTCAGGCAAGGAAGGTAACAGGCTCATAGAGGACATAGCAAGGGGGGTGAGTTTTGAAAGCCTTGTGGGTTCTGCAGGTGGAGGAAGGCATTCCTGGTAAAGGGAGCAGCACCTTAGTTCTGAGAGCTGCAAATGGTTGTGTGAGGGCTTCACAGGTTCAAGCAGGCCCATGTTCTATGCCTCACTCACAAAGGAAGCTTGAGCCCACGCAGGGGGAAGAAAGTAATCTCTCCGCTCCTGTGGTGTTACCTTTCCCCAGGTGCTAGGCAGCAAAGGCATTCATGAGCTTCGGAGCAGCACCAGTGCCCTGCACCATGCCCTAGAGGAGTCGGCTTCCCTCCTCACCATGTTCTGGAGAGCGGCCCTGCCAAGCACCCACATCCCTGTGCTGCCTGGCAAAGTGGTAAGATGCCAGTGCCCTTTCTTGGTTCAAACCCAGTTCTCCTGCCCTCCAATACTGTTCTGTCTCCTCAATGTCACAGCTTTTCCAGAAAATCAGGAGCCACATAGTGAGTTGGGATAGACAGGAACTTAGAGGAGTGTCCCTGGAGGGACATCTCTGACCCATGGTGGCTGCTTTCATTGCAGCTCTGAATATATCCCATTCCCCGCCAGCCCCCTGTCCCCTGGTTAAGAAATCAAAGAAGATGAAGGGGTGTGAAGAAGGCGGAGACATCATAACCCTGGCCATCCATAAATGTTCAGTTTATTTACCTCTCTGAAGTTTGACTGAGCTGAAATTCAGTTAAAGCTTCAGCACCCATCTCCTACCCCTCAGGTCCCATGGTTAAATGATCACAGAATGCCCCCATGAGACTGAGCCTTTTTAGCGACTGCCTGGAATCCCAGCATATCACTTAAGCTGGCATCGCTGGACCAGGCCTGGGGAAAGTCAGCCTCCCCTCAGGATCTGCTCAGAGCTCAGGCTAACTCTGATTGGCAGACCCTCGTGTAGGCAGGTTTCAGGATCCCCTCCCCAGGGATTCTACTTCCAGGTCAATGGCACCAATACCTTTTGGATCCAACTATGCTAATTCCAGGGAGAGGGTGTTGTGCCATCTTCATGTTGGCACAAATATTTACAAACTTGCAGACTTCCCTGAGTCCAGATCTCTCTCCCCAGCATAACACTTCTGAACTCTCAATCTTACCTGTGAAGGGAGAGTGACAGAACTGATATCAGGACTAAAGCAAGGTCCTCTTCAGAGTTGGGAGTTTTAAACCAGCCTGAAGCAAGTTTCTCTTAAGCTACAGGTGTGTGGGCCTGTGCTAGTCTGCATGGGGAATTCCAGAGTCTCAATATTCCTACCTAATGGCCTCATCCTGAACTGTCCTCAGCTGGAGATATCCAAGGCTGTGAAGGAGGAAATCCAGTTCAAGAGAGTTGAGAAGACTGTAGAATCCTTCTTTGAATTGGAAAGAGCCACAAAGCACAGGGTGCTTTAGGCCTTCTGCCTGGTCAGTAAGAGTCTGTTCCTCTTATCCAGGGAGAATCAACAGAAAGGGAACTTCTGGAACTGAGAACCAAAGTATCCAAACAGGAGCAGCTCCTTCAGAGCACAACTGAGCATCTGAAGAACGCCAACCAGCAGAAGGAGAGCATGGAACAGTTCATTGTCAGCCAGCGTAGGTTCCCTGAGAGGGAACGGGGGCAGAAACAGGCAGTCTTCCCGATGCCCCACTTGTGCTTCAGATGAGAAGTGATCAGGGGGGCTTGGGGATGTTGGGAGTGGAGACTGATTTGATGTCCCCAAACCTCCTGTGCCAGGAGCAATTGTGGCTGCAGAGGGAGGGGAGGACAGGGGGTGGATAGAAGGAGACTCCAAGCTGAATAGCCAGAAAGAAATAAATGCTTTAGAATTCTCACGCTAAGCAAGTAGGGTTAATTTCTGCTGGTGGTTTCTACTCTGTGGTGCTCTTTTGTTGTTTCAGTAACCAGAACACATGATGTTTTAAAGAAGGCAAGGACTAACTTAGAGGTAAGGAAACTACTGCACCAGTCAGAGGCACCAAGCCTGTCCCCCACCCATCACCATCCGTTAGCAGATCTTGTAGGTGACTCTTGGCCTGCTTTGGCCTTCCAGGAGAAGATTTGGGGTCCACTTGCAAGATCACAGGTCCTCAGTGAGCATCCTGCTAGTTTCTGTCCCTATCACCCTCCCACCCCATCAGCTCCTGCCCCTGTATCTTGGTTCACTCTCACATTGTCATCATCTCTCCTTTTTACTCCAATTTTTCTTCTTTGAGGCCAAGTTCAGAGACTGGAGAAATGCAATTCAGCTGACTCTTGAAGTCATTAGACATTCGGGAGTCTGCCTCTGAATGAGCTTCTAGTAGAGGGATCTTGAGGCCAGTTATGTGTTCTACTCTTCATGAAAAAGTAAAAGCAATTTGCAACCTAATAAACTGATTTCACTGCACATTCCCGGGTTAAGAACAGCGATTTGATTTTGCTATATCTTTAAGTAACATGACAAAAGAGATCTGTTGGGTCTCATTGGTCTAAAAGCAAATTTGTTAATAAATAACAACTGAACCTTCAGGGAAAAAATGTTATATATGTACCAGACATTATCTACATTTACTTAAAACACTAAGTGTTAATCATTCCCTAGGAAGTGCTTTGAAGAAAAACTTGAGGTATATGAAATGGTTAAAAATCAGAAACTAAACCTTTTAACATGGACATCAAAGCTTTGCCATAAGCAATTCAGCATATTCCTAGAAATGTTTCTAATCCATAACCTGAGAGAATGTTGATCTCCATAGTGTGAAAATGACTTGGGCCAGTTTAACTTGCTCTTTTTTTTATTTTTTCACTAATTCCCTTTTGTTTTTCTCTGATAATTCTTCTCTTTCCTGAGCCTCTTTAGAGCAGCACTTACAGGATTGCCTCTGTAAAGCCTTATTCCTGTCCCAGAAAAGGTAACCCAAAAAGTCTCTAGTATCCACTAAAAGGTAACCCAAAAATCTCTAGTATCCACTGGCTTTCTCCAGTGTGGAAGCTTTCCCCTCCACCTCCCATAGATCACTGGAAAGGACCCGAGGCCTCGGTTCTAATCCCTGGCTTATCACTAACTGCTGTGTGGCTTTGGCTTGTCCCTTAGTCTCTGTGAGACTGCTGCACCCTCATCTGTCAAAGATGGAACTGAACTTAGTTGAGCTCTGAGGTCCCTGTGGACTTGGCCCCTCCACACCCTCATTATGGCAACTGGACATAAACTTAACAGAGGACTTCCCAGCAAAATGTCCTCTTCTTCCTACAAACAGGCTGTTTCTATATGTGCATGTTTCATGCTAAGCACTTCTTTCTTGGGTGGAGATGGCAAAGGCCTCTTTCTGCTGAGACAAAGTGATTTGGAGAGTCACCTGGCCCCTGAAGGGGGAGTGGTAGGATCCAGCCACCCAGTGTGCAGTGAATTGGAGCAGGGATCTCAGCACACAGGGAGGTGGGGAGGCTCCCCCTAACCTCGGGCACCTGTTGCTCCTCCAGACTGTAGCGCATGCTCTTAGCTCATCCTCTTAACTGGCTCTCACCGTGCTCCTGGCTTTGGTCACCACGTAGCTCTCACTCCAGCTTCAGGTAGCCATCAGTAGGACCTGGCAATATACACTGATTTGGTTTGTTTTATGTTTGTCTGCAGGTGAAATCCCTAAGGGCTCTGCCGTGTACTCCAGCCTTGTGACCCTTGCCTTCCAGGAACCATGCAAGAAGCGCAGCCACCAGAAGTCCTTAAAACAGCAGGAAAGGTGAGCCTGTCCCCCTTTTGTGCAGCTACCTATCTGCTGAGGAGCATCTG
This sequence comes from Homo sapiens, assembly GCF_000001405.40. Taxonomy (NCBI): domain Eukaryota; kingdom Metazoa; phylum Chordata; class Mammalia; order Primates; family Hominidae; genus Homo; species Homo sapiens. Next base: position 100,753 of record NW_025791753.1, on the reverse strand, counting down.
GGCCTCATTCCTCCAAGTCCACTGGAGGGTCCAGAAGAGGGAGTCAGAGATGTATCCTGGTGGAGCTGGGAGAAAGGCAGAAAGCCTTTCTGACAGCTATGGAATACCGTTAGCCAAGGTCCACTTGGCCCAGCACTAAGCAAAAGATGCGTAGTTTGCACAGAAGGTTTTGTGATACTGCCTCTCAACAGCCCCAGCAGCTTGGGAACTAGCAAGAGCACATTTCTTGCCTCATCAGCTGTCCTGAGATGGAAAACTCAGTGGATATAGGACCCTGATTCCGATGAAAGGGGCACGTGGTCCCAATGCTGGAGCTCCTCTGGCAGGTTCTAAAAGCACACTACGGAGCAGCGGTGCCCTGCCGGACACTGCTGGCGGGGGCTCAGTGAGCACTACTCACAGATCCACACCTGACCCTGTTGGGTCGAGTCAGGCTGGGCTTTGGTCTGCACTGTAGCACCTGTGTTCTTTGAGTTCACATCATGAATGTGGTGATTTCCCAGATACCATCTCAGGCTTAACCTAGCACATCCTATTTCTTTTCTTCTATGATATCCAAATTGGACTGACCTCACTTCAAAGTTGCTGTCCCATTTTGTCACCCTATCTTATCTCGGGGAAATTGCAGACTGATGGCCAGACCAACTCTGTTGAAATTCTTGCATAGAGCAAACCTGTGCTCATTTTTAAGTGGCATGGGAGAGGCCCCAAGCCTAGTAAAGCCTAGTCTGTGTCTTCACAGTGCTGGTAGAATGTGTTTGTGTGTATAAATATATGATATAGATTTATATATGTTGCTAACGCCACATATTGAAGGCCAACATAACTGGTGGACAGCGTGGGTGACAGAAAATGAAAGTCTTTTTGGTGATTGTTTAAGCAAGATGTGTATAAAGAAATAAATAGTTTTTCTTTCACTGCTTTGTTTCCCATTTCTGCACCAATCCCTTGACAGTATAAAGAACTGGAAAGAGAAAATGGGAAAGACAAACTGTGTTTAAGAAGCATATAGTCTAATGCTTGAACTCTAACTTTAAAAGATTAAGGTTTTCCTTCTTTGTCATTTTGTAAGAATCCCCAGTCTGAAAATATGAAAGAATGGTTCTTAAACTTGGTGTGCCTGAGAAGCAGCTGTGGAGATTATAGGAGCTACCTCCTGGTCTCCAATCCCAGGAGATTTAGTTGGTGTGAGCCCTAGAATCTGCATTTTTTTAATATAAGCACCCCAGGTGATTCCATTACATGTGGGCTTCAGATCACAGTTTAAAAAAACAGTGTTCTATAACATTGAATCAAAACTAAAACTACATTTAAGAACCTTGAATCAAAAAGTATGTCATTCCATAAACATTGATATAAAAATTTTGAAATATTCCTTGGGAAAAGTTCTTAGCTACATGCTTTTGATTCCCAAGATTAAAATAAGCTATCACTTCACAATTATGTACTAGAAACATTTAAAAAATAAAAACAGGTAGAAGGTGGAGTAAGATGGTAGAATAGAATTCTCCGGCAATGGTCTCTCTGAAGGAACATCAAATTAAACAACTATCTATGTAAGAAAACACTTTCACAAGGGCTAGCCAGGTGAGAGATCATAGCACCCGCTTTTAACATGCTAACAAGAAAAGATGCATTGAAGAAGGGAGGAAGGACAGTCTTGCATTGCCTATGACACCTCTCCCCCAACCACAGGAAATTCTCTGAGAGAGAATCTAATGGCTTGGGGACAAGGGGGAAAGTGTGAGACTTTATATTGAAACTTAGTACCAGTCTTGCCATAGTGACACACGGCACTGGGCAGAACCCCACAGCACTTGATTCCAGGCTGGTGCCCACAGAAGAAGCATTTAGACCCACCCTGGGCCACAAGGGAACCAGCTGCCCCAGCAGGAAGAACCCAGCAAAGTTCTGGCCGGCTTTATCACTGGAAATTTCTTGGGCTTCAAATAAATTTCAGTGGCAGGCAGGCTGTAGTGACCACAGTCCTTGGGCAAGCCCTGATGCTGCATAGGTCTGGAGCACCCTGGACTTGTGGTGTGAGCCAGTATGATGGCAGCAGCTGCAGCAGCTATGGGAATGCCTGTATCACCCCTCCCCACACTCCAGGCAGTGCAGCCTGAAGAGAGGTTCCTCTTGCTTGGGGGAAAGAAAGGGAAGTAAGCTAGGGGCTTTACCTGGGAATGCGGAGAACAATCCCTGATCTTCCCCCAAGTCCACAGGGCTGGGGACCTAGGAATCGGTAAGAATTGCAGTGTACCTGGGCCTAGGGTGCCCTGTAGTACAAAAATGGCTGCAGTGATCACTGGCTTAGGGAACTCGTCAGCCCACTTTGAATTCCTGGAAGGTCCTCTGAAGGACAGGTACAAACAAGACCTGACTGCAAAGGCTGGAATAAATACCTTATCCTTCAATGCCCAGATACTGACAAACATCAACAGTATCAATAACATTGAAGCCAATATGACCTCAACAAATGGACCAAGTAAGGCACTCAGTGACCAACCCTGGAGAGATGGAGACGTGTAACCTCTCAGGGAATTCAGAATAGCTATTTTGAGAAAGCTCAATGAACTTCAAGAAAACACAGAGAAACAATTCAGAAATATATCAGAAATTTAACAAGATTACTGAAGTAAGAGAAAAAAATCAAATGCTGGAGCTGGAAAATGCATTAGTGGGTCTCAGTAGAATTGATCAAGCAGAAGAAAGAATTAGTGAGCATGCAAACAAGCTATTTGAAAATAGAGGAGAAAAAAGAAAAGAAGAATGAGCAGGAACACAGAATGCTTAAGAGATCTAGAAGAGGGCCTGAAAAGAGAAAATCAAAGATTCATTGGCCTTAAAGAGGGAGTTGAGAAGGAGCAAAGAGTAGAACACTTATTCAAAAAAATAATCTTTTTAAAAAAAAATACTTTAAGTTCTAGGGTATATGTGCACAACGTGCAGGTTTGTTATATATGTGTACGTGTGCCATGTTGGTTTGCTGCACCCATCAACTCATCATTTACATTAGGTATTTCTCCTAACGCTATCCCTCCCCCAGCCTCCTACCCCACAACAGGCCCCGGTGTGTGATGTTCCCCTCCCTGTGTCCATGTGTTCTCATTGGTCAACTCCCACTTAAGAGTGAGAACATGCGGAGTTTGGTTTTCTGTCCTTGTGATATTTTGCTGAGAATCACAATTTCTAGCTTCATGCATGTCCCTGCAAAAGACAAGAACTCATCCTTTTTTATGGCTGCATAGTATTCTTTGGTGTATATGTGCCACATTTTCTTTATCTAGTCTATTATTGATGGACATTTGGGTTAGTTCCAAGTCTTTGCTATTGTGAATAGTGCCTCAATAAACATAGGTGTGCACATGTCTTTATAGTAGCATGATTTATAATCCTTTGGGTATTCACCCGGTAATGAGATTGCTGGGTCAAATGGTATTTCTAGTTCTAGATCCTTGAGGAATTGCCAAACTGTCTTCCACAATGGTTGAACTAATTTATACTCCCACCAAGAGTGTAAAAGCGTTCCTATTTCTCCACATCCTCTACAGCATCTGTTGTTTCCTGACTTTTTAATGATCGTCATTCTAACTGGCATGAGTGGTATCTCATTGTGGTTTTGATTTGCATTTCTCTGATGACCAGTGATGATGAGCATTTTTTCATATGTCTGTTGGCTGCATAAATGTCTTCTTTTGAGAAGTGTCTGTTCATATCCTTTGCCCTCTTTTTGATGGGGTTGTTTTTTTTTCCTGTAAATTTGTTTGAGTTCTTTGTAGATTCTGGATATTAGCCCTTTGTCAGATGAGTAGATTGCAAAAATTTTCTCCCATTCTGTAGGTTGCCTGTTCACTCTGATGGTAGTTTGTTTTGCTGTGCAGAAGCTTTTTAGTTTAATTAGATCCCATTTGTCAATTTTGGCTTTTGTTGCCATTGCTTTTGGTGTTTTAGACATGAAGTCCTTGCCCATGCCTATGTCCTGAATGGTATTGCCTAGGTTTTCTTCTAGGGTTTTTATGGTTTTACATCTAACATTTAAGTCTTTAATCCACCTTGAATTAATTTTTGTATAAGATGTAAGGAAGGGATCCAGTTTCAGCTTTCTGCATATGGCTAGCCAGTTTTCCCAGCACCATTTGTTAAATAGGGAATCCTTTCCCCATTTCTTGTTTTTGTCAGGTTTGTCAAAGATCAGATAGTTGTAGATGTGTGGTGTTATTTCTAAGGGCTCTGTTCTGTTCCATTGGTCTGTATCTCCGTTTTGGTACCAGCACCATGCTGTTTTGTTTACTGTAGCCTTGTAGTATAGTTTAAAGTCAGGTAGTGTGATGCCTCCAGCTTTGTTCTTTTGGCTTAGGATTGACTTGGCAATGCGGGCTCTTTTTTGGTTACATATGAACTTTAAAGTAGTTTTTTCTAATTCTGTGAAGAAAGTCATTGGTAGCTTGATGGGGATGGCATTGAATCTATAAATTACCTTGGGCAGTATGGCCATTTTCACGATATTGTTTATTCCTCTCCATGAGCATGGAATGTTCTTCCATTTGTTTGTGTCCTCTTTTATTTCCATGAACAGTGGTTTGTAGTCCTCCTTGAAGAGGTCCTTCACATCCCTTGTAAGTTGGATTCCCAGGTATTTTATTCTGTTTGAAGCAATTGTGAATGGGAGTTCACTCATGATTTGGCTCTCTGTTTGTCTGTTATTGGTGTATAAGAATGCTTGTGATTTTTGCACATTGATTTTGTATCCTGAGACTTTGCTGAAGTTGCTTATCAGCTTAAGGAGATTTTGGGCTGAGGTGATGGGGGGTTCTAGATAAACAATCATGTCATCTGCAAACAGGGACAGTTTGACTTCCTCTTTTCCTAATTGAGGAAAAGACTCTCTATTTCTTTCTCCTGCCTGATTGCCCTGGCCAGAACTTCCAACACTATGTTGAATAGGAGTGGTGGGAGAGGGCATCCCTGTCTTGTGCCAGTTTTCAAAGGGAATGCTTCCAGTTTTTGCCCATTCAGTATGATATTGGCTGTGGGTTTGTCATAAATAGCTCTCATTATTTTTAGATACGTCCCATCAATACCTAATTTATTGAGAGTTTTTAGCATGAAGTGCTGTTGAATTTTGTCGAAGGCCTTTTCGGCCTCCATTGAAATACTCGTGGTTTTTGTCATTGGTTCTGTTTATATGCTGGATCACGTTTATTGATTTGTGTATGTTGAACCAGCCTTGCATCCCAGGGATGAAGCCCACTTGATCATGGTGGATAAGCTTTTTGATGTGTTGCTGGATTCGGTTTGCCAGTATTTTATTGAGGATTTTTGCATCAATGTTCATCAGGGATATTGGCCTAAAATTCTCCTTTTTTGTTTTGTCTCTGCCAGGCTTTGGTATCAGGATGATGCTGGCCTCATAAAATGAGTTAGGGAGGATTCTCTCTTTTTCTATTGATTGGAATAGTTTCAGAAGGAATGATATCAGCTCCTCCTTGTACCTCTGATAGAATTCGGCTGTGAATCCATCTGGTCCTGGACTTTTTTTGGTTGGTAAGCTATTAATTATTGCCCGAATTTCAGAGCCTGTTATTGGTCTATTCAGAGATTCAGCTTCTTCCTGGTTTAGTCTTGCGAGGGTGTATGTGTCAAGGAATTTATCCATTTCTTCTAGATTTTCTTGTTTATTTGCAGAGAGGTGTTTATAGTATTCTCTGAAGGTAGTTTGTATTTCTGTGGGATCAGTGGTGTTATCCCCTTTATCATTTTTTATTGCGTCTATGTGATTCTGCTCTCTTTTCTTCTTTATTAGTCTTGCTGGCAGTCTATAAATTTTGTTGATCTTTTCAAAAAACCAGCTCCTGGATTCATTGATTTTTTGAAGGGATTTTTGTGTCTCTATATCCTTCAGCTCTGCTCTGATCTTAGTTATTTCTTGCTTTCTGCTAGCTTTTGAATGTGTTTTCTCTTGCTTCTCTACTTCTTTTAATGGTGATGTTAGGGTGTCGATTTTAGATCTTTCGTGCTTTCTCTTGTGGGCATTTATTGCTATAAATTTCCCTCTACACACTACTTTAAATGTGTCCCAGAGATTCTGATTTGTTGTGTCTTTGTTCCCGTGGATTCCAAAGAACCTCTTTATTTCTGCCTTCATTTCATTATTTACCCAGTAGTCATTCAGGAGCAGGTTGTTCAGTTTCCATGTAGTTGAGTGGTTTTGAGTGAGTTTCTTAATCCTGAGTTCTAGTTTGATTGCACTGTAGTCTGACAGACAGTTTGTTATAATTTCTGTTCTTTTACATTTTCTGAGGAGTGCTTTTCTTCCAACTATGTGGTCAATTTTGGAACAGGTGCAGTGCGGTGCTGAGAAGAATGTATATTCTGTTGACTTGGGGTGGAGAGTTCTGTAGATGTCTATTAGGTCCACTTGGTACAGAGCTGAATTCAATTCCTGGATATCCTTGTTAACTTTCTGTCTTGTTGATCTGTCTAATGTTGACAGTGGGGTGTTAAAGGCTCCCATTATTATTGTGTGGGAGTCTAAGCCTCTTTGTAGGTCTCTAAGGACTTGCATTATGAATCTGGGTGCTCCTGTATTGGGTGCATATATATTTAGGATAGTTAGCTCTTCTTGTTGAATTGATCCCTTTACCATTATATAGTGGCCTTCTTTGTCTCTTTTGATCTTTGTTGGTTTAAAGTCTGTTTTTTCAGAGACTAGGATTGCAACCCCTGCCTTTTTTTGTTTTCCATTTGCTTGGTAGATCTTCCTCCATCCCTTTATTTTGGGCCTGTGTGTTTCTCTGCATGTGAGATGGTTTTCCTGAATGCAGCACACTGATGGGTCTTGACTCTTTATCCAATATGCCAGTCTGTGTCTTTTAATTGGAGCATTTAGCCCATTTACATTTAAGGTTAATATTGTTATGTGTGAATTTGATCCTGTCATTATGATGTTAGCTGGTTATTTTGTTCATTAGTTGATGCAGTTTCTTCCTAGCATCGATGGTCTTTACAATTTGGCATGTTTTTGCAGTGGCTGGTACTAGTTTTTCCTTTCCATATTTAGTGCTTCCTTCAGGAGCTCTTTTAGGGCAGGCCTGGTGGTGACAAAATCTCTCAGCATTTGCTTGTCTGTAAAGTATTTTATTTCTCCTTCACTTATGAAGCTTCATTTGGCTGGATATGAAATTCTGGGTTGAAAATTCTTTTCTTTAAGAATGTCGAATATTAGCCCCCACTCCCTCCTGGCTTGTAGAGTTTCTGCCAAGAGATCACCTGTTAGTCTGATGGGCTTCCCTTTGTGGGTATCCCGACCTTTCTCTCTGGCTGCCCTTAACATTTTTTCCTTCATTTCAACTTTGGTGAATCTGACAATTATGTGTCTTGGAGTTGCTCTTCTCGAGGAGTATCTTTGTGGCGTTCTCTGTATTTCCTGAATTTGAATGTTGGCCTGCCTTGCTAGGTTGGGGAAGTTCTCCTGGATAATATCCTGCAGAGTGTTTTCCAACTTGGTTCCATTCTCCCTGTCACTTTCAGGTACACCAATTAGACATAGATTTGGTCTTTTCACATAGTCCCATATTTCTTGGAGGCTTTGTTCATTTCTTTTTATTCTTTTTTCTCTAAACTTCTCTTCTCACTTCATTTCATTCATTTGATCTTGAATCACCAATACCCTTTCTTCCAGTTGATCGAATCGGCCACTGAAGCTTGTGCATTTATCATGTAGCTCTCATGCCATGGTTTTCAGCTCCACCTGGTCCTTTAAGGACTTATCTGCATTGGTTATTCTAGTTAGTCGTTCATCTAATCTTTTTTCAAGGTTTTTAACTTCTTTGCAATGGGTTCGAACTTCCTCCTTTAGTTCGGAGTAGTTTGATCTTCTGAAGCCTTCTTCTCTCAACTCATCAAAGTCATTCTCTGTCCAGCTTTGTTCCATTGTTGGTGCGGAGCTGCATTCCTTTGGAGGAGGAGAGGCACTCTGATTTTTAGAATTTTCAGTTTTTCTGTTCTTTTTTTCCCCCATCTTTGTGGTTTTATCTACCTGTAGTCTTTGATGATAGTGACATACAGATGGGGTTTTGGTGTGCATGTCCTTTCTGTCTGTTAGTTTTCCTTTTAACAGTCAGGACCCTCAGCTGCAGGTCTGTTGGAGTTTGCTGGAGGTCCAATCCAGACCCTGTTTGCCTGGGTATCAGCAGTGGAGGCTGCAGAACAGCAAATATTGCTGAACAGCAAATGTTGCTGTCTGATCGTTCCTCTGGAGGTTTTGTCTCAGAGGGGTACCCGGCCGTGTGAGGTGTCAGTCTGCCCCTACTGGGGGATGCCTCCCAGATAGGCTACTTGGGAGTCAGGGACCCACTTGAGGAGGCAGTCTGTCCGTTCTCAGATCTCAAACTCTATGCTGGGAGAGCCACTACTCTCTTCAAAGCTGTCAGACAGGGACATTTAAGTCTGCAGAGGTTTCTGCTGCCTTTTGTTTGGCTATGCCCTGCCCCCAGAGGTGGAGTCTACAGAGGCAGGCAGGCCTCCTTGAGCTGCAGTGGGCTCCACCCAGTTTGAACTTCCCTGCAGCTTTTTTTTCCTACTCAAGCCTCAGCAATGGCGGGCACCCCTCCCCAAGCCTCACTGCCACCTTGCAGTTCGATCTCAGACTGCTGTGCTAGCAAGGAGTGAGGCTCAGTGGGTGTGTGACCCTCTGAGCCAGGCATGGGATATAATCTCCTAGTGTGCCGTTTGTTAAGAACATTGTAAAAGTGCTGTATTAGCATGGGAGTGACCCAATTTTCCAGGTGCCATCTGCCACAGCTTTGCTTGGCTATGAAAGGGAATTCCCTGACCCCTGGCACTTCCTGGGTGAGGCGATGCCTTGCCCTGCTTCAGCTCATGCTCGGTGAGCTGCACCCACTGTCCTGCACCCACTGTCTGACAAGCCCCAGTGAGAAGAACCCGGTACCTCAATTGGAAATGCAGAAATCACCCATCTTCCGCATCACTCATGCTGGGAGCTGTAGACTGGAGCTGTTCCTATTTAGCCATCTTGGAACAGCCCCTGGGTTTTGACTCTTTATCCAATTTGCCAGTCTGTGTTTTTTAATTGGGGAATTTATCCCATTTATGTTTCAGGTTAATATTGTTATGTGTGAATTTGATCTTGTCATTGTGATACTAGCTGGTTATTTCCCACCTTTTTTTTTTTTTTTTTTTTTTTTGAGATGGAGTCTCGCTCTGTCACCCAGGCTGGAGTGCAGTGGTGTGATCTCGGCTCACTGCAAGCTCCACCTTCCAGGTTCACACCATTCTCCTGCCTCAGCCTCTTGAATAGCTGGGACTACAGGCACCCACCACCATGCCCGGCTAGTTCTGTTTTTGTATTTTTAGTAGAGATGGGGTTTCACAGTGTTAGCCAGGGTGGTCTCAATCTCCTGACCTTGTGATCCGCCCGCCTCAGCCTCCCAAAGTTCTGGGATTACAGGCGTGAGCCACTGCGCCCGGCCTTATTTTACCTATTAATAGATGCAGTTTCTTCATAGCATAGATGGTCTTTACAATTTGGCATGTTTTTGCAGTGGCTGGTACTGGTTGTTCCTTTCCATGTTTAGTGCTTCCTTCAGGAGCTCTTGTAAGGCAGGTCTGGTGGTGACAAAGTCTCTCAGCATTTGCTTGTCTGTAACAGATTTTGTTTCTCCTTCACTTATGAAGCTTCGTTTGGCTGGATATGAAATTCTGGATTGAAAATTCTTTTCTTTAAGAATGTTGAATATTGGTCCCCACTCTCTTCTGGCTTGTAGTGTTTCTGCCGAGAGGTCCGCTCTCAGTCTGATGGGCTTCCCTTTGTGGGTAACCCGACCTTTCTCTCTGGCTGCCCTTAATATTTTTTCCTTCATTTCAACCTTGGTGAATCTGACAATTATGTGTCTTGGGGTTGCTCTTCTCAATGAGTATCTTTGTGGTGTTCTCTGTATTTCTTGAATTTGAATGTTGGCCTTCCTTGCTAGGATGGGGAAGTTCTCCTGAATAATATCGTGAAGAGTGTTTTCTAACTTGGTTCCATTCTCTCTGTCACTTTCAGGTACAGCTATCAAATGTAGATTTGGTCTTTTTACATAGTCCCATATTTACTGGAGTCTTTGTTCATTTCTTTTTACTCTTTTTTCTCTAATCTTGTCTTCTCACTTTATTTCATTAATTTGATCTTCAATCACTGATATCCTTTATTCCGCTTGATTGAATTGGCTATTGAATCTTGTTTATGCTTCATGAGGTTCTCATACTGTGGTTTTCAGCTCCTTCAGGTCACTTAAGCTCTTCTCTACACTGTTTATTCTAGTTAGCCATTCATCTAACCTTTTTTCAAGGTTTTCAGCTTCCTTGTGATGGGTTAGAACATGCTCCTTTAGCCCGGAGAAGTTTGTTATTACCGACCTTCTGAAGCCTGCTTCTGTCACCTCATCAAACTAATTCTCCATCCAGTTTTGTTCCCTTGCTGGTGAGGACTTGTGTTCCTTTGGAGGAGAAGAGGCGCTCTGGTTTTTGGAATTTTCAGCCTTTCTGCTCTGGTTTCTCCCCATCTTTGTGGTTTTATGTACTACTTTGGTCTTTGATGTTGGTGACCTACAGATGGGGTTTTAGTGTGGATGTCTTTTTGTTGATGTTGATGCTATTCCTTTCTGTTTGTTAATCCTTCTAACCAGGCAGGTCCCTCAGCTGCAGGTCTGTTGGAGTTTGCTGGAGGTCCACTCCAGACCCTGTTTGCCTGGGTGTCACCAGCAGAGGCTGCAGAATAGCAAATATTGCTGCCTGATCCTTCCTCTGGAAGCTTTGTCCCAGCGGGGCACCCACTTGTATGAGGTGTCTGTCGGCCCCTACTGGGAGGTGTCTCCCAGTTAGGCTACACGGTGGTCAGAGACCCACTTGAGGAGGCTGTCTGTCCATTATCAGAGCTCAAATGCCATGCTGGGAGAACTACTGCTGCCTTTAGGGCTGTCAGGCAGGGACATTTAAGTCTGCAGAAGCTGTCTGCTGCCTGTTATTCAGATATGCTCTGCCCCCAGAGGTGGAATCTAGAGGCAGCAGGCCTTGCTGAGCTGCAGTGGGCCCTGCCCAGTTCGAGCTTCCCTACCACTTTGTTTACACTGTGACCATGGAACCAAGTACTCGAGCCTCAGCAGTGGCAGAACCCCCTCTCCCTGCCATGCTCCAATGTCGCAGGTTGATCTCAGACTGCTGTGCTAGCAGCAAGCAAGGCTCCGTGGGCATGGGACTTGCCGAGGCAGGCACAAGAGGGAATCTCCTGGTCTGTCAGTTGCAAAGACAGTGGAAAAAAGCACAGTATTTGAGCAGGAGTGTACTGCTCCTCCAGGTGCAGTCACTCACAGCTTCCCTTGGCTAGGAAAAAGAAATCCCCCAACCCCTTGCGCTTCCCAGGTGAGGTGACACCCCACCCTGCTTTGGCTCATCCTCTATGGGCTGCACCCACTGTTCAACGAGTCCCAGTGAGATGAACCAGGTACCTCAGTTGGAAATGCAGAAATCACCTGTGTTCTGCGTCTATCTCACTGGAAGCTGTAGACCGGAGCTGTTCCTATTCAGCCATCTTGGAAGCAACCCTCTTTTTTTTTTTGTATTTTGGTAGAGACAGGGTTTCACCATATTGCCCAGACTGGTTTCAAACTCCTGAGGTCAAGCCATTCTATAAAAGAAAATTATATTTGTTTTATCTGAGTTCCTTCCTCAGGAAAGGACTCTCAGTCCTCTCAAAAAGCATCAGAGACCTGAAACTCAGCCAATCACAGCATCCAGACAATGAGATGCCAGTCCCCTCACTCATCACGAGTGCTTCCTCACCCCTCCCTAGTTCCTCTCTTCCCACACACAGTTACGTTTCTTCTGTGCTATATAAACCCCTAACTTGAGTCAATCAGGGAGACAGATTTGAGACTCATCTCCCGTCTACTCAGCTGCAGCACCCAATTAAAGCCTTCTTCCTCAGCAATACTCAATGTCTCAATGATTGTCTTTCTGTGTGCTGAGAACACTGAAGCCCTGGGGTTTTGGTAAAAATACATGTACACTTTTAAAAACCGCAATTAATGGGTTGTGGTATATTGAGAAATTGGAGTGGCATCAACTTGGCCAATTCTGAGGAAACACACTGTGCTTAAGTGTCAGGGCCCTGTCTCCTGACCTCGACAGTTTATGGTTGATTTTGAGGCACAGCAGGGGAGTATGGCCTGGTTTGAGTGTTTTATAGAAATGTAAAACATGGCTGATTACTTTTTATTTTAAATCCAACAAATCTCCATTTCTGGTGAGAAAATCTTGCCAAAACCAACCAAACAAATGCATAGAAGTATATGAAGAAGGAAATGAAAGATTCCCTGCCTCCCAATCCCACTTGCTTGGTGTCAGCCATTATTTATCACATGGAGGAAGGGGGAAAGGCACCCAGGAAGTCCCAAGTCCTGTTCTCACAATCATCTGGCCTCCCTGGGCAAAGGGAAAAGAGGGAAGGCAAAAAGAATATAGCACTACGGTTTGCGGAAATTTCCCCTTGGTACAGGAAACTCTGGTAAACTGAGAGAGTATGTTTTCCATGAGGGAGGCCTCAAGGGCTCTTCTCTGGCCCTAAGCCCAAGCTGGATTTTGACTCATTTTCTGAGGTGCAAATGAAATGATAAAAGTTGATCAAAGGAGAGGGCAGAGAGAAAGAGGATGACTCCTCTCTCGCAGGTCCACCTTCCTTGGTGTTGCTTGAGGGATCAGAAGAAATGCCTTAACATAGGTGTGTGGGAACTATGGCTGCTAAGTATGAACTCAGTTACCTCCAGTTATAAGCTAGTGTGAGGTTCCATGGTGTAACGGTGAGCACTTTGGACTCTGAATACAGTGATCAGAGTTCAAGTCTCACTGGGACCTTTCTGTATAATTCCAGTGAGGTTCTTCTCTATTGCTCCATAAGCAGAATGGGGGAAATTGCCCAATCGTGGTCACAGACCCTCCATGCCACTGGCTGTGTGCAATTGGAGTCCCGGACCCAGCGACCAGCAAGACCCCTCCCCTCTCAGGGTGACCCTGGGCCTCCAGGTCACAGGTCTCCACTAAAAAGGCTGCCTCCCCTCAATCCTAGACCCCGAGTTTTCTTTTGTTCACGTCATTGGGCCATTGCCCTATGTCTCTTTGGAAGAAATGACCTATATGAAAAGCTTTACTTCTGGGATTCCCTAATTCCTTCATCCCTTAGGACAGTGCAGTTTTTCATCTCCTGATCTTGGGTCCAGTACTAAAGTGCGCGTTTGATTTTGTTTTCATGGGATCCCCTCCGACCAGCTACCAGTGGATTCCTGTCCTTGGGGTCTCTGTGGACGGCAACTAGATGCTGCTCTTGTCCCAAATCCTGACACCTCCCTCCAGCCAATTGCCTCCCTTAGCCTCCTAAATCAGCCAATATTTAGATTTGAACTTGAGATCCCAGCATCTGTGGAGAACAGAGGTTCCTGATCCCTGGCCAGCCTCCCGCAGTGAAGGGGAGAGGAGCAGAGCAGCTGGGAGGGGCAAGTCCAGGGCCCTGGGCAACCCCCTTCTTCCTGCCCAGACTCTGCTCCAAGGAGAAGTTGCCTTAGGACCAGATCAGATGGAAACTCTTGTTCTCTTCTCATCAGCAGAAAAATTTAGGCAAGAGCTCTGGAGGACCTTCCTAGCTCATAAAAATGCTGTGGTCAAGTCTCTCCAGTTTTGGAAATGTCCAAGGTTACCAAGTGTTTTGAGGGCTCACTTTGGAGCCTCTGAAAAGGAGGGGTCAGGGCCCATGGAAGGTACCTGAGGGATGCAGGGGAGAGAGGGGAAAGAGCAGACAGGAGGGAGGAGAGAAGGAGGGAGGGGGAGAAAGGGTGTGTGAGGGCCAGGAGCCAGGATTCACCCTGACAGTTCAGTGACTGCTCCCTGACCCCAAGGTTCCCACTGTGGCACCTTCCAGCAGGTGGTTTCCATCTCTTATTGATGTCCTGAGAACTTGGCTCTACAGAATGGTCCCACCCTATTTGTCTGGCATGAGTCCTGCAAAGTTTCTTTTCATCGTTTGGGGGATGAAATGGGGGTATATAGGTTTGCAAGTGACTAGGAGCTAAGTCAGGACCTTGTGAAGCCACTCAGAGTTAACTGTCAGGTAGCCTCCTTTCCCCCTTCCCTTGCAGGATGATTGCCTGCAAGACAGGGCCTGGAGGAGGCCAGGGCACCCAAGGCCACAGAAATGCCCAGGGATGAGTCCCAGCTGGAGATGCCTTGGCTGAGCTGATTGTGCACTTCCAGGGCTCACAGGGGTCTGGCCAGGAGACTAAGGAAGGGGACCAGGGAGGTTGTGTAGCAGGCTTCTGCACAGCAAGGCAGACATTCTTCTTGGAGCCCCCAACCCAAAACAGGTCTTCCACCTCCTCTTCCTAAAGACCCTTTACTGCTGTCATTCTTTTACTAGAACTACAAGTTTATAGGACATGGATTTCAGTGCCGTCATCTGGCCAAGCATCTTCAGCTGCCAATGCCCAAGGTAACCTCTCTCCCTACTAAGACCTGACTCAGGACCTTTCCTTAAGGAGATGTCCTGTTCTTTCTTTCCCACCAGAACCGCCCTGGCCCAGACCCCATTTCTGTCTGGTGACCAGGACAGTCCCCTCACCAGTCTCCCAGGTTGGGGAGGGCAGATCCTCCTCAGCTCCCTGCCCCTGAAAGACCCCAACCGTCTTGTGTGGCTCCGGCCCACAGAGTGATATCCATGGCCCATATCTCTCAAAACTCTCCCCTCCCACTCTGAATCCACCCTCTACTGCATGCTCCCCTCACAGAACAGACTAATTTTTGTGTGTGTGTCCTTGTTTTGCCTACCTGTACCCCAGACAGACTTTTCTGTCTTAGAACTACCTGTCCCTCTTTGAACAGTGTCTTCCTGGTAGTACACATGAAGATGTCCCGCTCTCCCCTGCTCAAGGAGAGAGTGCCTGACCTGAGCTGGGCCCATCAGATCCAGTACTTACCTGGAATAGGAAAACGATGGGGAGGGTGACCAAAGATTGCAAAAATCTTTGAAGCTTATCTACTTGAGAGAGAGTCCCTGAAGATACTGGCCTCTCATTCCTGCTATGTATATCCAATGTGACTGAACTCTGAATAAAATATACAAGTTATAACAATGTAGCAATTGACCCAGCAAATGAGGACACAAACGTGTTGGAGGGTAAGGTGGTGAGAGGCGTGTTTGGGGGTGGTGGTGATGAGCAAGTATGTGAAGGAGAGGTAGTGCCTAAACTTGAAAATCAAAAAGTAATAATATCTATTTAGACATAAGGAGATAAATAACGAAATAATTGCTTCTATGTGATGAAACTCTGGGAGTACACAAGGGGACTGCTATTTTACTAAACAAATTTTCAAGTATATATAACTTTGATAAAGTATCCAAATAATTCCTTTCCCATATAAATATGTGTATATATGTATTCATTGTATTTTGAAGATAAATTTTTACACAGTCATGTTAATCGCTTTCATTTAAGGATTTGAGTTTGATGTCTTGCATACAATGTGATCTCACTGTATGACTACACAAATGTTGGCAAAAGTGAGTTCAGAGGAATTGGTAGGCAAGTACTTCCCAGTTTTGGCCAGAAGATGGAGAAAAAGAGAATTCTCAAAAAATGTTAAAAGTATGACATGTTATATCTTCTTTTCACAGTAATTTAGACAGAAATTAGCAAAATCAAAAATGTATAAATACTTTGGTCTGACAATTCCATCTCCAGGTGTCTACAGAGAAATAGACAAGCGATGCACGACAGATACATGTGTCAGTCTGGTCCCTGCAGTTGTATTTGTAATAATACACATTGGAGCAATTTCATGGCCATCAGTTAGAGAATGTTTGAGGAATGATCCATTCATATCAAGAAGGACATTTCAAAGATCAAAGCCTGATGGAAATGCTGGAGACCATGGCGCTGATAGGAGCTCATGCGTGTTGACCAATTACTACATGACAGGCATTGGCTCCAGGCTTTTCCTGCACTGCTCATTTAAACACTGGACAACCTAAGTGTTCTGATTTAGCCCATTGGACAGATAGAAATGGAGGCACAGAAGATTCATGTGTTTAACTTCAAACCCTGGCAGATTAGGTTTTTCATCCAGAGCCTGTGGCTTCACCATAGCTGTGATTCACGTTCTGTCATTTTCCACTTTAGGAATTTCCAGTATTCCAAATATGAGAAGCTGAGAAAACAAACAACAAACTCAAAACCCTAAAAACCAGGATACGTAAGGGTAGATGTTTGTTGGGTGTGGATTTAAAATGGACTTTTTTTGCCCCAAGCAACAAAGAGGCACCTTAGAAAATAGACAAGAGACAAGAAGAAGAGAAGCTTTAAGAGATATTTGGTCCAAGGAAGAGACTCTTCAGATGGAAGGTCACATCAGCTAGAAACATTAATATGACTGGATGGGCTCAAACCACTGACTTTTCAGTCAACATCCGACAGCACTAACCCAGTGTTCCAGAGACACTGCTTGTTAAACAGTGAAAGCTGTTGCTCAATTGTGTCATCCGTAATTGTCAAATATTGCCATTTAGTAGCACAAGGAAGTATTCTCCGTTGCCAAGCTAGAGTACCCATAACTCTTCTGTTTTGTTGAACATTCTTCCCCACCACAAACCCTCTTTAGAAGACTGGGGGCCCCTAAAGCATTGAGGCCGAGAGTCCCGTCCTTGTGCATGTTTGGGCATTGACCCAGGGCCAAGTCAGTGGGAGACTCCTCCACGCCTACGCCAGGTCCCCAGGTGACAACTGCAGTCTCTGGATCTGAAGTCATCCACTTTCCCATTCCTAGCTCACCTCACCCATCGTGAAGCCTGGTTAGTATTGCCAGAGACCCGAGTGGGCAGATGCCCACACCAAAGACAGAACCTGCTGTGTGCCCACCTTGCTGATCCCTCCCTCCTTCTAGACAAAGGCTTCATAAGCCAGGGACCTTGGGTTTGCTCACAAGGCAGCCCCTCACCTAGTAGGCATTAGTTCATTATGTATATGTATATGTAGTCCTCAGATTGTATTCCTTAAATATATATAATTTAAGGATATGTATTATATATATATAAATATATATGTAATTCCTTAAATATATAATTTTAATACAATTTTTTTTTTTTTGAGATGGAGTCTCACTCTGTCTCCCAGGCTGGAGTGCAGTGGCACCATCTTGGCTCACTGCAAGCTCCACCTCCCAGGTTCACGCCATTCTCCTGCCTCAGCCTTCCAAGTACCTGGGACTACAGGCGCCCGCCATCACGCCAGGCTAATTTTTTTTTTTTGTATTTTTAGTAGGAATGGGGTTTCACCATGTTAGCCAGGATGGTCTCGATCTTCTGACCTCATGATCCACCCACCTCGGCCTCCCAAAGTGCTAGGATTACAGGCGTGGACCACCGCACCTGGCCAAAACAAAGTTTTTAAAAGATTCCTTTAATAAACATTTACAATAACATCAAGAAATATAAACGACATAGCAAATATGTGAAAGCCAGCCAGACTCTCAATGGCATCCAGAAACATAAACTACATAGAAAAGACATGAAAGCCAGCCAGGCTTGGCTTCGAATCCCAGCACTTTGGAAGGCTGTGGCAGGAGGGTTGCTTGATCTCAGAAGCTTGAAACTAGCCTAGGCAACATAGTGAGCCCTCATCTCTACTGAAAATCAGAAAAATTATCCAGGTTTGGTGGTGTGAGCCTGTAGTCCCAGGAATCAGTGGATGAGGCCCTAGGATGTCATAGGCCTGAGAATTCCATGCTGCAGTGAGCTGTGATTGTGCCACTGTACTCCAGCCTGGGTGAAAGAGTGAGATCCTGTGCAGAAACAAAAGAAGAAAAAAAGAGATATGAAAGCCTATATATTGAAGACTACCAAGTACTGCTTAGAGCAGTTAAAGACCTTTGGAATAGAAAATGTTTCTTCTTGCATTTCAAGATTGCTTTTGTTTTGGGAGGACACACTATTTTTTAGGAATATGAAGTTCTTCTTAGGCATTCCTGTAAAAAAGGCCACTTCTTGATAGGATTGTATTGAATCTGTGGGTTGCTTTGAGTTGTATTTTTATCTTAACCATGTTACAACTTCCAACCCATGGACACAAGATGTCTGTCCATTGATTTAGGTCTTCCTGAATCTCCTCGAGCAATGTTCTGTAGTTGTCTGTGTACAAGTACGGCACCTTCTTGAACAAATTTATTCTCAGGCATATTATTCTTACAAGTGCTATTATAAATGAAATCATTGTGTCAATTTTCTTCTCAGATTGTTCATTGCTAACACAACTGATTGTTTGCTGAAAGTTTGCTGAATTCACTTATTAACTCTAGTAGTGTGTGTATGTGAGTGTGTGTGTGTGTGTGTGTGTGTGTGTGTGTGTCTGGCCTCTGTATGCATGTATGTGTGTTTGCATCTGTAGGTATTATTTGGGATTTTCTATGTATAGGATCACAACATCTGCAAATTGAGATCATTTTGTTTTCTGTTCAAAAATACTTTTTCTCATGTTTATTTTTAAAAGATAATTTGGCCAGGTGTAGAATTGTAGGTGACAGTTTTTCTTTTTTTAAGTTCTTTATTGCAAACTTCTTGTTTGTATGAGAAATCTTATGCCATCCTTATATTTAGTGCTCTGTATGTAACATGTTCTTTCCCTTTTTATTCCTTTTAGGATTTCCTTTTTATCACTGGTTTTGATGGATTTGATTAAGGCGTTCCTTGGTGAAGTTTTCTTCATGTTTCTTGTTCTTAGAATAATCATATTTCTGTAATATTTGAAGTTTATGGTTTCCATGGAGCTTCTAAATCTTTCATCCAGTATGTTTTAAATATCTTTGTCTCTCTTCTCCACTACACGCCCTTCAGGGATTCCATTTAGCCCTATACTGGGGGGTTTAAAGTTTTGATGCCAATGGTCTTTTTATGTTTTCAAGTCATTTGTTACTGTGTGTTTCATTTATGTTAGTTTCAACTTCTATTCCTTCTAGTTCAATAATCTTCTCTTCTGCAATGTTTAATCCACTGCCTTCTTCCACTTCAGACTGTAAATCATACTTTTTATCTACAGAATTTGATATTTAAAAAATCTTCAACCTCCCCATTTAATTAAAATACAATTATACTAACTGCTCTAATGTCCTTTTCTTCTATGTCCAACATGTCTGTCAATTTCAACTAGATTATTAGATTCTTCATTATGTGTCATGTTTTCCTGCTTCTTTGGCTGCTTCATATTCTTTTATTTTTTTTTTTTTTGCGGGGGGATAGAGTTTTGCTCTCATTGCCCAGGCTGGAGTGCAATGGTGTGATCTCAGCTCACTGCAACCTCCACCTCCCAGGTACACAAGCGATTCTCCTGTCTCAGCCTCCCAAGTAGCTCAGATTACAGGCATGCACAATCATGCCTGGCTAATTTTTTTGTATTTAGTAGATATGGGGTTTCACCATGTTAGTCAGGCTGGTCGTGAACTCCTGACCTCAGGTGATCCATCTGGCTGCTTGATATTCTAAGATTTGATGCTGGAACTTTGGTGTCAATGCTCAAAATGCCCAAAGACACCACTCAACCTCAGTGTCTATGCACACCCAAGCTTTTGCAGCAGGACAGGTAGAGCAGAGATGAGTGTGCTACAACATGCTGGTAGAGGGTACCCCCAATTGTGCTTGGGGATTTCCTATTCCTCATGGAAAAATGTGTCTTCCTTAATTTTTCCCATAAGAACCACCCTACTTCATGCCCTGTCTCTCTGTCCAAACACCAGGACAGTCCTCTCACCAGTCTCAACCACCCAATGGATTGACAAAGGTGCAAATATGATTCAGTGGAGAAGGCATTCTCTTGTCAACAAATTGTGTAGAAACAACTTTTTTTTACACAATTTTTTTTTTATCCCCAAAGGAAAAAAATTCACCTGAACCTCAATACTAACTCAAAAACTAACTCAAAATGGATTATGCAACTAAATATAAACTATAAAACTAGAAAAAGTATAGCAGAAAATATAAGACAAAATCTTCATGACACAGAGTTAGGTAAAGTGTTCTTTATTATCAATAAACACAAACCATTAAAGAAAACATTGATAAATTCGACTTTATAAAAATTAAGTTTTTGCTCAACAGTACTAAGAGAACAAATATAAGCTGCAGTTTGGGAGAAAAACAGTGGAAATCACCAATATGACAAAGGGCATATGTGATAGTTACTTGTACTTGTCACTGTGACCGAGCACCAGGGTGCCAGGACATTTGGCCAAACATGATTCTGGTTGTGTTCCAGAGAGTCTTTCAGATACGATTAACATTGGGATGGGCAGACTAAGTGAAGCAGATTGCCCTCCTTAATAGGGGTGGGCCTCATGCAATCAATCAAGGGCCAGGAGAGAATTAAGAGGCCTAATGGGAAACAAATGCTTTCCTGGGTATCCAGCTTTCCTTCCATCTTGGGAATTTCAGCCTCCATAATCTCAGAAGCAAATTCATGTATATATATACACACACATATACATTTCATAGGTATGTGGCTAAGATTGTATTTTTACAAGTTCAGCCATGAGATTGGTGAAGCCAGCCAATGAATAAGGGTGTGTTCTATTATACGATTCAGTCTTCTTTTGTAAACGATTGAAGTTCTGCATTTGAAGTAGGAGGATAGGAGGGAGCAAGTCCACCTAGGATGATAACAGCTGAATTTCTCAACATACACTTCAGAGCCGTAGGGGTCAACTTAGAGACTCAAAAATCTCACCCATAATCCTGCCCCTAAACACCAGGGCTAGGGAACACTGTGGCCCTCAGGTGATTTTCTTTAGCCAGGTCTGGGAGCCACACGATGGCAGAGGGAGCAGGAAACACTATGCAAATAGAGGCCAGGACAGCAGGGAGGGCCTGTTCATGATAGAACCCAGGCAAAACTATCCTCAGAAAGCGAGTGTGGAGAAACATAGATCATGCCTGAGACCTGGTGGATTAGAGCACTGGCTACTGGGGAATTGAAAGGAAGGGGCTTCACCGTGCAGAGGACCAGAGGTGCCAATCTTGGAAATGCAGAATTGCTGGGAGATGGGGAGGCACGGACCATGGAAGTATCCTCTGGAGACTCATGGTGAAGAGAACAAATGAGTGAAGTAACTGGCAGAAATTAGAGGTCCTGGTAGAACAAAATCGAATCCCACAATGAGAACATACACCATGTATGTCCCCCAAGGAAGACAATATCTCCTAAAAACTCCAGAAAAATCATTTTGGGCAAGCACCTTATATCTAGTAATGCGATCCATGTATCGAGACCGTGAGAAAAGATTATTAAACATGCTAAACTCAGCGAGACCTGATTCCCTCATGAGGACTCTGTTAAGGATGAGTACCACTCAGCAAGTGATGACTGTGACATTCACTTTTGAATAGCTCATGAGCGTTAATATATTTCATTGTGGATCTAAACCAAAAACCAAGGTAGGGGCAAGATGATAATCACAGAATGTCACCGGTATATGTTTAGGTTCAAATACTATTATGAGAAGTGGCAGGTAAAGGAGGTAGGAAAAAGAAAACACATCATGTAATTGACTGTTGTATGGAAATATTTGATGCTGAAAGTTATAATTTAAAACTATAAACCAAATATTAGAAGTGTGTCTAGTTCAAAGGGAGGAAAACCATCAAAAACATTTTTAGTGCAATATTTAACATGAGCTATACAACCCTTCCTAAATGCCAAAGGCACACACAGACACACACACACACACACACACTCTCACACTCACGAAGAATACAAATGACTAGAACCAAGAAATGTAAACACATTCTGCTACGTATGGTAAACATAGCCTACAATGTGGAAGAGATTACAAAATAAACATGGAAATGAAATGTTTTTATTAATTCGCATCAGTACCCACCAAAACCAATCAGCATAATCAAATATTATAACACTGAATGTGAAAAACAATCCAAAAGTCCAGAGTGATAGGCAAAAGGTTTTAATTGTATAGATTAAAATTAACTTTGGACAAAAATTAAAACTCAGGCAGAGAATGTTTTCTTCTTTTTGCAACAGCAGACACTAGTAAAAACAAAGGCACAGTAAAAATTGAGACCCAAAATTTGCAGTGTAGAGATATGAATATAATAATAGACACAGGCAGGGAGGATTAATAAATGATAAAATGTTTAGAGGATGATCATTAGAATACAGGATATTTATACTCTTGAAAACTGCTTTCCCAAGTACTTCATTATAAGTAAGGTGTCTCTAAAAGGGACAGATCTCCTAGACCCCTCCTTAACCAAGTAACCAGTCCTGATATCATAATGGTGATGGACAAACTAGACCTTCTCTGCCCGCAGATGGGCTGAGGTTGGAAACTCACAGCATTGTCTCTGCAGTGTTCCCGGCAAAACGTTTAGGCTGAATTTAATCATGAAGACATTTTCAGACAACTTCAGAATGTAGATCATTGAGCCAGACAGCTGACCTGTCCTCTATAAACAAGTCCATGTCACCACCATCCATGACAACAACAAAAAGATGAGGAAATATTTGGGGTTCAAAATAACTAAAGAAATGCAGCTACATTATCTTTTTACTTTTTTTCAACCGAAAATATCTCTTCTCCTTTTTGTTGTGTGATTTGTGGTGATATGGACTATGTGAAGGAGACAGGTCAGTTGTCCTGCTCAGTGTTCTACATTCTGCAGTTGTCTGGTGATTACCTCCTATGAAACTCAGGTTAAGCGTTTTCTGCAAGAACATGGCATTGCTCATATTCTGCACCGGCAGAGTCCTGGGTAACATGCTGTCTCCTGCCAGCGGCTCCTGACTCCTGTTCTCTACAGGATGGAATTGAGAGGAGCAGGGCTAAGGCCTCCCAATGCTGTTTGTCCATCTAGCTGTGGTCTTCCTAAGTACTGACACCAATTGGAGGCTGAAGGACTGTGGCTTCTCTAACCAAAGGAGCCTAGCGGGTTAACAATTGTCAAGAGCAGTTGGTGGTTCTGAAATACAATCCTCAGCCAAGGATCCCTCCTGTGTTACAGATGGATCAGCTAAAACAAGCCAACACTGAAGACACAAAGAATGAGGTTAGGTTCATTGAAACCAGGGTAACACCTTTGGATGAGCTAAACACAAAGATGACAATGACCTTGAGCAGGTATAGAAGCTCAGAGACATGCCTGCAAAATGAAATCCCTGAGGAATTTTGTAGCTACCCAGAGATACGTGGTTCAAATTAAAATGTCCGACTGATCACTCCCGGCATGTGCTGCACAGTTATGTGAACGTGTCACACCTAACGTGGGTCCATTGTCTTCAGACTGAGCACAGGTTGCCACTGGCATGCTCTGAGAATAGGAATAGAGCCATGCCCACTGACCCATCCTATGTCTGGGCTTCCAAATGGAACTATAGTTTCATTCAAATCTTCAGGCGCCTATAGGTCCTGCCTGCAGGAATGACACCTCTCGGCTTAGTAAGGGCTGCTTATTGTGGGAATATGACTCCCATCTGGAAGACCAGATAGAGACTTGTCACCGTCAAAGTAAAGAACCTATTGTCCATGTCAAGGGCAAAGCTGATGTGCTGTTCCTCAAATGACTAAAACACACTTCTGTAGTGCTGGAATGAGTCACGTAGTTCACAGTACATTGATGGAGTCGAATAACATCTATCCAGTGAGTCCTGTAAGACTTCAGGCTCTTCCACTTCCATCAGCACGCTGTTGAGCCTGGAAAAGGAGACAAAACTAAAGAAGCAGCCAGGGAAAATCAGACACCACAGAGCCCCACTAGATTTCAGAAGTAACATAAGGAAGTGGTTAGAAAAGAAAAAGGACAGATCCATTAATGAGGTAACAAATTATTGCCTTTATGTTGGGATAGAACAGGGCCAGGTAGAAAACAATGAAAGAGAAAGACAGAGAGAGAGAGACAGAGACAGAGACAGAGAGAAAGTGACCTAGTGAATTGGCCAGGTGACATACTGGTAAGGGAGTAAAAGGACACTCTGAGTTAGTGCCCTCATGACACACAGCAAACTGTGATCATGAAAAGAGTGAGCTCAATAGTTTTCCATAAAATATGCTCAAAATTCGATGCAGTGGCCATGAGAGTACAGCTTTTGAAGTATGGTCAACCTGTGGTACGTTAGTAAATGATAAGGGGAGGAAGAAATGGAAACCTAAACATCTACTGCAATGAAAACCAACAGCAATGACAGTAGGAGTAATTCAGCCTTCGTTGAAAACATGACATCAAACACACTCTGGTTTCCCTGAATCTGTTGCCTCCAGGTGTTAACACAGAACTAAGCATCCACAATTGCTGAAAGTCACCTGGGGCATGGTGGGTTTTGATCTTCTTCCCCTTCTTTTCTTCCCCTTCTTCTTTTCTTCTTTGATCTTCTTCCCCTTCTTATCTTCCCCTTCCCCTTCTTTTCAATTTCTGCAATAAATTCAGACATGGACAGACACATTAAGCTGATTCCCCTACACACATAACAATCCACTGTCTAATCCTCACACAGGGACCTCAGGCTCCTCAGCATAAGAATAGGACACTGTGAGAGATATATTTCAGGAGGCCTGAAGGCTGGTCGTGATAGAAATTCCTCGGTTTTTCTCCCAGAAACTGTGGGTAAAATGTCCCTATTCTAGTAGATCGTTATCCCAATATCATTTGTCCCAAGTTTGTGCAAACAGTTATGCCATATTTTTACAATCAACTTAAAGCAAATACCCTCAAATGATTTCTAGGAGAAAAACTGCAATATTTAGCCCTGTCTCATCAAATACTCAGATTGTTCATGGTTGTGAGGACTTTAGACACTGAAATTAGAGTGAAAAAGGAAATCTACAAACCCTTGAGTCAAAATCATAGTTCTCTGAATTTGTCACATCTGCCCAGGTCCAATGTCATGAGAGTAGGATCAGGGCGCCACAGGTATGGCCTGAGACTAGGAAGAGAGTCTTGCTCACTGACCCATCCCTTGTCTGGGCTTCCAGGTAGAACTAGAGTTTCATTCAACCTACATGTGCCTATAGGTCCTCCCTGTGGCAATGACATCTCTCAGCTCAGTAATGGCCACTTGGAGCAGGAACATGATCTTTATATGGAAGACTCAGTGGATCCTTATCACCTTCATAGAAAGGTACTCACCTCCCACGTCAAGAGAAAAGCCAACATGTTTTTCCTCCAATGCATAAAAGGAACTTCCATACGGCTGGCAGGAGTCAGGCTGTTCAAGACAACTGGAAGGAGTTGAATAACATCTATCCAGTGAGTCCTGCAAGACTTCAGGCTCTACTACCTCCAGCAGCTCCCTGCTGAGCCTGGAAAAGGAGGAAAAAGTAAAGAATACGCCAGGGGAAATCAGACACAACAGAGCCCCAACTAGGTTTCATGGGTAGCATAAGGAAGTGGTTAAAAAAGTAAAAGGATAGATCCATTAATGAGGTAACAAATTATTGCCTTCATGTTGGGACAGAACAGGGCCAAATGGAAAAGAATGAAAGAGAAAGACAGACAGACACACACACACACACACACACACACACACACACACACACACACACAGAGAGAACGAGCTCAGTGAATTGTCCAGGTGACACACTGATGAGGGAGTAACAGGACACTCTGAGTTAGTGCCCTCAGGACACACAGCATACAGGGATCATGAAAAGACTGTGCTCAATAATTTTCCATAAAATGTGCTCAAGTTTCCATGCAGTCGCCATGAGAATACAGTTTTTGAAGTCTGGTCCACCTACAGTAGGTTAGTAAATGAGAAGGGGAGGAAGAAATGGAAACCTAAATATCTACTGCAATGAAAACCAACAGCAATGTTAGTAGGAATAATTCAGGCTTGGTTGAAAAGATGTAATCGATAATGTCAGCCCGCTCTGTTTTCCCTGAACCAGGAGTCTCCAGATGTCAACACAGAAGTAGCTGTTCACAATTGCTCAGTTACCTGGGGCATGGTGGGCCTTGGTCTTCTTCCTCTTCTTGGTCCTTTTTAATTCCTGCAATACATTCAGACAGGGACAGACAAAATAAGCCAATTCACCTACACCCATAACAGTCCACTGTCTAATCCCCACACAGGGATCTCAGGCTCCTCAGCATGAGAACAGGACAATGTGAGAGATGTACTTCAGGAGGCCTGAAAGCTGGTCATGATATTCTTTGGTTTGCATCTCAGAACCAAGGGTGAAATATCCCCATTCTGGTAGATCGTTATCCCAAAATCATTTATCCCAAGTTTGTGCAAACAGTTATGCCTTATTGTTCCCATCAGTTCAAAGAAAATGCCCCAGATGATTTCTAGGAGGAAAACTGCAGTATTCAGCCCTGTCTCATCAAATGCCCAGCTCGTTCATGGATGCAAGAATTTGAGACACTGAAATTAGAATGAAGGAGGAAATCTACAAACCCTTGAGTCCAAATCATACTTCTGTGAATTTTTTACATCTGCCTGGGTCCAATGTGCTGAGAGCGGGCTCAGGTTGCCACAGGCATGGCTGGAGACTAGGAATAGAGCCTTGCTCACTGACCCATTTCATGTCTAGGCTTCCAGCTGAGACTACAGTCTCATTACAACCTATATGCGCCCATAGGTCCTGCCTGCGGCAATGACATCTCTCGGGTCAGTAAGGGCCACTTGGAACAGGAATATCACCCCTATCTGGAAGACCAGGTGGAGGCTTATCACCTTCATAGTAAGGTACTCACTGTCCACGTCAAGAGCCAAGCCAAGGTACTGTTCCTCCAATGAGTAAACAGCACTGCTGTAGGGCTGGCCTAAGTCAGGCAGTTCAAGATAACCTGAAGGAGTCGAATAACATCTATCCAGTGAGTCCTGCAAGACTTCAGGCTCTTTCTCATCCAGCAGCTCCCTGCTGAGCCTGGAAAAGTAGGAAAAAGTAAAGAATAAGCCAAGGGGAATCAGAAACCACACAGCCCCAGCTAGATTTCATGGCTAACATAAGGAACTGTTTAAAAAGAAAAAGGACAGATCCATTAATGAGGTAATGAATTATTGCCTTTATGTTGGGATAGACCAGGGCCAGGTAGAAAAGAATGAAAGAGAAAGACAGGGAGAGGGAGAGAGAGAGAGAGGAGAAAGTGAGCTCAGCGAATTGGCCGGGTGACACACTGATGAAGGGGTCAAAGGACACTCTGAGTTAGTGCCCTCGGGACACACAGCGAACAGTGATCATGAAAAGAGTGGGCTCAATAATTTTCCATAAACTTGCTCAAGACTCCATGCAGTTGCCATACAGCCTTTGAGGTATGGTCAACCTATAGTAAGTTAGTAAATGATAAGGGGAGGAAGAAATGGAAACCTAAACATCTTCTGCAATGAAAACCAACAGCAATGTCAGGAGGAGTAATTCAACCTTCGTTGAAAACATGAAATTGAACACACTCTTGCTTTCCCTGGACCTGGCATCTCCAGGTGTCAACACAGAATTAAGCATCCATAATTGCTCAAAGTTACCTGGGGCATGATGGGTCTTGGTCTTCTTCCACTTCTTGGTACTTTTCAATTTCTGCAATAAGTTCAGACATGGACAGACATATTAAGCTGGTTCTCCTACACACATAACAATCCACTGTCTAATCCTCACACAGGGACTTCAGGCTCCTCAGCATGAGAATAGGACACTGTGAGAGATATTCTTCAGGAGGCCTGAAGGCTGATCACCATAGAGATTCCTTGGTTTTTGTCCCAGAAACTGTGGGTAAAATTCCCTATTCTGGTAGATCGTTGTCCCAATATCATTTGTCCCAAGTTTGTGCAAATGGTTATGCCATATTTTTCCAATCGATTTAAAGCAAATGCCCCCAAATGGTTGCTAGGAGAAAAACTGCACTATTCAGCCCTGTCTCATCAAATACTCAGATTGTTCATGGTAGCGAGGATTTTAGACGCTGAAATTAGAGTGAAGGATGAAATCTACAAGATCTACAAAATTGAGACAAAATCAGAGTTGTGTGAATTTGTCACATCTGCCCAGGTCCAATGTCATGAGAGTAGGATTAGGGCGCCACAGGCATGGCCTGAGACTAGGAAGAGAGCCTTGCTCACTGACCCATCCCTTGTCTGGGCTTCCAAGTGGAACTAGAGTTTCATTCAACCTACATGTGCCTATAGGTCCTCCCTGTGGCAATGACATCTCTCAGCTCAGTAAGGGCCACTTGCAGTAGGAATATGACCCTAACCAGAAGACTCAGTGGATCCTTATCACCTTCATAGAAAGGTACTCACCATCCATGTCAACAGCCAAGCCAACACGCTGTTGCTCCAATATGTAAAAGGCACTTCTGTAGGGCTGGCATGAGTCAGTCAGTTCAAGGCAACCTGAAGGAGTTGAATAACATCTATCCAGTGAGTCCTGCAAGACTTCAGGCCCTTTCTCATCCAGCAGCTCCCTGCTGAGCCTGGAAAAGTGGGAAAAAGTAAAGAGTAAGCCAGGGGGAATCAGAAACCACACAGCCCCAGCTAGATTTCATGGCTAACATAAGGAAGAGTTTGAAAAGAAAAAGGACAGATCCATTAATGAGGTAACAAATTATTGCCTTTATGTTGGGATAGACTAGGGCCAGGTAGAAAAGGATGAAAGAGAAAGACACACACACACACACACACACACACACACACACACACACACACACACACAGTTCGAGCTCAGTGCATTGGTCAGGTGACACACTGATGAGGGAGTCAAAGGACACTCTGTATTTGTGCTCTCAGGACACACAGTGAACAGTGATCATGAAAAGCCTGTCCTCAATAATTTTGCATAAAATGTGCTCAAGTTTCCCTGCAGTTACCATGAGAATACAGCTTTTGAGGTATGGTCAACTTTCACTAGGTTAGTAAATGATAAGGGTAGGAAGAAATGGAAACCTAAACATTTACTCTAATGAGAACCAAAAAGCAATGTAGTAGGCGTAATTCAGACTTGTCTGACAAGACAAAATCATTATTTTCAGCATGTACTGTTTTCCCTGGACTTGGCATCTCCAGGTGTCAACATCAAATTAACTGTCCACAATTTCTCAGACTCACCTGGGACCTGTTGCCTCTTGGTCCTCCTTTTTCACTTGATTCCACCGATGTCCTGCAAATAAATTCATATGGGCCCTCTTACATTAAGCAGTTCTTCCTTGCACACAGAAACATTCCTCTGTCCAATCCTAACACAGGGACATCAGTCTTGTCAATGTGAGAACAGGAGACTTTGAGAGAAATATTCCAGTAGGCCTGAGGTCAAGTCTTGAGAAAACTGGCTTGGGTTCTTTCATGAGCCTTGGGCAAAATTCCCCTGAGTTGGAATGTTATCTTCCCTATGTGCTCTGTCCTAGGTTTATGTACACAAATGAGCAATTTTTTCCCCAATAAATTGTAGGCAAATAGTTCTAACACCTCATAGGAGAGATACTTCAATATTAAGCTTTCTCTCATCAAATACCCAGAATTTGATAGTTTATGAGATTGTGGACACAGAGATTTGATGAGGGGGTGCAATGTACCAGCTCTTGAGTCAAAATGAAACTTGGTTCTACACAGAAGCATCAGCTATTATGGCTTTTGTGGGTGAAAAGTCAGCCATTTATCTAGAAAACATACCAGGAACATGACGGACAGATGAGCTAAAGCAAGCGAACTTAGAAGACACAGAAAATGGGAATAAATTCAGTGAAACCTGGGTCACATCTTTCACTGAGAGGTAGACAAGGGTGACACTGGCCTTGGGCAGGTAAAGAACCACACAGACATGCTTTGGGAACAAAACTCATAAGGAATTTTGTAGCTGGCAAGAGACATTTAATTCAGATGAGCTGAGCTGACAGACAACTCCTGGGCATGTGCTGCATAGTTTGGTGTGAGTTTGCCACACCTGCCTTGAGTTCAATATCGTGACAGTCAGTCCAGGTTGGCACGGGCATGGCGTGAGACTAGGAAGAGAGCAAAGCTCACTGACCCACCCCATGCCTGTGCTTCAGACTCGACTCCAGAGTGATTGAAATCTACATTGATATATAGGTTCAGCCCACAGTGATGGCAAATCTCAGCCCAACAAGGGGCACAAGGCCCAAAGATTATGGGGTCTACCTGGGCCATGAACTGGAGCTTTATCACCTTCACAATGGAGTACTCACTGCCTATGTCAACAGCCATGCAGACTTGCTGTTCCTCTAATGAGTGAAATGTGCTGCTGTAAGACTTGTACGAGGCCAACATTTCAGGAGGAATTGAGAGAGTCGAATAACCTTCATCCCAGGACTCCTGGGGGACTTCCTCCTCTTCAGACTCCTGCAGATTCCTGATGAGCCAGGCAGGACACGGATGATAGAACATTTAACCAACAGACATTAGACAACAAAACCTCCCAGATGATCTGATGGGAGACAGAATGGAGTGGTCACAGAAACCAAAGGCATTTTTCCTTCAAGAGAAATAAAACTATCCTTCTAAATACAGGGTGGAGGGTGACTGCTCTGGGGACAGAGCAAAAATGGGCAGCATGTGCTCAGTACATTTGCCACAGATGAGCCAACTCAGGGCACCCAGACTCTCCCTGTAAACTACCATCATGACTTGCAGCACAGAGAACTGACACAGGGCTTCAACTACTTTGCATAAATTGGGTTGAATTTTACATGCAGCATTCAAGTGAAGAGAGTTCTTGACGCAGTGCAGACACAGATCTTGTGTATTAAGGGCCCCATTTTCCCAATATTTTGATATAATATATTTACTTTTTCAATTTCTTTTCTTGCAAAAATACTAGCCAACATACTACCAACAAATAGGAAGAAAGCATATATACACCTCTCCCTGGATTTAAACACATGGGAGAGAATAGGCAACACCAAGAAATCCCTGTTTGAGGGTCTGGAGTGGACTTCCAGCAAACTCCAACAGACCTGAAGCTGAGGGACCTGACTGTTAGAAGGAAAACTAACACACAGAAAGGAATAGCATCAACATCAACAAAAAAGACATCCACCCCAAAACCCCATCTGTAGGTCGCCATCATCAAAGACCAAGGGTAGATAAAACCACAAAGGTGGGGAGAAACCAGAGCACAAAAGCTGAAAATTCCAAAAACCTGACATCCCTTCTCCTCCAAAGGATCGCAGCTCCTCGCCAGCAATGGAACAAAGCAGGATGGAGAATGACTTTGATGAGCTGACAGAAGTAGGCTTCAGAAAGTCGGTAATAACAAACTTCTCTGAGCTAAAGGAGGATGTGCGAACTCATCGCAAGGAAGCTAAAAACCTTGAAAAAAGATTAGACGAATGGCTAACCAGAATGAACAGTGTAGAGAAGACCTTAAATGACCTGATGGAGCTGAAAACCATGGCACGAGAACTATGTGATGCATGCACAAGCTTCAGTAGCCAATTCGATCAAGTGCAAGAAACGGTATCAGTGATTCAAGATCAAATTAGTGAAATGAAGCGAGAAGAGAAGTTTAGAGAAAAAAGAGTAAAAAGAAATGAACAAGCCTCCAATAAATATGGGACTATGTGGAAAGACCAAATCTACGTTTGATTGGTGTACTGAAAGTGACGGGGAGAATGGAACCAAGCTGGGAAACATTCTTCAGGATATTATCCAGGAGGACTTCCCCAACCTAGCAAGGAAGGCCAACATTCAAATTCAGGAAACACAGAGAACACCATAAAGATACTCCTCGAGAAGAGCAACCCCAAAACACGTAATTGTCAGATTCACCAAGGTTGAAATGAAGGAAAAAATGCTAAGGGCAGCCAGAGAGAAAGGTCGGATTACCCACAAAGGGAAACCCATCAGACTAGCAGCAGATCTCTTGGCACAAACCCTACAAGCCAGAAGAGAGTGGGAGCAATATTCAACATTCTTTTTTTTTTCCATATGTATAGTTTTCCTTTATTATTTTTTGTGTGTATGTATATATATATATATATATATATTTTTAATACTTTAAGTCTTAGGGTACATGTGCACAACGTGCAGGTTAGTTACATATGTATACATGTCCACATTGGTGTGCTTCACCCATTAACTCATCATTTAACATTAGGTATATCTCCTAATGCTACCCCTCCTCCCTCCCCCCACCCTACAACAGGCCCCAGTGTGTGATGTTCCCCTTTCTGTGTCCATGTGTTCTCATTGTTCAATTCCCACCTGTGAGTAAGAACATGCGGTATTTGGTTTTTTGTCCTTGCAATAGTTTGCTGAGAATGATGGTTTCCAGCTTCATCCATGCCGCTACAAAGGACATGAACTCATCATTTTTTATAGCTGCATAGTATTCCATGGTGTATATGTGCCACATTTTCTTAATCCAGTCTATCATTGCTGGATATTTGGCTTGGTTCCAAGTCTTTGCTATTGTGAATAGTGCCGCAATAAACATATGTGTGCATGTGTCTTTACAGCAGCATGATTTATAATCCTTTGGGTATACACCCAGTAATGGGATGGCTGGGTCAAATGGTATTTCTAGTTCTAGATCCCTGAGGAATTGCCACACTGCCTTCCACAATCGTTGAACTAGTTTACAGTCCCACCAACAGTGTAAAAGTGTTCCTATTTCTCCACATCCTCTCCAGCATCTTCAACATTCTTAAAGAAAAGAATTTTCAACCAAGAATTTCATATCCAGCCAAACAAAGCTTCATAAGTGAAGGAGAAATAAATCCTTTACAGAGAAGCAAATGCTGAGAGATTTTGTCACCACCAGGCCTGCCTTACAAGAGCTCCTAAAGGAAGCACTAAACATGGAAAGGAACAACCGGTACCAGCCACTGCAAAAACATGCCAAACTGTAAAGACCATTGACGCTAGGAAGAAATTGCATCAACTAACGGGCGAAATAACCAGCTAACATCATAACGACAGGATCAGATTCACACATAACAATATTAACCTTAAATGTAAATGGGCTAAATGCCCCAGTTAAAAAACACAGAATGGCAAATTGGATAAAGAGTCAAGACCCATCAGTGTGCTGTACTCAGGAAACCCATCTCACATGCAGAGACACACATAGGCTCAAAATAAAGGGATGGAGGAAGATCTACCAAGCAAATGGAAAACAAAAAAAGGCAGGGGTTGCAATCCTAGTCTCTGATAAAACAGACTTTCAACCAACAAAGATCAAAAGAGACAAAGAAGGCCACTACATAATGGTAAAGGGATCAATTCAACAAGAAG
Organism: Homo sapiens; assembly: GCF_000001405.40. Lineage (NCBI taxonomy): Eukaryota > Metazoa > Chordata > Mammalia > Primates > Hominidae > Homo > Homo sapiens. The sequence continues at coordinate 67,475 of NW_025791753.1, read as the reverse complement.
AGTTAACTATCCTAAATATATATGCACCCTATACAGGAGCACCCAGATTCATAAAGCAAGTCCTGAGAGACCTACAAAGAGATTTAGACTCCACACAATCATAATGGGAGACTTTAACACCCCAGTGTCAATATTAGACAGATCAATGAGACAGAAGCTTAACAAGGATATCCAGGACTTGAACTCAGCTCTCCACCAAGCAGACCTAAAAGACATCTACAGAACCCTCCACCCCAAATCAACAGAATATACATTCTTCTCAGCACCACATCACACTTATTCCAAAATTGACCACATAGTTGGAGGTAAAGCACTCGTCAGCAAATGTAAAAGAATGGAAATCACAACGAACTGTCAGACCACAGTGCCATCAAATTAGAACTCAGGATTAAGAAACTCACTCAAAACCGCACAACTACATGGAAACTGAACAACCTGCTCCTGAATGACTACTGGGAAAATAACAAAATGAAGGCAGAAATAAAGATGTTCTTTGAAACCAATGAGAAAAAAGACACAACATACCAGAATCTCTGGGACACATTTAAAGCAATGTGTAGAGGGAAAATTATAGCACTAAATGCCCACAAGAGAAAGCAGAAAAGATCTAAAATTGACACCCTAACATCACAATTAAAATAACGAGAGAAGCAAAGCAAACAAATTCAAAAGCTAGCAGAAGACAAGAAGTAACTAAGATCAGAGCAGAACTAAAGGAGATAGAGACACAAAAAACCCTTCAAAAAATCAATGAATCCAGGGCTGGTTTTTTGAAAAGATCAACAAGAAAACCCTGTTTGGCTAGTTCACCTGGCTCATCTGATGGCAAGTTCCTATCTTGAGAGGACTATGAAATTAAAACCAATACAAGTGCCACAAATAACATACAACATTGTAAATCAGCACAATTTGTAGCTGGGTGAATGGAAGAAATAGTTCTATTCATCACTTCCTCATTTTCCCTAAATCTACAATCTCCAGATGTCACTACTGAATTAACAGCCAACAATTCCACAACATTACCTGGGAGACACTGGCCCTTTTTCTTCCTCTTCCTCATCATCACTTTCATTTTCTGTAAATAAATTCAGAGAAGCAGGTCACATTAAGCAATTCATACTTCACATATGAACAAATCACTGTCCAATCATAGCACAAGGACATAACTATTCTCAGTGCAAGAATAAGGATTCTGACAGGAATATTCTAGGTTGTCCTAGATTAACTTTGGTGAGAATTAGATGACCCTGCTTTCCAGACCCACAGGCCAAAATCTCCCTCTACATGTAGACCATAATGCCATATTCCCTGCTTGAGTCAAAGTTAAACAAAATTTTTTCCCCAAAAAAATCTCCAAAAATTGGTAAAACAATTTTCTAAGAGTGTTGCTGCGATATGGACTTATATCACCAGGTAACATGGACATTAAATGTTTAGAGGCATCTATACATGAAACACGACTGATAGATAAATTTGAACAACTCTTGCTTTAAAAAGAATCTGTGATTTGGGAGGCCAAGACAGGTGAATCATTTGAGGTCATGAGTTCAGGACTACCCTGGCCAACATGGGGAAACCCTGTCTCTACTAAAAATACAAAAATTAGCCAGATGTGATGTTGTGCACCTGTGGTCCCAGCAACTCAGGAGGCTGAGGCAGGAGAATCACTTGAATCTGGGAGGCAGACGTTGCACCAAGCCAAGATGGTGCCACTGCACTCCAGCCTGGGTGACAGAGCAAGACTCCATCGCAAAAAAAAAAAAAAAAAAAAAAAAAAAAAAAAAAAAAAATCCACGATGCTACAAAGAAACATTGGATCAGCCATTGCATTGACAGGGTGGAGAACCAGGGTCCAGCCTTGCTTTATGGAAATATATCAGCAAAGTAAAGAAGAAAAGTTTCCGTACTGATTTCAGGGTGACTGTGCAGCTAAGCAAGCTGACTTAAAGGAGATCCAGATGAAAGCTGAGAGCAGTGAAGCCTGGGGAACAATAATTCCAAATACAAAGGCAAGGCTGCCAGCTTCCTTAAACAGGCATAGAAACTCCATGGACATTGTTCAGGGACAGATGACTTAATCACAGATGACAAGAGATACTGAATCGAAGCTAGGAGGCCTGACAGATACTGCCTGTGCACCTCCTGCACTCAGGTGACTATGAGATTGTCACACTTGCCTGGGGTTGAGTAACTTGATACTGGGGACTGGCAGACAAAGTCATGACATTAGCTGTGAAGGACAAAAAAACTCCCTGATATCTGTTTAGAAACCCATCACAGTTTTTTATTCAAATGAATTTGTGTTTATAGAGCCTGTCTTCAGAGTTTATCTTCCTCAGCCTAGAGAGAGGTATGAGACACAAGGAAAACAGAGGCTACCTGGAATAATGTGTACAGCATCCTCCCATTCAACATGAGAGGATGAGCCAATGAGAGCTGAGTCGACTTTGTCTTCCTCAAATGTGATTTTGGTTTTCCTATGTGGCTGGTTGGAGTCATAAGGGCCATGGCTATTTGAATAAGTGATGGCACATTCCTCCAGTGAGTCCTCAGGGACTTCCTTTTCTTCAGCCTTCTGCATCTCCCTGATGAGCCAGGTGGGACAGAGATGACAGAAGATTAAACACAGAGGGATTGGACCCCAGGGAGTCCTAGCTGGTTTTGACAGGCGGCATTAAGAGAGTGGTCCCAGAAAGCAAAATGGAGGTTCCCATTAAGAGGGAACATGCAATCCTGTTCTCTCTGCAACAGAGCATGGCTGCCATGGGAACCAGAGAGGAAGAGAGCAGCTGCTGTTCATTGCACTGGACAGATAGGAGCTGAGGAGGATGAAGACTCAGCTATCCCTGTACGGTACAGACATGACACTCGGCACACATAGAGAAACATGACAGCTACCGCACCCTGTGTCTAAGCTGGGTTATATTTCACATACTGTGGCCAAGCGAATGCGGGTTTTTGACCCATCATAGATGCCAGAGAGGGTGTGCCTCCTAGATATTCCTCATATGTTACCATCCATTAATTGTTCCTGAGTATTCAGTGTTACCTGGGGGCAGACGATTTCTGCACTTTCTCAGCCACCTCAACTTGAACATCTTCATCGTCATCGTTGTCATTTTCTGTAAATACAGAAGTGTTCGTTCAGATATTTCCCACTTCACAGTCTGCAAGCACAGTCAGCCCAATGTGCAACAGAGACATGAACATCTAGGCATGGGTCACCGTTCAACTGAAAACTCTCATGTTTTATCTTTAACAGAATGCCCTGGCATGGTTTCCTGATCCATCAGGCAATGCATTTCTGATCTGGAGGGCCACCATCAAGATGTGGCCAAATATTGAAAAGACCTTTTGCTTCCCATATCACTGGAGGCTTGTGCAGCCTCTCTCTGGACGTTGGCAGCTGTCTCCCCCATCCTGCCAGATCTGATTCCCAGGCACAGGCTTGGTGTCCTGTCACGGTTTGCATTTCAAACCTAATTCTTTCTCTTAGAAGCAGACAAACATGTCCCACAGTCCTCTATGCATCAGAAGATTTCAAGCCTCCAAGTGGCTTCTGCTGTGTTCTTCAGGGACATTCTATCCATGGGGAGCGCTCCAGTCTGAAGCACTTCCTACCACAAAACGCCCCCACATAAAGTGCCTTCTCCAACATCACACGGCGAGGGCCTTCATCTCATTTTGGAAAGCAGTTGTAAGTGTTCCCACATTTGAATGCTTCGACCCTTGCAAGAGACAATTTGTCTGCCACAGAGAGAGAGAAACTCAGGAAGGACAAGTCATTCACTCTCTGACAGTTACTAAGAACATTGCCGAAAAGACAGCCTGGGAACCTTCATTCTTAGTCCAGAGCTCTTTTCACTCTAACAAGCCTGCTCCCATCACAGCCTCCTTCCTGTCCTTTAAAACTAGACAGATGCTGCCTCTTGCTCCAGAGACCACCTTCCATCAAGGGAGGAGGGACACTTGCAATACTGTGACCTCCAACCCCATGGGTTTCCCATCTCCGTTCTTACCCAAGAAGTCCTGGTCATATCATGGCCACATAAGCTTAGTGGAAAAAAACACCATTGATACAACTGTCATTGTGAAAGTATGGAGGTCTGGAGTCTCTCATAAGCCTGGGATTTTGGGTCATCAGGGCCTATGGCCACCTTACCTGGGCTGAGCTTTTGGACAAGGTGCTGTGCCAGTCTACACCCCTCAGCCAGCTGTTCTTGGAGGTCCTGCCCCTGGGACTTGTCCGGCTCATCCGGAGTGAGGAGGGCCTGGAGATGCTCATTCAATGAGCGGGAGGCATCTCTCCCTTCCCGCAACTTCTCCCTTAACTGGGTCAGCTCTCGTTCCTGAGTGTGAACCAGGACTTTATATTGCCTAAGGTGAGACGGTAGAGAAAATTTAAGAGTGGAAAGGGTTGAGTGATCCGCTCAAATATTGCAACAGAGACTTCTGAGACAATGTCCTCAAGGAGACCTTGAAACAGAAGGTCAGCACATGTTGAAAGGAATGTCTGTGGCCAAGAGAAAGAATAGAAAATGGTTTACAGGCTTCCTCTGTATCACAGAGAGCTCTTGCAAGATCCTCGATGATGTTCCATTCATCTTTCTCTTCTGTAAACAAAAGTAGGTGTCTTCCTAATTCCATTTCAAAAAGACATCCTTTCAGTTCCTCACTCTGGCCATGGACAATTCCATGTGAAAATACACATAGTGCATCTTGCGGCCACTAGATACAAAGCCATGTACAGAAATGAGGCCAGGTGCAGATGGGGCGAATTGAAAAGACGAAAGAAGAAAAGAATGACAGGGTCGAGAAGGCAACATTGATTGAGTGAAAGAATGAGAAGCCGCAGTCAGTCAGGAGGTGATTCTCACTAAGGGTAAGTGGGGTGGTGATGGCACACCATTTTGAGTATACTGAATGCTGCTGTGTGGTTCACACTCCTTTGGTTAATTTTGTGTTATGTAAATTTCACATCAACAATTACTTGTTTGAAAAAGAGAAAACAAGGCTCTGAGAAACAACTGCAACCCATACATTTTTACTATCCTCCTTCTCTGTTTGATAAATATTTGTGTGTAGCGAGCCTGCCATGGCAATTCCTGCCCTTCCCCTGGCCCAGCTTAGCTCTTACATCTCCCCACCGAGCTGCTGTACTTCAGAGATTTACACACCTGCCCCCCTGCCTGCCCCCATGGGGTCCCCTCACCTGAGCTCCTCAGCTTGCTTGAGCTGCTCTGCAAGCTTCTCCTCCTTGAACTGTCGCTCATTCCTCAGCATAGATTTTATGAGATCTTTGCACTCTTCATATTCTGAGAAAAGACAGACACGCCTGCCTCAGTGGAAGGCTGGACATGCTGCTGTGGTCATTGCCTACAGGACAGGAGCCAGGTCCATCCCAAGGACAAAACTCTCCCCAGTACCAGGGTCTAGACAGGGATTTCCACATCTTTACTCTTCAGTCTCCTGACTTTCTGGCATCTAATCCTCCAAAATTTGGAGATGAAGAAAGAGAACCTCAAGGGCACATCAAGGAAGTTGACAAGATGATTCAACCACAACGAAGTGGAGTCAGAATTCACAGTCCCTGAGGTCTGACTCTGAATGCGGGGCCACTTTCCCAAGCCTTGCAGCCTCTCCTCTAAAACACTGCACTGGGGCATGAAGTAGTGATTTCTTGTACAGTCGGGAAGGCCCCTAGGACTATGGGACTGATGGTTTCCCTTTCACTGGGAATTTCAAGGACAAGTATGCGAAAGATTTTTAAAATCTTTGATTTTTAAATCATATCTTCAGTTATGATTTTAAGAATCATATCTGAAGCATAAAGTGTGACACATAACACCATAAGGCCATGAAGGAAATATGCCCAAATGCTAATAAAGTTTGTGTTAATTTAGAAACAGCAGAATGAAGAACTAATAGATAGTGTTTACTGTGTGCCAATAAATGTTCTAGGAGACTGACAAGAAATAGCTCATGTAATTCACTGCAGCAATTTACAGAGGTAGGTATTATTGTAGTACCCTCTGAACAGGTGAGGAAACTGAGGGACAGACAAGACAAGCAACTTGGATGGATCCCAGGAGACAGACCCACGGTCCCTGCTCTGTACACTGCACTGCTATCTCCACACATTCTCGGGTGGGATCTTTCTTCCTCTTTAGCAACAAGAATCTGTGCCCCAGGAAGCAGGACTTCACTCTCACCAAGCTACTCTCTGCTTTTTATTCTTATTTTTATTTATCATTATTATTATTATTATTTTTAACAGTCTTGCCCTGTCGCCCAGGCTGGAGTGCAATGGCAAAACCTTGGCTCACTGCAACCTCAGCCTCCTGGGTTCAAAGGATTCTCTTGCCTCAGCCTCCTGAGCAGGGGTGATTACAGTCACCTGCCACCACGCCCATCTACTTTTTGTATTTTTAGTGAAGATGGGGTTTCTCCATGTTGCCCAGGCTGGTCCCAAACTCCTGACCTCATGATCTGCCCGCCTCAGCCTCCCAAAGTGCTGGGATTACAGGAGTGAGCCACCATGCACGGCCCCTACTCCCTGCTCTTGATGCTGTCACTTATAGACAGCACAGGTTCTATTAGGAATAGACTCCTCTTGAAGCCCTCAGAGCAGGTACTGGCTACTATCACCAAGTTTCCCTCAGAGTCACTAGAACAGAGCTTTGTCTGTTGGGCCTCAACAGAAACTTGAACTGAATAAAAGTTCACTAGTCTCAGACATTTAGAACAACAGACTAGATGTTATTTGTCTGCAGGATCTTATATGGTAGAGAGGATTCTTGAAAACACGATTGAGCCTCTTGGAGAAAACAGGTCATTCTGTGCCTGTGTCAGAAATCAATAAATGGCAGTTTAACTCTAGTCCCACCCCCACCTGATTGAAAACATGGAAAGTTGCTAAATACTTTGGTACCTCTGTCTTCCAACTTTGACAAAATGTTAAAATACCCATTTCTGTTTTCCTAGAAGTACAGGAAGGATGAAATTATTTTTGATGGAGAGAGCATTTAGTGTCTCAGAGAGAAGACAGGATATCATTCATCACTTTCATGATGGTGAGCCTGTAGATCTTACTGTATTTGTTCTGCTGGTTGGCCAGGAAGCCGGCCAGTTGAGTTAGAAAACATTTCTCTTTGAGGTTTCTGAACTGCTGTTTCTTCTCTGCCAGCTGGGGGTGCAATTTCTCATTGATTTCTAGAATGTTCATCTCTGCCTTCTCGCTGGACAAAGGGCCGGCTGATACCACCATGCTGACGTTTGTGGCAGAAGAGGTGGGGCCAGGGACTGGGGAGAAGAAAGGCAAACACATGATGGGTTAAAAACTGGTGAAATCAAATAGGCTTAATCAGGACTGAGGGATGTCACTGGCAGCCTTGTTTACTTATTTGAAGATGATGTTTCCCTGGTTTCACTCTTGTCATCTCCAGTCTTGATCTCCTTTAAGTCAACTTGTCTCAGCTATGCAGTCACCTTGAAACCAGGACATAAACACTTCTACACTTTTCTTGCTTATAAGTTTCTATAAAGCAAGGCTTGGCCCTGAGATTTTTACCCCATGAGTGGCCAATGTTTCTGTGTAGCACAAAAGATTTCATTTTGCTTTTTTAATTTTTTTCTTTTTTGGTTTTTTGTTTTTTGTTTGAGACGGAGTCTCACTCTGTCGTGCAGGCTGCAGTGCAGAGGCACAATCTCAGCTCACTGCCACCTCTGCCGCCCGGGTTCAAGCGATTCTCATCCCTCAGCCTGCCAAGCATCTGGGATTACAAGCGCCAAGTAACATGCCAGCTAATTTTTGTATTTTTAGTAGAGATGGGGTTTCGCCATCTTGGACAGGCTGGTTTCGAACTCCTGACCTCAGGTGTTCTGCCCACCTCAGCCTCCCAAAGTGCTGGGATTAAGATGTGAGCCAGCGCCCCTGGTCAGAGACTTACTTTTTTTTTTGAGATGGAGTCTCGCTCTGTCTCCCAGGCTGGAGTGCAGTGGCACAATCTCGGCTCACTGCAAGCTCCGGTTCCTGGGTTCATGCCATTCTCCTGTCTCAGCCTCCTGAGTAGCTGGGACTACAGGCGCCCACCACCGCGCCCAGCTAATTTTTTTTTTTTTTTTTTGTATTTTTAGTAAAGACGGCGTTTCACCGTGTTAGCCAGGATGGTCTCGATCTCCTGACCTCGTGATCCACCCGCCCCGGCCTCCCAAAGTGCTCGGATTACATGTGTGAGCCACCGCGCCAGGCCGAGACTTCTTATTAATAGCTAAGACAAGCCAATGAAAAGGAGAGAGAGTCTAGCCTGAGAGGAGTGAACGAGCGTGGGAGGATCGTCTCAGCCGATCCTCCCACCTAAGTCTCCTGAGCAGTTGGGACTATAGGCATGCAGCACCATGCCTGCCTAATTTTTTGTATTCTTTGTAAAGATGGGTTTCACCATATTGTCCAGGCTGGTCTTCAACTCCTGAACTCAAGTCATCGTCCCACTTGGGCCTTCCAAAGTGCTGTGATTATATGTGTGAGTCACAGCACCTAGCTCCATCCTAGTTTCTGACTAAAACAATAACAATATGTGTATATACAGCCTGTCCTCAGAATTAATCTTCCATAGCCTAGACAGAGGTATGAGACACAAGGAAAATAGAGGCTACCTGGGAGAATGTTTAGAGCATCCTGACATTCATCATGAGAGGATTCTCTGTCTACAACCAGAGTTGAGTTGACTTCGTCTTCCTCAAATGTGATTTTGATGTTCTTGTGAGGCTGGTTGGAGTCACAAGGGCCGTGGCTATTTGAACAAGTGATGGCACATTCCTCCAGTGAGTCCTCAGGGACTTTGCTCACTTCAGCCTTCTGCACCTCCCTGATGAGCCAGGTGGGACAGAGATGACAGAAGATTAAACACAGAGGGATTGGACCCCAGGGAGTCCTAGCTGGTTTTGACAGGTGGCATTAAGAGAGTGGTTCCAGAAAGCAAAATGGAGGTTCCCTTAAAGAGGAAACAGGCAATCCTCTTCTCTCTGCAACAGACCATGGCTGCCATGGGAGCCAGAGAGGAAGAGAGCAGCTGGTATTCAGTGCACTGGACAGATAGGAGCTGAGGAGGATGAAGACTCAGCTATCCCTGTATGGTACAGACATGACACTTGGCACACATAGAGAAACACGACAGCTGCCGCACCCTGTGTCTAAGCTGGGTTCAATTTCACATACTGTGGCCAAGGGGATGCGGGCTTTTGGTCCACCATAGATGCCAGAGAGGTTGTGCCTCCTAGACATTTTCATATGTTACCACCCATTACTTGCTCCTGAGTATTCAGTGTTACCTGGGGGCAGATGATTTCTGCACTTTCTCATCCTCCTCAACTTGAACATCTTCATCCTCATCTTCGTCATTTTCTATAAATACAAAATGTTCGTTCAGATACTTCCCACTTCACATTCTGCAAGCACAGTCAGCCCAACGTGCACAGAGACATGAACATCTATGTATGGTTCAGCATTGTACTGAAAACTCTCATGTTTTATCTTTCACAAAATGCCCTGGCATGGTTTCCTGGTCCATCGGGCAATGCATTTCTGATGTGGAGGGCCACCATCAAGATGTGGCCAAATACTGAAAAGACCTTTTGCTTCCCATATCACTGGAGGCTTGTGTAGCCTCTCTCTGGACTTTGGCAGCTGTCTCCCCCATCCTGCCACAGATCTGATTCCCAGGAACAGGCTTGGTGTCCTGTCACAGTTCGCATTTCAAACCTCATTCTTTCTCTTAGGAGAGGACAAACTTGTCCCACAGTCCTCTATGCGTCATGAGACTGCACAGGCCCTCCATGTGGCTTCTGCTGTGTTATTCAGGGACATTCTATCCATGGGGAGTGCTCCAGTCTGAAGCACTTCCTACCACCAAATGCCCCCACATCAAGTGCCTTCTCCAACACCACATGGAGAGGGGCTTCATCTCATTTTGAAAAGCATTCGTAAGTGTTCCCATATTTGGATGCTTCAGACCCTTGCAAGAGACAATTTGTCTGCCTTTGCAGATGGAGAGAGAGAAACTCTGGAAAGATAAATCACTCACTCACCGACACTTACTAAGAACATTGCCAAAAAGACAGCCTGGGAACCTTCATTCTTAGCCCAGAGCTCTTTTCACTCCAACAAGCGCCCTCCCATCACAGCCTCCTTCTTGTCCTTTAAAACTAGATAGATGCTGCCTCTTGCTCCAAAGACCACCTTCCATCAAGGAAGGAGGGACACTTGCAATACTGTGACCTCCAAACCATGGGTTTCCCATCTCTGTTCTTACCCAGGAAGTCCTGGTCATGTCATGGCCACATAGGTGTAGCAGAAAAAAACCCCACTGATACAACTGTCATTGTGAAAGTATGGAGATCTGGAGCCTCTCATAAGCCTGGGGTTTTGGGTCATCAGGGCCTATGGCCACCTTACCTGGGCTGAGCTTTTGGACAAGGTGCTGTGCCAGTCTACACCCCTCAGCCAGCTGTTCTTGGAGGTCCTGCCCCTGGGACTTGTCCGGCTCATCCAGAGTGAGGAGGGCCTGGAGATGCTCATTCAATGAGCGGGAGGCATCTCTCCCTTCCCGTAACTTCTCCTTTAACTGCGTCAGCTCTCGTTCCTGAGAGTGAACCAGGACTTTATATTGCCTAAGGTGAGACGGTAGAGAAAATTTAAGAGTAGAAAGGGTTGAGTGATCCGTTCAAATATTGCAACAGAGATTTCTGAGACAATGTTCACAAGGAGACCTTCAAGCAGAAGGTCAGCACATGTTGAAAGGAATGTCTGTGGCCAAGAGAAAGAACAGAAAATGGTCTACAGGCTTTCCCTGTATCAGAGAGGGCTCCTGCAAGATCCTCGATGATGTTCCATTCATCTTTCTCTTCTGTAAACAAAAGTAGGTGTCTTCCTAATTCCGTTTCAAAGACATCCTTTCAGTTCCTCACTCTGGCCATGGGCATTTCCATGTGAAAATACACATAGTGCATCTTGCGGCCACTAGATACAAAGTCATGTACAGAAATGAGGCCAGGTGCAGATGGGGCGAATTGAAAAGATGAAAGAAGAAAAGAATGACAGGGTCAAGAAGGCAACATTGATTGAGTGAAAGAATGAGAAGACGCAGTCAGTCAGAAGGTGATTCTCACTAAGGGTAAGTGGGGTGGCGATAGCACACCATTTTGATTATACTGAATGCTGCTGGGTGGTTCCCACTCCTTTGGTGAATTTTGTGTTATGTAAATTTCACCTCAACAATTACTTGTTTGAAAAAGAGAAAACAAGGCTCTAAGAAACAACTGCAACACAGAACTTATTATTATCCTTGTTCTCTGATAAATATTTGTGTGTCATGAGCCTGCCATGGCAATTTCTGCCCTTCCCCTGGCCCAGCTTCATTCTTACTTCTCCCCGCCGAGCTGCTGTACTTCAGAGATCTACACACCTACCCGCCTGCCTCCCCCTACGGGTTCCCCTCACCTGAGCTCCTCAGCTTGCTTGAGCTGCTCTGCAAGCTTCTCCTCCTTGAACTGTCGCTCATTCCTCAGCATAAATCTTATGAGGTCTTTACACTCTTCATACTCTGAGAAAAGACAGACACGCCTGCCTCAGTTGAAGGCTGGACATGCTGCTGTGGTCACTGCCTACAGGGCAGGAGCCAGGTCCATCCCAAGGACAAAACTCTCCCCAGTACCAGGGTCTAGACAGGGATTTCCACATCTTTACTCTTCAGTCTCCTGACTTTCTGGCATCTGATCCTCCAAAATTTAAAGACGAAGAAAGAGAAACTCAAGGGCGTGTCAAGGAAGTTGACAAGATGATTCAACCACAACGAAGCGGAGTCAGAACTCACAGCCCCTGAGGTCTGACTCCGAATGCGGGGCCACTTTCCCAAGCCTTGCAGCCTCTCCTCTAAAACACTGCACTGGGGCATGAAGTAGTGATTTCTTGTACAGTCGGGAAGGTCCCTAGGACTATGGGACTGATGGTTTCCCTTTTACTGGGTATTTCAAGGACAAATATGTCAAGGACTTTAAAAATATTTCATTTTTAAATCAATATTCAGATATGGTTTTAAGAATCATATCTGAAGCATAAAGTGTGAGACATAAGACAATAAGGCCATGAAGGAAATATGCCCAAATACTTTATTAGTATGAGAGGCAGCATTAAGATTTAGATTCGTTGTGTTAATTTAGAAACAGCATAAGATTAGTTTGTGTTAATTTAGAAACATCAGAATGAAGAACTAATAGATAGTGTTTACACTGTGCCAATTAATGTTCAAGGAGATTGACAGGAAATGCCTCATGTAATTCATTGCAGCAATTTACAGAGGTAGGTATTATTGTAGTACCCTCTGAACAGATGAGGAAACTGAGGGACAGACAAGACAAGGAACTTGGATGGAGCCCAGGAGACAGGCTGAGGGTCCCTGCTTTGCACACTGCACTGCTGCTTCCACACATTCTCGGGTGTGATCTTTCTTCCTCTTTAGGAACAAGAGCCTGTGCACCAGGAAGCAGGACTTCACTCTCACCAAGCTACTCTCTGCTTTTTATTTTTATTTTTGATTTATTTATCTTTTTGTTTTGTTTGTTTTTTGACGAGTCTTGCCCTGTCACCCATGCTGGAGTGCAATAGTGCAATCTTGGCTCACTGCAACATCTGCCTGCTGGGTTCAAAGGATTCTTCTGCCTCAGCCTCCCGATTAGTGGTGATTACAGTTGCCCGCCACGACGCCCATCTACTTTTTGTATTTTTAGTGGAGATGGGGTTTCTCCATGTTGCCCAGGCTAGTCTCAAACTGCTGACCTCGTGCTCTGCCCGCCTCAGCCTCCCAAAGTGCTGAGATTACAGGAGTGAGCCATGTTGCACGGCCCCTACTCCCTGCTCTTGATGCTGTCACTTATAGATAGCACAGGTTCTATTAGGAGCAGACTCCTCTTGAAGCCCCTCAGAGCAGGTACTGGGTACTATCACCAAGTTCCCCTCAGAGTCACTAGAACAGAGCTTTGCCTGTTGGGCCTCAACAGAAACTTGAACTGAATAAAAGTTCACTAGTCCTAGACATTTAGAACAACAGACTACATGTTATTTGTCTGCAGGATCTTATATGGTACAGAGAGGATTCTTGAAAACATGATTGAGCCTCTTGGAGAAAACAGGTCGTTCTGTGCCTGTGTTAGAAATCAATAACTGTGAGTTTAACTCTAGTCCCACCCCCATCTGATTGCAAACATGGAAAGTTGCTAAATACTTTGGTACCTCTGTCTTCCAACTTTAACAAAATGTTAAAATACCCATTTCTGTTTTCCTAGAAGTACAGGAAGGATGAAATTATTTTTGATGGAGAGAGCATTTAGTGTCTCAGAGAGAAGACAGGACATCATTCATCACTTTCATGACGGTGAGCCTATAGATCTTACTGTATTTCTTCTGTCGGTTGGCCAGGAAGCCGGCCAGTTGAGTTAGAAAACATCTCTTTGAGGTTTACGAACTGCTGTTTGTTCTCTGCCAACTGGGGGCGCAATTTCTCGTTGATTTCTAGAATGTTCATCTCTGCCTTCTCGCTGGACCAAGGGCCGGCTGATACCACCATGCTGACGTTTGTGGCAGAAGAGGTGGAGTCAGGGACTGGGGAGAAGAAACTCAAACATATGATGGGTTAAAAACTGGTGAAATCAAATAGGTTTAATCAGGACTGAGGGATGTCAGTAACTGAAATTCTTACCTTACTGTTGTGAAAAATGTGATCACTCCCACAGCACTTTAGGATCCTTCACCACAAAAACAAGGTTCGAGGTGCCTCAACTCAGAGCTGAAAGCACTGCCAGTAGCTCAGACTCTGATAAGAGTGAGGTAGATTGTGGCCAGCGTGCCAGGTAACGGTCTGCAGTTGCAATAACAGAATTAGAAGGTGGGGGTGTCATGGAATCTTAGGAGCCCTGCATTCCAATTGCCCAGGCTTTGCTGAAACACAGGCACCCTAGTCTCACCTGAGGGTCACCACCAATGGGGATCATTCCTTCAGCATTCACTCTCAGTATTCGTGTACCCTTGTGACAATGCCACAGACCCGTGTCTTTCCCAATACATCTAAGCACATTCCTCACTGTTTATCTCTTGTCTGTACAACATCATCAAGGCAGAAACAGTTTCCCAACAGGTTATATTTTCTTAATGGTAGTCATGAAGTCATAAATAAAAAAATGGAATCATTTAGTATGTTCTCTTGTTTTGACTTTTTTTTTTTTTTGAGACAGAGTCTCACTCTGTCTCCCAGGCTGGAGTGCAGTGACGCGATCTAGGCTCACTGCAAGCTCTGCCTCCCAGGTTCACGCTATTCTCCTGCCTCAGACTCCCAAGTAGCTGGGAATACAGGCGCCCGCCACCACGCCTGGCTAATTTTTCTTTTCTTTTTTTTTTTCTTTTTTTGTATTTTTAGTAGAGACGGGGTTTCACTGTGTTAGCCACGATGGTCTCGATCTCCTGACCTCGTGATCTGCCGCCTCGGCCTCCCAAAGTGCTGGGATTACAGGCGTGAGCCACTGCGCCCGGCCGACTTCTCTTTACTCAAGTGGGTATATATGCCACTAATTTGTTTGATTGTGTTTTTCCCTTGTTTCATTTTGTTTTGGCCAAGTAATATCCTATTGATTGTATGATTATCACACAATTTGATATCCATTTTTCTGATGGGAGACAGGTTTACTTGATAACTACTGTGCATAAGTAACTATGAATATTCTCATACAATTATTTCTGTGAAGATACATACTTATTTTCCTGGGTATCTATAGCTAGGGATGGAGTTGCTTGGTGAATGGGTAGAAAATGTTGGACAGAGTTTTGCAAAGTATTTGTATTGTTTTACATTTCTATGAAAGATGTAGGCCATTTCCAGTTGCTCTACATTCCCACACACTTAATATTTTCAGTCTTTTAAACTATGCCAGGTGTGTAGTGATATCCTAAAATTTGGTTTTCTCATGCCTAATGTTCATTTAGATATCTTCTTATGGAAAATATCTTCTCAAATTTTTATATTCATTGATATACTGGGCTGTTTGTCAATTTCTTTGTAATAGGAGTTCTTTATATATTTTGAATGAGTCCATTTATACATACATATTTTTTGCTGTATTATATAGCAAATAATTATTCCTGGTCTAGAGATAGCGTTTAAGTTGTTAAACAACAACATAATAAGGAGAAGCTTTTTAAAAATGAAGTGCAATTCGCTTGATTTCTTATTGTGGTGAGTGCTACAGTATCTAGTCTAAGAAATATTTTCCTGTGTCAAGTTCATGAAACTATTTCCTATTTTTCCTTTACAAGGTTTCTAATTTTAACTTTCACATCTTAAGATAATTTCAACATATGATGGAGAGTGGTTAATATTAACTTTTTAAAACAACAAATATTATTTCACTCAAAATCGTTTTACTTAAAAGTCTTTCATTTCCCCAATGAAGGGCATTGGTGTCTGTTTTTAAAACATTTAGAAGCGGCGGTGCAAGCATGTTCTCACTCATGGGTGGGAACTGAACAATGAGAACACTTGGACACAGGACGGGGAACATCACACACCAGGGCCTGTCATGGGGTGAGGGCTGGGGGAGGGATAGCATTAGGAGAAATACCTAATGTAAATGACGAGTTAATGGGTGCAGCAAACCAACATGGCACACGTATATATATATATAATATATATACACGTGTATATATATTATATATACATATATACCTGTATACACGTATATATAATATATACACACACATGAATATATATAATATATATACGTGTATATACATACGTGTATATATATAATACGTGTATATACATAATATACAATATATATAACACGTGTATATATATTATATATATATATTTTTTTCTTTTTTAAGTGGCGGAGCGAGGGCTACTGCACAGCTAGCAGAGTCGTGGCGAGGAGGACAGCACCTGCATCGAGCTCTCCGCCTCCCCCACCCGCCAGCCCAGGCGGCCCCAGCAGCAGCGACCAGAGGAGCCCCTGCAGCAACGCAACGGCCAGGTGGACACCTCCATCTACAGCCTCGTGGCGGACGGGACCTGTTAGGACACTGCCATTGTGGGTAACAAGGACCCGCCTTCCATCTGGGCCGCCGTCCCAGGGAAAACCTTCCTCAACATCACGCCAGCTGAGGTTGGTGTCCTGGTTGGCAAAGACTGGTCAAGCTTTGTCATGAATGGGCTGACACTGGGGGGCCAGAAATATACTGTGGTCCTGGACTCACTGCTGCAGGATGGGGAATTGACCACGGATCTTCGTATGAAGAGCATCGGTGGAGCCCCCACCTTCAACGTCATTGTCACCATGACTGCCAAGACGCTAGGCCTGCTGATGGGCAAAGAAGGTATCCATGGCAATTTCATCGACAAGTAATGTTATGAAATGGCCTCCCACCTTCAGCGTTCCCAGTACTGACCTCCTTTGTTCCTTCCACTCCACCGCTCCCCACAGCTTTGCCCGCCTTTCCTTCACATACACACACCATTTTAATTTCAGGAGTCATTACTCCACACACCTTATTGCTGCCAAAACCACATGGGCTGGGGGCCAGGGATAGATGGACAGACACCTTCCCCCACCCATACCCCTCCTGTGTGTGGCTGGAAAACTTTTTTGTTTTGATGGATTTTTTATGAATAAAAAAGTTTCTACTAAAAAAAATCAATAACTGTACATATGTGGGCATATTGTTTGAGTCTGTATTCTTTCACTTTGATGTATTTATGAATACTGACACCATTACTACTGTTTTAAAATTACTGTAGCTTTAAAATCAGGTTTGAAATCTAGCAGAGTAAGTCCTCCAACTTATTGCTTCTTCAATACCGACTTGCTTATTCTAGGTTCTTTGATTTTCAAATACATTTTGAAACTAGCTTTCAAATTTCTCTAAAATCTCCTACTAGAAATATTAAGCAGAATTGTGTTGATGTAATATGCTAACAAAATTGAGTCTTCCAAGCAATGAACATGATATATATTTATTTAGCCTTCTTTAATTTTTCTCACCAATTGCTTTTAGGGGCCTTGTACCTGCTTCATTGCATGTATTGTTAAGCATGTAATGATTCTGGCTGTTAATCTCTATTATGTTTTATTGAATTTCATTTTCTAGCTGCTAATTGCTAGTATGGAGAAATTAAGATGATGAAATCAACTTTATAAAGGCATAATTTCGGTACAACAGACTGCACCACTTTAAAATGTGTAATTCAATGCACGTTTACAAATGGATACACTAACGGAACTACTGCCACAACCAAGATAGAGGAAATTCCCTATGCCCCAAAGTTTCTTGTACCCCTTTGCAGTTCATCAGCCTTTCAACCCTCAGCCCCAAGGAGCCACTGTCACTTCAGGTCCGTTTGCATTTTTAACCATTTTCTATAAATGAAATGATACCTGTGTTCTTTTGTGTCTGCCTTCTTTCATGCATCAATGTAATTTTAAAATCCATCTGTAATGTCTTGTAAATACTGAGTAGTATTCCTTCGTGTGGCTATACCATGTATGTTTGTACTTTCACTTATTATTGGACATTTCTATCATTCCACGTTTGGGCTATTATGAAGAAACTATCATGAGCATCCATACGTGGCAGGCCAGGTCTCACTAACACAGGCCTCCCTAACAACTGTTTCAGTACCGACTGAGTGGTTCAATTAAATATTAAGAGGAAAAAAAAAAAAAAGAAGCCAGTGCCCTTATACAAAGGCTGGAATGTAACAAAAGCCCACCAAGAGTTTTGCCTAGGTTTTTCCTGGGCCTTAAAGCATGACGAAATAACGAAGGCATTCTTAACAGGAGCCATTTAGTATTAAACGAGTTTTATTGGGGGTCTGAAGAAACTCCCCAGGCCTCCACAAACAAGTTTATTGGAGATCTGAAGGGACTCTCCAAACCTCTGTGATTTAGCAGGAGACAAGATAAGGGACCCCAGCACCTAGACCCATTTAGATTAACTGAATTTAACTGAGGTTCCAGAGGAAGGTCTTCAGGACTCAGACTTAGTTATAGATTAAAAGAAGTTAATCATTTATGTATTTAGATGAATGCACACTTCCACATACACATATAGCTTAGAAGGTACATTAGCTCAGGAAAACTTTCCAATTTTGAGTTGGTCTGGTGATAATTTCCAGGCCGTTTCCCTGTAACCAGTTGCAGAAGTCAAAACTCTCTTCCTCCCCAGTTCATCTGTGTCTCATTACTGAGCCATGAGAAATAGCAGCCCGCCCCTCAGGTTGGTCTGGAAACACACATACAGATCACTGTGCAGACACAGTGTGTAAATTCCTAGGAATGGAATGACTGTCTATCTGATTTGTGTTATGTTTAACCTTTAAGAAACTGTTAGATTTTCAAAGGAGCCATACCATTTTTCATTCCTACAAGTATAAGACTTCCAAGTGCTTTATATCCTCACCAACAGGTGCTATTTTCAGCCTTTTTAATTTTAGCCATTCTTATGGATATGTAGTGGTATCTCATTGTTGCACTGATTGATCTCCCTGATGACTAAACAGTGGAGCATCTTTTCCTATGCTAATTGCCCATTCATGTATCTTCTTTTCTGAAGTATCTAAGTCTTTTGAGAAATTGTTTCAATGTGCTGTTTATCTTATCAGATTGCAATATATATATATATGTGTGTGTGTGTGTCTGTATATATATATATATATATATATATATATATATATATTCCCTATTTGGAGATGATAATCTTCAAAACGGTGAATATATACACACACACACACACACACACACACACGTTTGTGTGTGTATGTGTGTATACATATATATATGTCCTAAGAATCAATTAGACATACATGTGAGTATCTATTTCTGGATTCTCTCTTCTCTTCCACTGATATATATTCCATTTTTTTTTTCAACAAAACACATAATCTTGATTTTCATAGCTGTAGAGTAATTCTGGAAATAGGTAGTGAATTCATTCACCATTATTCTTTTATAATATTGCTATTTTATTATTCTTGATCATTGACATTACCATATAAATGGTAGAATCATCTTGTAAATTTCTACCAAAATGCCGGTTGGAATTTTTATTAGAATTGCATTGGATCTGGAGATCAATTTACGAAGAACTGACTTTTTAAACATAACAACTCTTCTGATCCATGACAAGGTTTATCTCCCCACTAACTTAGTTCTTTCATAATTTCTTAAAGCAATTTTTTATAGTTTTTGGTGTACTGGCCTTACATAAATTTTGTTGACTTTCCTTTTTTTTTTTTTTTTTTTTTTGAGACAGAGTCTTGCTCTGTTACCCAGGCTGGAGTGCAGTGATGCGATCTCGGCTCACTGTAACCTCTGCCTCCCAGGTTCAAGTGATCCTCCTGCCTCAGCCTCCCAAGTAGCTGGACTACAGGCACATGCCACCACGCCTAGCTAATTTTTTGTATTTTTAGTAGAGATGGGGTTTCACTGTGTTAGGCATGATGGTCTCCATCTCCTGACCTCATGATCTGCCCACCTCGGCCTCCCAAAGTGCTGAGATTACAGGTGTGAGCCACGGTGCCCAGTCTGTTGAATTTATTTATAAGCACAACATGTATTTAGATGTTACTTTAAATGAAATTGTATTCTTATTTCATTTTCCAAATGCTCATTGCTAATATACAGAAATACAAAAGACCACTTATATTGAGAGCTTACATTCTGCAACACTACCAAACTCACTGATTAGTTCTGGTAGATTTTTGTAGATTTCTAGCATTGTTAACAAACACAGTCATTATCTGTGAATAAAGACAGCTTCAATTCTTTCTTTTCAATACTTTATTAATTTTTCTTACTTTATTGCATTGATTTAGAGCTCTAGTATAATGCTGAATTAAAAGAGTAATAACAGGTATTCTACTTTTTTCTCTGATTTAATAGAAAAGCATTCAATCTTATGCCATTTAATATAATGTTACCTGTGGGTTCTTCAAATCTGCCCTTAATGGGGTTGGAAGTGTTGCCTTCTGTTCTCATCATGCTGAGCATTTTCTGGGGTTTGTTTTTATAAATCATGAAAAAAGTTTTCAATTTTGCCAAATGCTTTTACTGTGTATGACAAGGTAATCATACAGTTTTTCTCTTTTGCCCTGATAATATACAAAATGATATTTTTTAAATATAAAAAAGAGGCCGGGCATGGTGGCTCACGCCTGTAATCCCAGCACTTTGGGAGGCTGAGGCGGGCGGATCACACTTGTGGCAGCATTGAAGGCTTCACTCTTCCCCAAGGGATCCAATCTCCCCTCAGTCAAGAAGCTCCAGGTATCTGAACTGGATGCCAGGTCAAAAATTCCCACTATGGTGACTCCAACAGGTCTCTGTCCTCAGAACTAGAGCTTTTCTAATTATTACATAAGTTGACTTCTTAGTAGATTTCCCATCCATTACATCCCAGACACCTCACAATGATTAGTAACCACCACATGTCCCTGCCTCTCAAGGAAATCCCTCCCGCCATGTCTCTAGACAGCCAAGTCCCACGGCCTGTCCTCTACTCTTCCAGAACCCTGTTGTTCTGACAGCAGGGAGGGCAAATCCATGCAGCATCTCCCGCCATGACCTCCAGCCTGCAGAGGAGAGGTGCCACAGGACCTTTACACGCACGCCGCTGTTCCCCTCACCCATGCATTTCTTAATGCCTTGGTGAGGAGAATGCCTCTGGGTCTTCCTTGATGGGAGCTAAAGGAACAAAGGTAAATAATGCTATGGGACCCACTGAGAATTGGGGCTGTGGAAGAGTGGCCACTGAAGTAATAGACAGATGCAGCTATTACCAGATACTCAGTGCCAGAGCAGGGAGGGAGAGGGAAGAAATACGGACCTCACCTTCCTCTCACTTCCAGGCTCCATCGGGTGCCCCCACTGCTAAACCTAACTACAAGTGTGCACACAGGGGAGCCAGGGATGCATTCTAGAAGGGACAAGCCCCAAGTGGCATAAGACAGGATGGAAATGAGTGGAGAGTGGATCTGTGGGAAGGAGGAGGGGATGTTATGGGGAAACAAAAGGAGAATACTAGCTAATAACGCTAGGTGACACTAATATCCCCAAGTCTGTGCTCATATTCGGAAAAGACAGCTCAGTGTAAAGCACTCAACCAGGAGTCAAGATATTGTTATTTTCAACTGTTGTTCCAACAGTTGTATTATAAAGGGTTAGTTTATTTCATGCCTTTCTAATTTGACATAAAGTGCTACATGGCATTGGGGCTGGTACAGCCTCACTCAATTATGGGTTGAAGAGTACACAGAGACTGCCAGGCTGAGGGAACGTGCAAGAGAATAGAAGAGATGCTCACAGAGAACCACAGACCGCATGGCCCCAGAGTCAGGGGCAGCATCAGCCACTGTCGGCTGCTCATTTGTCCAGACATAGCCCACAAGCCTCAGCCATGCTTTGCTTCTGCAAGATGCTTCTTCACCTTTTCAATAAACCTGCCTGAATTAAAGCTGATGGGAGTTTATTTCTCCTTCATCATAAAAGAAATTCTTCACCACAACAATCTCCAATGAATTGTGGGCACAGAAGGCAGACCCATCCCTGCTTCTCTTCCACTATCTCCCCTGTAGGTTGAAAAGGAGGAGGTACTGAATTACCTCCAAATGTTCCTCTGGCTCTGATATTCTGTGACTCTGGTTTCTTTTTGGCTACTTTGTTTTTGCAAGCATGTATCCTAAGGCGTCCAGTTGAAAAACCTTTGTCTACTGTGTCCAGACATTCCTGGTGGTATTTCAGATAAGACACTCTTGGGTTGCTGCACTCACAACCACTGAACCAATTCTATGACCATCTGTTTCATGGCCACCTGTTTGCTCATTTTCTATGTACATAAAGGGAGGGGACAGACAACAAATTTGCATATTATAAACTGTATCATCTTAAAAAGGAAACAAGGCAATATTTTGCAATAAAACCTTAAGATGCATTAAAAAATTTAAGCCTAATGCAATAAAGAATGCCCATAAAATTATTATCTAAAGAATGTTTAGAAAATTGTTGAACAAGGGACATCATCATTTAAAGTGATACAAAGAAAACTCAGCTAAGCATATGGGCTAGATTAGAGAGAAAAATAAAGGACCCATCTCTGCCCTGGAAAAACTACTGGTAGCATCTTTCAGAAAGCTCTCTGTGTTTGAGTACGCACCTTGATCCATAGGCTCACATTTGATCCCAACTGGCGGCTGCTTCTTGGCATTAACTTTGGATTCCCAACCAGTAAATCTTAGCAAGATCTGAGTTTCTCCAGGTATGATATTATTTTGTTTGACCATCCTTATCTTCAAGGGCTACCAAGAAGAAACAAATCATTTATTTACCTCCCCAGAGGAAAAGGTTTTACCAATGAGACACTTTCTTACCATGACCCCAGGGCCCCCATGCCCTGTTCACTTGAGTGCCCTGTGTGGCCTGAGAGAAGCTCATACTGGTCACAGGATTCTTTATATGATTAACCTCCTTCCTGAATCCCAACTTTATGGTGGTGGTGATGACAGGTATCCCATGCTCATGTCCCTGAAGTCATCAGCCTGTCTCCAGTTAGAAAAAATTACATGTATATAGAGAGGCCTCTTTGGAAGTAGCAAAAGCTTTCTCACCTTCATACATTAATGGTTGGAATGTACAATAGTATAAACACTTTGGGAAAAAATGTCTGGCATATTCTTACAGAACTAAACAACTATCTATTCTATGACTCACTAATTCCTAAGCATTTATCCAAGAGAAATTAAAACATATGTCCAGAAAATGATTTATACAAGAATGTTCATAGCAGTTTTATTCATAATAGGAAAAACTGGAAACATTCAAATATCTATCAATACAAGAATGGATCAATAAACTGTGATACATTCATTCCATGGAATGGCTAAAGGAACAAACTTTTGACACACAAAACAACATGGATGAATCTCAAAAACATTTTGAGTGCAATAGGAGCCATACGCAAAACAGTGTGAGAAAAATGATAAATAATAATGGTTTCAAGAAATGCAGAGCAGAGAGCCCAGAGGCAAAGACCCACAGGACAGAGGGTCAGTCCCAGGCTGTGGATCCTAACTAAGAAACTCCTGCTGGATTTTGCCCAGCTCCATTTCCAAACTATTTTGGGTTAGTGACTTCTTTATCCCCTCCATGTTCCCTCATTTTGAACTAGAATCACTGTAGTTGTTATTCTATGTCTGTCTCATCATTTCACATTAGAGGCAGATAAGCTGTTTGTTCAGTTTCACAGGTCGACAGAGGTAAGGGAATTATGTCAAGGATCTGCACTTAATGGACACTCTCGGAAGCCTCATTCACACCTGGTGTGGATGTTTTAGATGGGATTTTAAACTTTTGATCTGATGTGGTCTACATGACATTTTTCATGTTGAACTAATGCTTTAATGACATGAAATCTGGAAACCTCAGGGGAGAGGGTAAATGCACTTTGCAGATGGGGGAATGTGAGTGTCCTACTGTGGTAGATGGAATTTCTGAAATGGTCCCCAAACATGCCACACCCTTGTCTCTAAAGCCTCTTAAGGTGATGAGACACCATTCCTGTGACTATGTTGTTATATGCCAGTTATATGACTTTAAGATGGTGAGGTTACCGCATGAACTCGATCTAATCACATCACTCCATACATGACAGAGCTTTGTGTGGCTGGTTGGAGAAGATGAAGTCAGAGAAGGTGGGAGCTTGAGAAGGACTCCATGAGTTGTTATTGGTTGAAAGATGAAACAGACAGGTAAGGAGGAAAGCACGTGGCCTCTGGAGTCAGAGTAGACTGTCTCCCCGCTGACAGCCAGCACAGAAAAAGGACCCTCAGTCCCCCACAAACAAGAATAGGAACTCTTTCATTATCTGTAGTGAACCTGGAAAAATAGCTTGAGCTCTAGGAAAAAAACACAGCCAGCCCATTCCCGGATTTTAGCCTCACATGACTCTGATCAGAGAACCCGGCCACTTCATTCCAGACTTCTGTGGTTTCAAACCACTGGTTTGTGGTAATGTGATAATAGGCAGCAAGAGAAAACTAGTACAGGTGCCTGTCTCTCCTCTTGAATTTCAATTTCAGATAAATGTATGCTAACCCTCTAAGAGAAAAAAATCAATCAACCAATCAATGAAAGAACTACAGTAAAAATATTGCCCTCACCTTTATGTGGCTGTTCCAGAGCCCTTGCCACCTGAAGAAGACAATGAGGGGTATTTCAGGCACTTGAGGAGTGTGGCTTTACTGTTATCAATCACATTTCTGGAAGAATAAAAATGGTTCAGTGAAGGGATGGGTTGCCCCTCCACACCTGTGGGCGTTTCTCATTAGGTGGAAGGAGAGACTTGGAAAAGAAAGAGACACAGAGACAAAGTACAGAGAAAGAAAAATGGGCCCAGGGGACCGGCGTTCAGCATACGGAGGACCCATGCTGGCACTGGCCTCTGAGTTCCCTTAGTATTTATTGATCATTATCGGGCATTTCCAGAGAGGGGGATGTGGCAGGACAATAGGATAATAGTGGAGAGAAGATCAGCAGGTAAACACGTTAACAAATGTCTCTGCATCATAAACAAGGTAAAGAAAAAAGTGCTGTGCTTTTGATGTGCATATACAGAAACATCTCAATGCCTTAAAGAGCAGTATTGCTGCCAGCATGTCCCACCTCCAGTCCTAAGGCGGTTTTCTCCTATCTCAGTAAATGGAATATACAATCGGGCTTTACACCGAGACATTCCATTGCCCAGGGACGAGCAGGAGACAGATGCCTTCCTCTTATCTCAACTGCAAAGAGGCCTTCCTTCCTCTTTTACTAATCCTCCTCAGCACAGACCCTTTACGGGTGTCTGGCTGGGGGACAGTCAGGTCTTTCCCTTCCCACGAGGCTGTATTTCAGACTATCACATGGGGAGAAACCTTGGACAATACCTGGCTTTCCTAGGCAGAGGACCCTGCAGTCTTCCGCAGTGTAGTGTGCCTCTGGGTACTTGAGATTAGGGAGTGGTGATGACTCTTAACAAGCATGCTGCCTTCAAGCATTTGTTTAACAAAGCACACCCTGAACAGCCCTTAATCCATTTAACCCTGAGTTGACACAGCCCATGTCTTAGGGAGCACAGGGTTGGGGGTAGGGTTACAGATTAACAGCGTCTCAAGGCAAAAGAATTTTTCTTAGTACCGAACAAAATGGAGTCTCTTATGTCTACTTCTTCCTACACAGACACAGTAACAATCTGATCTCTCTTTCTTTTCCCCACAGTTCAGGTCAGGCCGTGGCTCGTGTCTGTAATCCTAGCACTTTGAGAGGCCAAGGCAGGTGGATCACTTGAGGTCAAGAGTTAGAGACCAACCTGGCCAACATGAAGAAACCCTGTCTCTACCAAAAATACAAACATTAGCCAGGTGTGGTGGCAGGCGCCTGTAATCCCAGCTATTCAGGATGCTGAGGCAGGAGAATCACTTGAACTCAGGAGGTGGAGGTTGCAGTGAGCTGAGATGGTGCCGTTGCATTTGAGCCCAAGGAAAAGAGAAATAACTCCATCTCCAAAAAAAAAGATAAAATAAAGACGGTTCACTACTTAACTCCAAATATTATTATGTGAAAATGTATCATCTCAATTTTAATAGCAGATTTTAAAAAATTCCTTTTCTTGTGCTCACCAGACAAGGTTTGGTAACAAATACCAGTCACCAGCACAGATGAACCAATTCAAGGAGAGCCATAAACAGGACTACTATTATGTTTCCCCAAAAACCATCCCTAGAATGCAATCTCTTCTCTACTTGTCACAAAATGAACACAATAGTCCACTATATAAAGTCCCAAACACAGGAAAATGTAAATATAATGAAATCTGCTTTCCAAATGTTTATTTTATTCAGACCCAGTCATGAGGACCAGGGATTAGGAAATGACTACAAACAGGTTCAAGGGAATTTGGGAAGTGACAAAATATGCTGAAGTAGAACTCTGCTGATGGCTGCACAATTCGATAAATCAACTTACATCATTGGGTTGTACATTAACAATGGGGGACTTTTATAACAAGTAATTCTTTAAACAAACTTTTGGGTTTCTATTTCAACATGGAAAGAGCTAGGCAGTCATCACTTGTCCTCACAGCTAGAAAAAAGCTGAACAAACTGAAAGTCAATCCTTCTAGGGTGGATCAGAGAATTGAGGTCACAGGGAAAACTGCCACCTTAAAAATGAGAAACACAGGCTAACACACAAGGAGTCACAGCTCACAGGGAAGAGAAGCTACTGGGGACAGCAAGTGGGAGGAGCACTTAAATGGTATTGACAGATTACTAGAAGCTGAGGGTAGCCTGGCTAGAACATTAAAAACTCCTTGAAGACCAGACTAAGGGGGAATCTCACACATTTCCAAGTGTTACTACAATGATCTCAACCAGGTTCTCATGATGAAGTTCAGAAAAACTCCCTGAGGTTTGGCACTACCAACTTCAGGACTTACATTAAGCTACAGTAACCCAAATAGTGTGAAGTTGGTGAAAAGAGAAAACACACACATATAGATGCATGGAAAAGAATACGGAGCCCAGAAGCAGGCCTACATACAGTCCACTGATCTTCCATGGAGGTTTAGAGACAATTTAAAACAGCAAAGATAGCCTTTCCAACTAGTGGTGCTAGAACAGCTGGACAACCACATGCAAAAAAATAAATAAATCCAGGTATGCATGTTATATACCCTTTATAAAATAAATCTTACATGTAAATGTAAGGTGCAAAACCATAAGAATCCTAAGAGATAAAATAGGAGAAAATCTGAGGGATCCTGGGTTCAATGATGGCTTCTTAGATACAAAACCAAAAGCACAATCTACTAATGAAAAAAAATTAAGTTGAGCCTCATTAAAATTAAAAACTTCTGTTGTGTGAAAGACACTGTTAAGAGAATGGAAAAAGCAAGTCACAGACTGGGAGAAAATATTTACAAAATAATCTGATGGAAAAACTGCTGTCCAAAATATATGAAGAATTCTGAGAACTAAACAACACAAAGCAAAAAAAAAAAAAAAGGTGAAAGATCTGAACACCTCATTAATAAGATATACAGATGGCAAATAAGCATATGAGAAAGATGCTCAAAATCATTTGTTGTGAGGGAATTGCACATTAAAACAACGAGATATCACTGTAAACCTATCAGAATGGCTAAAACACAAAACGGTGAACACACCAAATGCTGTCGAAGATGAGGAACAACCAGAACTCTCCATAGCTAGTGGAAATCAAAAGTGTACAGTCACTTTGGAAAACTTAAGTTCATTCAAAATCCTGCACATAAGTACTTGCAGCAATTTTATCATAATTGTCAAAACTTGGAAGTACCCAAGACATCTTTCACCAAGTGAATGAATAAACAAACTGTGTTGTAGCCATACAATGAAATCTGATTCAGTGATTTTACAAAACAAGCTGTCAAGTCATGAAAAGACGTGGAGGAACTTAAAAGTACATAATGCTAGAAAGAAGCCAGTCTGGAAACCTACATACTGTAATTCCAACTCTAGGACATTCTTGGAAAGTCAAAAAGATAGAAGTAGTAAAATGATGAGTGGTTGTCAGGGGTGGAGGAGAGGAGGAGGCACGAAATGGTGAAGTACAGGGAATTTTCAGCAGTGAAACTATTTTGCATGATGCTGTATTGGGGATTTAGGACATTACATAATTGCCAAAACCCATAATCTGTGAAACTCAAAGAATGAACTCTAGTGTAAACTATGGACTTTAGTTGATAATGATGTATCAATAGTGGTTCATCAATTGTAATGAATGGACCACACTAATACAACATACTAATAGGGGAAACTGTGTGCTGGAGGACAGGGGAGCCTAGGAGAACTCTCTGTACTATCCACTCCATTTTTCTGTAAACCTAGAACTTTTCTAAAAAATAACATCTATTACTTTTTTTTAATTAGGATGCAGCAGCCCCATACCAAGGTTTTGGTGGCATCCTGTTATTGTGTGGTTAGTACTTGGCATTGAAGTGCACCAACCTGGAGTCAGAGCAGTTGGAGATTTCAATGCCTGTGCCATTTACCTCTAACCCTGGGGTGCCCCCAGAACACAGATAGCAGATCAGTTAGGCAGAAGCAGCCTCAGTCATCTAGACAGTGCAGGGTTCTGGTAAGGACAGGTGCAAACCATCTAGGTGGGCAGAACTTGGTGATGACTAGGAACCACTGAGACTCAGCAGCTGCCCCAGTGGCACCCACAAATCAGAGGAGGAGGAGGCTGGGAGGACCTAAGGGCTACAGGACGAGCTCCCTGCCTACAAGACAGAAGCAGCTCCAGAGGTTTTGGTAAGTAATGTAGATTTCAGTGCAGTGTGGTCTATTTAAAAAAATAGAACAAAAAGGAAAGAAAAAGAGAGAGCATGAGAGACAAAGAAAAAGAAAAGAAGAAAGGAAGAAAGGAAAGAATGGAGGGAGGGAAGGAAGGAGGAAGGGAGGAAGGAAGGAAGGAAGGGAGGGAGGGAGGAAGGCAGGGAGGGAGGGAGGAAGGGAGGAAGAAAGGAAGGGAGGGAAGGCAGAAGGGAAGGAGGGAGGGAAAGAATAAAGAGAGAGAGAAAAAGAGTGGGAGAGAAGTAGGGAGGGGAGAGAAGTAGGGAAGGAAGGAAGGAAGGAAATGAACAAACTTACATGAAGATGAGAACATCCAGGGGAACTTACACCACCAGTATTTTCCATTAACAGGAACACGCTAACTAGTTATTGGAGACAGACGCACTACTGTAAAACTATATACTGTTTCCATGGGGTACAACCCCTTCTTCCTTCTCTGAAACACATTATTCCTCTGGCCCACTGTTGCCAGAGACACTGAGTCTTGTCTTTGGATAAGTTCTGGTGCCCAAAAGAATGAGATGAGACAGTGGATCCCAGAACACCAGGCCGCAACCTTCCCTGCTGCTCCTTGTCCACTCCAGAAGCTGCCCAGCTGCAGGTGGGGGCCTCAGCCCCTGGGTCTGACATCGTCCATTTGTCATTCTCACTGGACTTCCCTCCTTGCACTGGCTCCCACTCCCCCAGGACCTGGTGGACGGCCACGTGAGAAGGATACAAACAGGCCATGCCCCTTTCTTTCTCCCCCTCTCAATGCCTGCAGTGGTGGGTTCCATGGGGTAGTGACCTGAGATTTACTCGTTATGGGGTCTCTAGCCCAGAGCAGGGCATGGTGCCTAATAGTCACCCCATGAATGCTCAGTGAAAGAAGGCATCCACCACAAGGTCCTGGGGAACCAAGAATTCCACTGTGGCCCATAAATTCTAAGTCCTACAGGATTCTGGAATGGGAGATGGGAACGGCCTTCAAAAGTGGCCTCTCTTTTAACCCATTATACTGGCAACTGAGCCATGTTTCCCCATCCTGGACACATCTAGAGGGCACTGCCTAAAACCACACACATCTCCCCACCCAGGACAGTGCAGGGCCTTAGCCTGGGGGATGCGGGTGGACAGGGAGGGGGTGAGCCATGAAAGCTGAAGAGAAGAAAGCAGGTGAAAGGGGACGGCAGGGTGGAAACAAGAGACGGAAATGGGGGCAGAGAATGGGGGGTAAGAGGGGAAGAGCAAGGAGTGGGATGCAGATCTAGCTACTAAGGAAAAGTCCTGGAGAGAACACTGTCCTCTCCTGAAGTAAAATCACTTCCACCTGACAACAGCACTGCAGGTCGAGGGTGGCACATGCTGTGAATATTTGTTCATTCATTTAACAAATATTAATTCAGTATCTGTTTCATGCCAGGCAAGGCCCTGCGATGTTTAGGGCCCTTGGCATCTTCCCTTCACATCTGAGTCATAATAGAAAAAGGACTCTCTGACTCCATCGAGCTGGCAATGCCTCAGGGTTTTTACCTGTGGGATCTGGCAGCTCTTCATTCGGCCCACACCGTGTGAGGTTGCTCTTGGTGCACCGAATGGGGAAGTTTCTACATCAGTACCTCGGAGAGTCCACTGGAAGCCCTGGACAGTGGGAGTTGGTGGCACCCCCAGCGTGGAGGCCAAGAACACACAGCACTGAAGCTCCAGGACACCCTCAGGAGGACGGTAAGGGACGGTAAGGTGAGAGCCTGGGTCACCAGGAACCTTCGCCTGCATCTAAACAGGATTTGCTTTCAGATTGCCTATGAGATAAAAGAGAGAAATCATGGTTAATATTGAGATTTGGGGCTTCGGCAACTTGAAGGATGGAGCTGCCGTTTACGGAGACTGGGAAGACCCAGGGAGGAGCAGGTTGAAAGGTGGTGGGGAACTAGAATTGTTTGGGTTCCTGTCATATGTAATCAACAGTCCTCACCAGCCTCGGCAACATAGTAAGACCCCATCTCTGAAAATAAAAAATGAAAAATTGGCCCAGCATGGTGGCACACACTTGTAGTCTCAGCTACTCTGAAGGTTGAGGCAGGAGGATTCCTTGAGCCTCGAATTAGAGGTTAGTGAGCTATGATGGCACCACTGAACTCCAGCCTGGGGGAAAAAAAAATAAAGAGTCCTGACTAAATACTTGAGTAGCCAGGGAAGTTTTCACCAAGTAATACTTGAGGCAGATCTTAGTGAACAAGAATTCGATTCTTTCTGTTAGGGAATTAAGAGTGTGTGGGTGTAGTTAATGCTTCTTTGGAATCTCATCTACTGGTCTATCTGGTCTATCTGTACACGTATATTCTACAGGCTGTCTCGCTGAGCTTTCGCTAGGTTATGCTACAGTAACAAAAGCCCCAAAATCTTAGCAGCAACTCATACAAAGGTTTACTTTTCATTGACATTTCCTTTTATGTCAGGTTGACTGTGACTCTGCTGTATACAAGCTATTTTATTTGTTAGATGGTGAAAACTGTGACACTTGGAGATTGTTGAATATGGTATTAGTATGTTCATTCATTCATTCATTTAACAAATATTTATTCAATATCTGTTTCATGCCAGGCAAGGTCAAGTACTGAGAATACAGTGGTGAATAAGAGACAAAATCTCAAATTTCCAGGAGCTTATGTTGAAAATGAGATTGAACACATACAAAATAATCATAATAACAACAATGAATACTATATTCATAAATAATAGCTGTAAGAGATTTTAGTAAATCTTTTAAATTAGAAAAACATAAAAATTATTAAAACTAAAATGGCCAGCGGTGATGGCTTATGCCTGTAATCCCAACACTTTGAGATGCCAAGGTGGGAGGGTCATTTGAGCCCAGGAGTTTGAAACCAGTCTGGGCACTACAGGAAAACCCTGTCTACAAAAAATAGAAAATTAGCCGGGCATAGTGGTGCATGCCTGTAGACCCAGCTACTAAGGAAGCTGAGGTGGGCAGACTGCTTGAGCCTGAGAGGTCAAGGCTGCAGAGACCCATGATCATACCACTCCTCTCCAGCCTGGGCAACAGAGCGAGACACTGTCTCAAGAAAAAAAAAAAATTGTTCGATGTAGTCCTAAAACTATTATGTAGAATACTATTGTTTACATCATATCACGTCGGCCCTTTAAATGGCTTAACGCTTATTTAGGTACGATCCATAAAGTTTTCCTGGTAATTAAGTATACCTAAGAACAATGAAGTATAAAAGAGTTACTGCCTTGACAGGAAGATTGTAAAAATTGTAAAAAGATAAATAAATAAAGAGTCAAAACTGTAGCTCTGTGAGGCTCAAATAACATCTAATTCAAGTCACAATGAACATCTAGCAATCACTGTGAACACCACATACTTCCCTTAATACATTTTCCCTGAATGCCCAACACATCTGAATTACCAACACCCGTATGTAGCCAAGAAACTGACAATCATTTATAAATTATCACCTATGACTCCATCTGCTCTATGCACTTATTTTTTAAATTTTACTCATTTATTTATTATTTTTATTTTTTGTAGAGATGGGATCTCACTATATTGCCCAGGTTGGTCCAGAAACAGAAACAGACCCACACTAATTTCATAAATTGGATGACCATGCAGTCATCCGATTTAAGAAAAAAAGTGCCAAACAGTGCAGAAGGAAAAGGATAGTCTTTTCAATAAATGGTGCTGGATCAAGCAGACACATCCATGTAGTAAAAAGTGAATCACAGCCGGGTGGGGTGGCTCATGCCTGTAATCCCCACACTCTGGGAGGCTTAAGTGGGAAGATTACTTGAGCCCAAGAGTTTGAGACCAACCTGGGAAACATGTTGAATCCCCATCTCTACAAAAAATATGAAAATTAAGCCAGGCATGGTGGCACACTCCTA
The DNA here is from genome assembly GCF_000001405.40 of Homo sapiens. Lineage (NCBI taxonomy): Eukaryota > Metazoa > Chordata > Mammalia > Primates > Hominidae > Homo > Homo sapiens. The sequence goes on along the minus strand of NW_025791753.1, from coordinate 35,118 downwards.
TAGTCGCAGCTACTCAGGAGGCTGAGGTGGGAGGATCGCTTGAGCCAGGAGGTGGAGGTTGCAGTGAGCTGAGATCCTGCCACGGCACTCTAGCCTGGGCAATAGAGTGAGGCCCTGTCTGAAAAAAAAAAAAAGAAATGCAAAAACTAAAATAAAATTGTTATAAGGTTAACACAGAAAAATGTGTTCATACTCCTAGGTTAGGCATTGATTTCTTAAACAGGACACAAAAAGCAGTAACCATAAAGGAAAAGATTGATAAAGTATAATTTCATTAAAATTAAGAATCTCAGGCTGGGTGCAGTGGCTCATGCCTGTAATCCCAACACTTTGGGAGGCCGAGGCAGATGTCTCACCTGAGCCTAGGAATTCCAGACCAGCCTATGCAATGTGGCAAAACCCCATCTCTACTAAAAATATAGAAAAGAGCTGAGTGTGGTGGTGCTCACCTGTAGGTCTCAGCTACCTGGGGGCTGAGGCAGGAGGATCACCTGAGCCTTGGGAGGTCAAGGTTGCGGTCAGCTGTGATTGTGCCACTGCACTCCAGCCTGGGCAACAGAGTGAGATCTTGTCTCAAAAAGAAAAAAAAAAGTTAGAGAATCTCCATTCATGAATAAGCACCATTAAAAGAGCGAAAAGGCAAGCTACAGATTGAAAAAAGGGAAATGCAATACATATATATCGTAGAAAGGACACATATCCGGAAAAAAGTATTACAAATCAACAGAAAAACAAGCATATCAATGAAAACTGGATAAAAAGATTTAACAGGCACTTCACAAAAGAGGACACACAAATGACAATAAAAGATACTCAATCTCAATACCAGGAAAATGCAAAATGAAATCACACTGATACATTACTGCACCCCTACTAGAATGGCAAAATAATTTTTAACTGACAGGCATCAGCAAGGTTGTGGGGTAACCAGAATATCCCTGCTAAATGGTACAACCACTTTGGGAAAACGTTCAACAATATGTAATACTAAGTTTTATCATTCATATACCTCTAAAACCAACAATGTCACTCCTACAAATATACCCCAGTCTAGTAATGTTCTATTTCTTGATCTGTGGTGGTTCACTTGGTAAAAATTCATTATCTGTACTTTTTTTTTTTTTTTTTTTTTTTTTGGAGACAGGGTCTCACTCTGCCACCCAGGCGGGAGTGCACTGCCATGATCACGGCTCACTGCAATCTCAACCTCCTGGGCTCTGGTGATCCTCCCACCTCAGCCTACCAGGTAGCTGGGACTACAGGCACACACCACCACACACAGCTAACTTTTGTAATTTTAGTAGAGATAGGGTTTTGGCACGTTGCCCAGGCTGGTCTGGAAATCCTGGGCTCAAGTGATCCGCCCACCTTGGCGTCCCAAAGTGCTGGGATTACAGGTGTGATCTACCGCGCCCGGACCACCTGCACATTTAAAATTGTGAACCTCTCTGTATACTTCAGTAACTTTTCAAAGATTTCTTTGACACAAAGTTCTCAGAAATCTTAAAGCTAGCATTTCACAACAGAAAAAAAGAGCTTCTGGTTCACTGGTGAAATTTTACTAATAAAATTTAAAAACAAAAAGCTACTAACACATATCAGCTCAGAACAAAGACTAAACACTACCAGCAGATCTTTCCTTTAACTTCGTGAAGCACTGGGATTCATTCTTTCGGCAAAGAAAGGATGAACAACACTGTAACCCAAAGAAAAGGTATCACTGCAAGAAAAGACTTCTTTTTGAAAGCAGCTCTAGCAGCAAAAGATAGGAGGAAAGCAAGAAAACCACGCCAAACGTCTTGGTTAACTCTTCGGAGAAAGGACGCCAAATGAGAAGATCTAACAAGCCAGAAAGACAGATACAGGGAAATCACGCCAACTCTTTGGAGTGCAAACACCAACCCCACAATCCAACCTACTGGAAATCCTGCGGTGAATTAGAGGCCTGCCCCGCTAGTCATGAGGTGATTCAGTGATGGCTACAAACGCGCCTCATGTGTTGCCCATCACCAGCCTGGAGAAACCGCCAGGAGCAGAATCCCGGAGGCCAATAAAGACCCCAACTTTGCAAGTCAGGGGCGCGAGTGGTCTCGCCTCTCAGGTCCCCAGAGGCAACTGATTTCTGGCCTCGAGGGTGGGGTGCGGGGTCAGGGTCCTCCACAGGATACACGAGGACGTGCCCCCGAAGCTGCTCGTCCCTCCACCCCCTGGGATGCCACAGAACACCCGCCAGCGAGTTTCTTCCCCAGCGCCCAAGAGATGAGGGCTGCGGGCGGCAGCGGCAAGCGAGGAATCGAACGCATGGAACTTAAGCCTCGGCGGGGCCGGAACACATGCCCTCCCAACCCCCCACCCCGCCTCGCCCTCCGTCGCTCGCAACAAAACTTGCGACAGCCGCAGCTCGACCCAGCTGTGTACCCGCGGGTCCCGGACTCACCGCCCCCCGGCCTGGCGCGGCGCCTTCACCTCGGAAACGCTGGGTGGACTTCGCTGTAAACCGTAACTTCCCATCCAGACGGCATCCGTGCGCCGCGCCTCGGCCCGCTCCTGGCGCCACAGGTCGCCCGTCCCGCGTTCCCAAAAGCACCGCGTTCACTCAGATGCTCACGCAGCCTCGCGACCCTCACCTACCCCTCCCAATACCGCCGCTGTCTCAACCGCCGCCCAGCCCATAGCCTGCGCCAGCTGGCTCCTCAGGGTCCCGCTCAGCGCGTCAGGAGAGCCCAAGGCGCAGGCGCAGCGGGGCCTTAAAGGTACATGGCCGCCTCTGCAGCACAGCGGGTTCGCGCGGGCCAGGAAAAGGAGTAACCGAGCGGATAGACAGAGTGCAGCAGAGACCGGGAAATCCCTCTCTCCCCTCCGCCTCTCTTTTAAAGCACCAGCCCTTGACCCTACAAATCGCTGATTTCCAGGGCCACTTGAACCGCCCCTGCCAGGTTAAAGGGGCAGAAGACACACCCCCTCGGGGGCCCGGAGCGACCCCGCGCTTAGGACTGCAGGCCTGGTGCTGCAGCACCGCCCCCGAGTCTGACTTCCAGGCCCGGGCATGGGGTGCAGACGCGCAGACGTGGGAAGGCAACCCCCAGCTCCCCCGAGAAGTGGCCTTAGGTCACTCGCAAAAACAATAACCCACATGTCAGTGGGACTTGTAATGATTTTCTAATTTAAATTAATAACAGATTTTGCAGATGGGCTTCCACTGAAATAAGCCTTTGAGAAAAAGAAAAACTTTTTCAACAAGATTAGGAAATACCAAGAAATAGGAAGTAAAGCCATGTGGTCCACCCAGCTAACAACTTTGAAAACTTGAAATTTTATCTAAGGCAAATGCTTGCATAACTTTAGGTCGTGCCATTATTATTATTGTTATTATTATTATTATTATTATTTGAAACGGAGTCTTGCACTGTCGCATGCAGTGATGCAATCTCGGCTCACTGCAACCTCCGCCTCTTGGGTTCAAGTGATTCTCCTGTCTCAGCCTCCCGAGTAGCTGGGACCACAGGCCCTCGCCACCACGCTCGGCTAATTTTTGTATTTTTAGTAGAGACGGGGCTTCACCATGTTAGCCAGGCTGGTCTCGAACTCGTGACCTCAGGTGATCCACCAGGCTTACCCTCTCAAAGTGCTGGGATTACAAGCATGAGCCACCCACTGGGCAAGGCCTGCCTGGAAATAATCGTGAGAAATAAACTCACCCGTCCAAACCCAAAGAATGGACTCCAAGACCCGGAAAACAGCAGAAGTGCGACTTATTATTAATGACAGTCTTGCAAGATCGGGTGTCTGGTAGGCAGGCACACCCAGTAGGCTTACAACAAGCAATTTATCCCCTAGTGTGGAAGTGCCTCCCCCGGTTCCTCATAGGCTGAGTACTATGGGGTCACAGTATTCCCGGATGTCGCCTATTGGATCTTGGGTTGGGACTTTTAGGTTGTTGTTTTTTTTTTTTAGGGTTGTCTCCCTGTATTTTGTTGCAGCCCATAATGCATTGCAATCATGGTCAGCTCGGGGGCTTTTCAAGTATTTGACTTATGACCTGGGCAGTCAGGCAAGCTGATAAGAATAGATGTAGTGAACTATTTTGCAGGCTAGTAAATGTCCATTCTAGACTAAACTCTTTGGTTTGGACAAGGCAGCTAAGGTGGGGGAGTGGGGGTGGGCGACAAGCAGGCACCAGCTATTAAAGCAGCGGCCTAGTATATTCTGTTCTTCCATAGTTTGCGGGCCCAAGCCTAACTTCCTACAATAATAATTATATACAAAAGTTTTTAAAAGGGATAAAAGAAAAGAGGGGATGTCTCAAATGAATACACTTAAGCTCCCCCCTCAAGAAACAAGAAAAAAGCAAGTAAAAGAAACCTAAAGCAGGCCAGGCACGGTGGCTCACGCCAGTAATACGAGCACTTTGGGAGGCCAAGGTGGGTGGATCACCTGAGGTGAGGAGTTTGAAACGAGCCTGGCCAACAAGGCAAAACCCCGTCTCTACTAAAAATACAAAAAAATTAGCTGGGCATGGTAGCACCCACCTGTAATCCCAGCTATTCTGGAGGCTGAGGAAGGAGAATCGCTTGAACCCGGGAGGTGGAGGTTGCAGTGAGCTGAGATCGCACCACTGCACTCCGGCCTGCGCCATGGGAATGAGACTGAATCTACAAAAAAAAAAAAAAAAAAACCTAAAGCAAATGGAAGGAAATAATACAGATAATAGCAGAAATCAATGGCATTGAAAACAGAAAAAAACAAAAGGGGAAACTAGTGAAAATAAAGCTGTCTCTTTGAAAAGATCAATAAACTTGACAAAGAAAAAAAGAAGTCAGCTTATGAACATCAGGATGAAACAGGGACTACACTCGTTACAGACTGCAGATATCAAAGGGATAATAATAAGGGAAAAACTATTTAAAATTCTGTACACACATATATTTGACAACCCAGATGAATTGGACAAATTTGTCATAAGTATCAACTACCACAACTTACCTAAAGCAAAACAGGTCATCTGAGTAGCTCTGTAACTATGAAAATAATTGGATTCCTAATTTTAAAATTTCCAGAAAGAAAAGCTCCAGGTCCAGATGGTTTCACTGGAGAATTCTACCAAACGGTTGAAGAAAAATTAACATCAATTCTTTTTTTTTTTTTTTTTTGAGGCGGAGTCTTGCTCTGTCTCCCAGGCTGGAGTGCAGTGGTGCAACCTTGGCTCACTGCAAGCTCCGCCCTCCGGGTTCACGCCATTCCCCTGCCTCAGCCTCCCGAGTAACTGGGACTACAGGTGCCCACCACCACGCCCGGCTGATTTTTTTGTATTTTTGGTAGAGACGGGTTTTCACCGTGTTAGTCAGGATGGTCTCGATCCCCTGACTTCGTGATCCGCCCGCCTTGACCTCCCAAAGTGCTGGGATTACAGGCGTGAGCCACCGCGCCCAGCCGAATTAACATCAATTCTGTACAATCTGTTCCAGAAAATAGAAGATGAAGGAACACCTCTCGACTATTTCTGTAAAGCTATGATTACCCCAACTCCAAAACCAGACCACAAAAATGTTTATCAGTCAATGAAGAAAAATCATTTGACAAATTCAACATCTATTCATGATAGAAATAAAGAAGGGAGGCCAGGCTCTTTGGCTCATGCCTGTAATCCCAGAACTTTGGGAGGCCAAGGTGGGTGGATCACCTGAGGTCAACAGTTCGAGACCAGCCTAGTCAACATGGCAAAACCCCATCTCCCTGTTAGGATTCTGTAATTTCTGTTTTTCTCATCTGCAGTATATGGATTTGTTTGCTCCACACCATCCGTTCTGCTGCTGAGCCTATCTGCTGGACTTTTTATTTTAGTTGCATTTTTCACTTCTAATACTTCCATTTGGTTCTTATTTATGTCTTGTATTTATTTGCTGAGTCTTTCAGGAATTAAGGGGTAGATCAAAACAGTTTCAGATTAAGAAAAGCTAAGGGAATCTCTGACCAGCAGTTCTGCCTTAAAAGAAAGATGTCCATAGAAAAAAGAACAAAGAAACTAATCAGAGAGAGAAAGGGACGTTATAAAATGATGAAAGGACCAATCCACCAACCCCTCCCCTGACAAAAGTCATAAATATCTATGCAAAATTTCAAGTCATAAATATCTATGCAACAACAACCTTAAATACTGAACAGATAGCTAGACTAATCCACAAATATAGCTGTACACTTCCATGTCCCCCCTGTCTCTTGTAGGACATTGAGCCAGACAGCTGACCTGTCCTCTACAAACAAGTCCATGCCCCTACCATCAATGACAACAACAAAAAGATGAGGAGATACTTTGGGTTCAAAATAACTAAAGAAATATAGCTACATTATCTTTTTAGTTTTTTTGAACCCAAAATGTCTTTTCTCCTTTTTATTGTGTGATTCGTGGTGACATGGACTGTCTGAAGGAGACAGGTTATTGTCCTGCTCAGTATTCTACATTCTGCAGTTGTCTATCTGGTGATTACCTCCTATGAAACTCAAGCTAAGCATTTTTAGCAAGAACATGGCATTGTTCGTATTCTGCACTGGCAGAGTCCCAAGTGACATGCTGTCTCCTGCCAGCAGCTCCTGACTCCTGTTCTCTACAGGATGGAAGCTGAGAGGAGTAGGGCTAAAGCCTCTCAATGCTGTTTGTCCATCTGGCTTTGGTCTTCCTAAGTATTGGTATCAAGTGGAGGCTGAAGGACTGTGGCTTCTCTAACCAAAGGAGCCTAGTGGGTTAACAATTGTCAAGAGCAGTCAGTGGTTCTGAAATACAATCCTCAGCCATGGATCCCTCCTGTGTTGTGTTAAGCTTTCAATTGCTTTGCTCTTTTAGTTCTATTCATCAAATGAAAATGCTTTTTGTGACATCCGTTCTTTCTTTTCATTGTTCCAGCAGCATTTAGTATCTGTAGGAGAGAGAGAAGGAAAGATCAAATGGGCATCTTTGTCAGGTCCTGCTGATGGCTGAGTCTAGAGGGACTGTTAAGTGGTGATAGCCCGGGGCAAACTGAGCTCCTGCTAGGAGGATGAGCTGAAGGGTGAGCCTCAGGCTGAGTGAAGAGGCAAGTGCCATCCGCAAGTGAAAAATAAACACCCCTGAACTTCCAGTCAGCTTGAGGTGAAGGATATAGGGATCCTAGCTCTGCCCAACGAGCAGCCCCTTTCCTCCTGATCCCCAGTGTCTGGAGCAGAGTAATGGCTTTTCACACCCCTCAGTGAGGATGTTCTCAGCATCAACCATGAAAGCTCAGAAACAGAAGGCTGCAGAAGGAAAGGACCTTTTGCAGAGAAACCCACTCCCTTACAACTCCATGTCCCCGTCTCTTAGGGAAGGGTGCGCAGGGCCATGGGAAGAACCCTGGAGGTGAGATACAGGAAGGACCTCAGACCGCATCCACATCCAGTTCTGCCTTTTACAACAGAGGAGCAGTGATGCCACAGGGCTGACTTAACTAAAGCCACATGACTTGCAATGGACAACCCTGAAACTAGAACCCACGCACAAAGTCTCTTTCAATAAGTTAGAGAGAAGGGAGAGTCAATTCTCCAATCTGGAGTTCTCAACAGTCACTAGAGGTTGCTGGGTCACCTTGGCTAGGATAGGAATGAGCTTTTACAAAGAAATATGATGTCACTGCTGCTTGTTTTGTTGGTTAAAATAAAAAATGAGAAAAAGACAAAAGAAATATTATGTGTTCTTCCAAAAAGGATCAGAAGAAAAGGAAAGAGTCAAATGGAATTACAAAGGAAGGGTGGTGATTGCAACCATGGCCCGACTTATTATCCCTAATTCCCTGAAGTTGATTCCACACCTGGTTACACCTTAAGGCATTTCTAGAAACATGCTCAATATCTGATCAACAAAACTCTGAAGTAGAAAGTGAAAAGGATTAGTTTGTGTTTTATTACATTCTCCTCTCCCTGTTACATTTTTCCCAGAGTGGTTTGTTGGGAAAGATTTCTTTTTAGAATTTCATGCCAGCAGCAAGGGTAGCATAAAAAAGTATTCATATATCATCTCTTCCTGAGTTTCAGTTTTTTTATTATTATTATTTCTTTTCTTTTTTTTTTTTTTTTGAGATGGAGTCTCACTCTGTCACCCAGGCTGGAGTGTAGTGGTGTGATCTCAGCTCACTGCAACCTCCGCCTTCCGGGTTCAAGTGATTCTCCTGCCTCAGCCTCCCGAGTAGCTGGGATTATAGGCACGTGCCATCATGCGTGGCTAATTTTTGTATTTTTAGTAGAGACAGTGTTTTGCCATGTTGGTCAGGCTGGTCTCGAACTCCTGACCTCAGGTGATCCACCCTCCTCAGCCTCCCAAAGTGTTGGAATTAGAAGCATGAGCCACCATGCCCGGCCAAGTTTCAGTTTTTACTTATTATTATATTCTGTCTAGTGGAGTGAGACCTACGAGTTCTCTTTGAGGATTTGGCTGAATGACAAGAATTGAGCAAAGCAGAATTTTTACATTGCAGTGCCGAACCCATTAATGGGCTGTGGAATCAGTGTGTGGAAATGTAAACTGCAGGATTTATTTTAAAATTGAAAAGAAGGCTGGGCATGATGGCTCATGCCTAAATCCCAGCTCTTTGGGAGGCAGAGGTGGATGGATCACTTGAGGCCAGAAGTTCGAGACCAGCCTTGCCAACATGGTGAAACCATGCCTCTACTAAAAAATACAAAAATTAGCCAAGTGTGGTGGCAGGCACCTGTAATCCCAGCTACCCAGAAGGCTGAGGCATGAGAATTGTTGAAGCCGCAAGACAGAGGTTGCAGTGAGCCGAGACTGCGCCACTGCATTCCAGCCTGGGTGACAGAGCGAGACTCTGTCTTAAAAATAAAATACAATAAAATAAAATTTAAAAGAAAATACTAAATCTGAATATGTGTAATATACGAGGTATTGTTTTCTGTATACTGGGTTTCAATATAATGACTATTTCTTATTTTACTTGTACTCAAAATTAAGCAAGTGTGCTTTAAGTAGAGAGACTACAGGTCTAATCCATCTATTTTCTTGTTTTTCTTTTTAATTTTTTTCTACGTTCTACAAATACTACTGTTGAGAGGTGAATACAGATCCCATCAATGTCTGATGGATATTCCGCCTTTTGTGTGGAGTAGCCACACAAGTGGTCATCTCCATGTTGAAAACCTGAGGTCAGAGTAGACCAGTGGTCCTTGTCATCTTCAGTTGTATATTAGAATATCATGGAAGTTTTTTAAAGGTACTGATGCTCACATCACACCCCAGACCATTTAAGTGAGAATCTCAAGATGTCAGTTCAAGGCATTCATCTTTATTGAAATCTCACCAGGTGCTTATTACATGGTAGCAGGATTTAGAGACAATGAATGAACCAACCTGATTTCCCATCATTTTCTTTCCTATCCTCATTTCTCTCGTGATTGCCTTCATTCTCTGTGGCTCTGTGGATTTTAGTCTTTCTTCTGACTATTTCAATTAAATCTCTCACTTGGGCTGGTCTGAGGCAAAGTCTGTCCTGTAGATAGGTTCTTGTCTATCATCTTGTGTAGACATAAAGCTGGCCCCTGGACTCACTTTTCTCAAAGTTAATTCATTAAATGCTCTCTTATTTCTCTGTCCTCAAGATTCACCTGAGTTGTGTTTTAGACTCTAACTGAGCTTGTAGAAGTAAATATGTGAATAAAAAGGACAGAGGTGAGAATGCACTTTGTGGTCTATGTAGGTTCAAAGTCCTGCCCTGCCCTCTGCATCTATCTTTGGATGAGGTCCCTTTGGAATATCATAAATGTTCTCCAGTTAATGTCAGCTAAGTGAGTCCATGAGGAGCAGACACAGTCCCTGGAAACTTCATCCACGCTGGCATAAGGTTGCCCATCTAGAGATGAAGACACACCTGACTCCAGGCTAGTAGGGAACTCTCATCTGTGACCCAGGTTCTAATTTAGTTTTTGATTTGGAGTTCTTAGTGCTCAGTTTTAACACTTCTCATTCCCATGTACAAGGTGAGGGTTACAGTTTGACTTAGTTGTGTTGCTCAAAAGCTGTCCCAAGAGAAAAATCTGTGTGTAAATGATGTATTAAAGCAATGCTCCTGGCGGAAAGGGGCAATGGAGTTTGGGATGCAGAAAGGAAAGGCAAATTACTCAAGCTGTGCAATTCCAGGCAAAGAACCCTGTGTTTAGCAGCTCACACCATGCACTTGGAGGGGGACAAGGAAGTTGGGCTCTCCTGCGGCCATGAGAGGGACTCTTAGGACAACAGCAGTGGGAACAGAGCAGAGTTCAGAGAGCAAACAGGGGATGGGGATCAGAAGGACCTGGCAGCATGGCAGCCCATGGGACACAGAGGTAATACCAGACAGAGGTGACAGCAGCTGCTGGAGAGAACAAATACAGAAGAAAAAAGCAGTGGGAGAAGGAGCTGTCATCATAGACAGAGAGGAATAAGGAGTGAGTGCAGCTAAGAGCCATAGATGTGATTACCTTCCTGCTCTAAGCTTGCAGGCCAGGGAATCTGCATGCCAGTCTCCACTTGCTGAACAGCAGTTTTCTTTTGATCATCTTCGGTTTTAGGACACTTGAGACATGAATGTGGCCAATGACTTGATGCCCATGTATGTTGTCAGCTGAGCCTTCAATAGCATCACCTTCCAGCTGGGGAGGGTTCTTCATTCAAGGGAAGGCTCTAAACCCAGCTCTGAAAATGAAACCACACCCAACAGTGTTCACTGTCATCCATGATCTTACTGTGACTTTCTCTTCCACCCAAGAGGATCATCAGAGAAGGAAAGCGGCCTTGAATAAGAAAGTCCAACGGGTAAAGGGAAGCCAGGAAAGACATTTTGGTATTTTCTGTATTGTTGATTTTTCATGCATCACCCAGTAATGACAAGATTGCCAGGAGGAAAAGGTGATCCCAACTGACAAACATATTCAAAAAATTTAGGATTAATAAACACAAATAGTTTCCAGGTAGATAAGGCAAAGGCAAGGAAGTCAGACTGGATACAGGCTGTGTTTTGGGAGGGAGGAGATTCTAAAACTCAACATTAAATGAACATATGAGAGAAAAGAATTGGATAGACTAAACATGAGATATTGATGAAATGAGCATGCAGATATGTATATAGCATATATCTACATTTTATTAAAAATACATGCCAAATATGCATAATATATATATCCAATGACATAAATGCATATATTTATATATATAAATCTATTGGAAGAAATTATTACATAAGGATGTGGAAGATGTTGAATTAGCGTTATAATCACTAACATTATAATCTGGTCCACTGAAACTGGAAAAAATTTTAGAAAAATAAGATGAACGAGAGAGAGAAGACATGGTGAGAAACAAATGCCCTATTAGACAGCAAGGAGAAGTCACCAGGTAAAGGACAATGAAACAAAAGGCATTCACTCTGTCCTCTTGCCTGGAACCTGGTTAGTGATCCGGACTCCTGGGAAAGCCAGCAGGTAAGAGTGTTGGAGCCAGCGGGGTGAGTCCTGACTAGGGGTGCAGGAATCCATGGAGAAGCAAAAGAGACACCAGTGGGAAGAAATCAGTTTAAATACTCAAAGTTATCAGGGCACGTGTCAGGGACTACGCATCCCCCGACACTCACTGAGCGTTTTCCATGTGTCTTCTCCATGGACCCAGATGGTGCTCGTTATCTCACGTGACCCTCCCTCCTCCTGAGGACGTGGGTCTCCTTATTCCTCGGCTGGGGTCATCGATTGACAGATGAGCACCAGGCAGCCCCAGGGGCTCCAGGAGTAGATATTGAGTGGGACGGAGAGTAAGGATGAACACAACCCAGGGTTTTAAGGAAATCTGGGCAGAAGTGGATCCCTGTGAGAAGAAAACTGAGGACATGGCCGTGGGCATGAATGGAGATGATGAACTAAATGGAGTTTCATAAAAGAGACAGATTTATACCCTTTCCATGAGAAGGTTGCCCTTTCATTCTTTTATTTCAAAACGAGGGGAGAAAACAGAGCAAGAAGCTGGGTATGTCAGGAGACTGACTTGTGGGCCCAGGATTTGCACTTTTACTAATGTGCCTAATAGGTTGTTACTGAAGTGCATGACAGGGGGAAATTGACTTAAAAAGGGATGCTGAGGAAGAGAAAGAAAACTGGCAAAAGATACTTTCTAAGTAAACACAGGAAGGGAGTCTCTAGAAAGTAGAGATCCTAACAGTTACTCTTCCTCAGTTGAAACAATGCACGTGAAGTCATTTCCTGAGTGCTAACTTACCAGAAAGATAACAGAATTAGATAACATCTATTCATAGATTTATTAAGCAATTTTTACTGAATTAGCCCTTTGGAAATTATCATAATTAATGTTATCAACAATGATGGAATGTAGATATTATTTTTCAGGTCTCTCAGATGACAGGACTGAGATGTAAATGCCAACACCACAAATAACTTGGCCGAGATGAATAATGAGTAAGGGTTAAGCCCAGGACCTGAGAGCAGATTTGATCCTAAACCCCAGGCTCTTGCTCACCTCACTGGGTTGGAACATTGTGGATTTCTGCTCGACTCTGAGGGAGCACGAAGAGACCCCATTGCCTCCTCCCCTCACAGCACCATGACCAGGACACCCGGATGAGAGCTTCCTGGTCCCCTTTCCTTCTCTACCTTGGAAGGGCCATTGGTTCCCAGGATCACCGTTGGTTGTGAAGCTGCAGGTGGTGGAGGAAACATCCCGCCTGGCTAAGCCATAGCCACAGTCAAACCCTTGATCCAGTTGCAGTCACAGACAATTGGGCACCAGGGTTCTTGGCTCCAGCTGTGCCTGTGAAGTCTCCACCTCTGACAGGTGGTGGCTCAAGTCTCCACTCCAAGGCCCGTGAGGACAGGCCACCTGGGTGGGAGCTGAAAGGAGAAGGGGCTTCAGTAGGAACGCTCTCAGTTTTCCCTTTGTTAATCATGCCCAGAACACCCATCTCTGACATCTCCGCCTCTGAGGTAAGCCACCCAGTGGCCCAGGCCACAAAGACAGACATCATGTAAATGGGGTGATGTCACCTTCCTGTCTGTGCCTGGGGATGCTGAGATGGAAGGTACCCAGGCTGGATGACCCTGAAGTGAAAAACCCCCACTTCAGCCCAGAGGGCTTTGGATTGGCTAACAAGGCCATGCCAAATATTCTGTTATTATTAATCTCCATCCTGCTGCCTAGAAAGAATGTTCTGGAGAACCTTCAGAGCATAGGAAATGCTATTTTTCTCCACACACAGGAGTATAAGAACAGGGGAGGACTTAGAGCCTCCAGGCTTTGGGAAGGAACCATAGAAAAGGGTTTTGGGACACTGTAGACCAGCAGTCTCCAAACTTTTTTGCCTCGGGGACTGGTTTCGTGGAAGACAATTTTTCCTTGGACCAGGGGTGGGGGACGTGAAAAGAGGGAAGGATCATTTCGGAATGAAACTGTTCCACCTCAGATCATCAGGCATTAATTAGATTCTCGTAGGGAGCGCGCAACCTAGATCCCGTTCATGCACAGTTCACAATAGGGTTTGTGCTTCTATGAGAATCTAATGCCACCGCTGATCTGACAGGAGGCGGGGCTCAGGCTGGAATGCTCGCTTGCGGGCCACTCATATCCTGCTGTGCGGCCTGGTGCCTAACAGGCCCAGGACAGGTAGCTGACCACAGCCCCGGGGGCTTGGGTCCCCCTGCAAGAAACCAAATACTACATGAGGCGAACTTTTAAGAGTTCTGGAACATTTTGAATTTCCGTTGCCTATAATGGTTTTACCACCAACCCACACATATACATCTTGTTGCCACATAGTGGGTTTCCGCAGCCATACGCAATGTTGTAAAGGGACCAGTCCCTTCACGGACACTTAGGGGCCACAGGTATTACAGATCAGTATGTGTGGTTCTGTAGGGAGGCAACACCGAGCACAATCCTCATCTTACCCACTCCTCCAGTGGGGTCCGGGCAGCACCCCCTCATAAAAATTATTGCTGTTTCCACAGGAAGAGGAAATCACATTCTCAGAAAGTGGACAAAATGCATTATGATTTGCAGTGGTTTTCGTTTTCTTTTTTTTCTTTCTTTTTTTTTTTTTTTTCCCTGAGACAGACTCTCGCTCCGTCTCCCAGGCTGGAGTGCAGTGGCGCCATCTCGGCTCACTGCAACGCGATTCTCCTGCCTCAGCCTCCCAAGTAGCTGGGATTACACGGAGGCACCGCCACCCCCGGTTAATTTTTGTATTTTTTTAGTAGAGACAGGGTTTTACTATGTTGATCAGGTTGGTCTCCAACTCCTGACCTCAGGTAATCTGCCCACCTTGGACTCCCGAAGTGCTGGGATTACAAGCGTGAGCCACCGCGCCCGGTTCTTTTTTGAATGTTTGGAAGAGTTGAGCTGTGAGGCCATTTGGTCCTGGGCTTCTCTTTGTTGGGAGGTTCTTCAGTCCTTTTATTTGTTATTGGTCGTTCAGGCTTTCGGTTTCTTCTTGATTCAATCCTGGTAGGTTGTGTGTTTCTAAGAATTTATCCATTTACTCTAGGTTATCCAATTTGTTGGTATAGAGCTGTTAATAACAGTTTCTTTTTTCTTTTTTTTTTTTTTTTTGAGACGGAGTCTCGCTCTGTCGCCCAGGCTGGAGTGCAGTGGCACGATCTCGGCTCACTGCAAGCTCCGCCTCCCGGGTTCATGTCATTCTCCTGCCTCAGCCTCTCGAGTAGCTGGGACTACACGCTACTGGGTAGCTAGCTGGGTAGCAGGCACCCGCCACCACGCCCGGCTAATTTTTTTGTATTTTTAGTAGAGACGGGGTTTCACCGTGTTAGCCAGGATGGTCTCGATCTCGTGACCTCGTGATCCGCCCGCCTTGGCCTCCCAAAGTGCTGGGATTGCAGACGTAGGAGCCACCGCGCCCGGCCTAATAATAGTTTCTTATGATACTTTTTACTTGTGAGGCTTCTGTTGTAATGCCTCCACTTTCATTTCGGATGTTATTTATTTGAGTCTTCTCTATTTTTTTCTTAGTTAGTTTAGCCAAGTGTTTGTTAATTTTACTTTTTCCAGAAAAACAACTCGGGTGCGAGAGGCCTACGTTGCATCACCACTGGAGGCCAGTAGTTCCCAATCAGCCTGGAAAGAATAGTAAGACGTTGTCTCTCCTAAAAAGAGAAAAAGAAAGAGAAAGGAAAAGGAAAAAAACAAAACAAAACAAAACAAAAAACCAACAACTCACTTTTATTATTTTTCTGTAGTATTTCTGTTCTTCAGTTGATTTACTTCTGCATTGATTTTTGTTTCCTTTTTTCAGTGAACTTTGGATTTATTTTGTTGTTTTTTTCCTGGTTTCTTGAGGTGTAATGTTTATTTGAAGTCTTTCTAATTTTTTAATGTATGCATTTATGGTTATAAACTTGACTCTTAAGAGCTGTTTTTGCTGTTTCCAAAGATTTTGTTATGTTTGTTTTCACTTTTGTTGGCCTCAATATATTTTCAAATTTCCCTTTTGATTTGTTCTTTGATCAATCAGTTGTTCAAAGGCAAGTTGTTTAATTTCCATGTATTTTTTAATTTTCCAGTTTTCCTTATGTAGTTAATTTTTAGTTTCATACCATTGTGGTCAGAAAAGATACTCGATGGGATTGGAATCATTGTTAATTTGTCTAAGATGTACTCTTCATTATTTTAATTGATGTATAATTGTTGCACACATTTTGGGGATACACATGATATTTTGATAAACATACACAATTTATAATGATCGAATCAGTGTAAGTAGTATATCTGTCACCTCAAAACTTTATCTTTTCTTTATGTTAGGAATATCCCAATTCCTCTCTTCTAGTTATTTTAAAATATACAAGAAGTTATTTTGAGTTATAGTCTCCCTAATATACTATCAAATACTAGAACTTATTCCTTCTATTTAACTATATTTTATATGCATTAACCAATATCTTTTCTTCCTTCTCCCCTATCTCCTTCCCATCCTCTTGTAACCACTAATTTTAATATGTGATATGACACATGAATTCAGTTTTTTCTACTTGTTTATTTTTATATGGTTACAAATATGTCACATCCATTGCTTAAAAAGAAAATCTTCAATCGTTTGTTGCAATATTATGCATTTTTAAATACATTGCTGTTTCAAGATTGTCAAAAATCTGTTCTCAATATATGTGTTCATTTATATTTGGACTCTATTTTCTTTTGATCCATTTAATTGATCACATACCAAAGCTCTGTTGTGGCCATTACAACTCTGTGATTGTTCTTTAAATCAGGTGGAGCTAGCCCTCCAATTTTGCACTTCGTTATACAGGCATTTTGGTTATGCTAGTTCATGTTAATTTTAGAATCAGCTGCCATTTTCTACCAACGATGCATGCTGAAATTTTGAGTCGGATTGCATTGAATTCATAGATCAAATTAGGGGAAATGAACATCTCAACAATATTCTTACACATGAGCAAACGATATCTTTCCAGTTATTAGGCCTGCACTATGTTCTCCGTGAAATGTGCTCTAATTTTCAGTCATATTCACATTTATGGATTTTATACACTTGACATTATTGTAAATGGTATTCCTTTTACATTTAAATTCTGCCGTGCAATTGCATAAACACAATTTATTTTTGCATATTGATCTTATATCCTGCTAGAAACAAATGCTTTTTGGATTCAGGTTTGATCGGCCAGTGGCAATATCTTTGGAAACTTGCGTATTTACCAGGCATGAAGAATCTTTCTCATTTCAATTGGAGCTTTATCACCAGCCCAAGGGAGAGGAATGTCCTAACGCATATCAAGTTCTGAGGTTGGGAAGAGTTTGTCCTTTGTAGACAAATGCATGTGAAATGTTCTGTATGTTCACCAATAAGTTTTCCTTAAGATTACTCATGCAGTTATAAGGCTGCCCATCTGCACTTGTGTTTAGCTGCAATACTATAGTTGTAAAATTTAGAAGCCAATGTTCTCCCTTAGTTTAAAATTTAATATTCAAGAATCTATTCCAACATTATGTAGTGCCAAAAACTTTGGGATGATATGCAATGATATGTCCAGCAAGTATGAGTTTGTACCTGATCCTTATTAGTCTTCCTTCTGATGTGATCTATTATAAAATGAGACCTTTAAGAGCTTTAAAATAATTAATAATGGCATGCTGAGGAGGTTAGTTTGTGGGATATTCAGTAGCCGTAGGAAACAGTAGTTCCTACTCTGTATCTCAAGTGGGAGTCCACTCTTCAGTATGTCAGCTTCAAGACCCTGATCTGCAGTGGAATTTGCAGCCCCCTGCTGTGTCAGCTTCATTACTTCAAGGGAGGGTGAATGCCTTCAGTTCTTTAGGTCACAATTGACACATGTAGCACATTTTGGTACCTCTTCAGTTACTGACCTTTATGCCCACTCATGTCAAGCTTGCTCACCTGAGTGATTCACAAGATCACATTCCCAATGCATCAGATCACAGTGTCACAAAAAAAAAAAAGCATTTATTTTTCGTTATGTATCTCTCCTGAATTTCAACCTTGATAGGCTAACATGGCTCATGAACAGCTTTAAATTTGGTTTCTCAAATGTCTGTCTAATGGTTTACAAAAGTCCAGTTACTCAAATGAATTTATCTTACAGTCCGGTTTTCTATTGTTCCATGCTGTGCCTCAGTGACATAAACCAAGAGTCAGTATATAAAAAAGATTTATTCCCACTGGTTTATAACCAACCAATAACTAGTATGCCTGTTATATATAGTTCTGTGCATTGGGTTGCCAGTCTCCTTCCTTCTTTTGCCTGATTTTTGTTGGAAGTGGAGATGATGTAATGTTATGGGTCACTTCTATTAGTGTCCCTGGACTACAGTTCTACCATCTATTTTTTAAGCTATTTTACCTCGTTATTATAAGATCTGCATATTTGTGAGCATCATTTATGTTATTAATAGTTAACATCTGGGGGGGTGGGGGAGGGATAGCATTAGGAAATATACCTAATGTTAAATGATGAGTTAATGGGTGCAGCACACCAACATGGCACAGGTATACATATGTAACAAACCTGCACGTTGTGCACATGTACCCTAAAACTTAAAGTATAATAATAAAAAAAAAAGTTAACATCTATGGTAGTCACTTCTTTGGTTATGTCAGAGACTAAAATCTGAAAATCAGAAATTCATTCTTTATTTCAGGTGTGTGCATGCTGTTGTGTTGATCCCTCTCCCCTCCCAGAAAAGTCATTGTAGGCCCAAGTCGATGAAGGGACAGACTGTGAAAGAACAGATGCAGAGCATGGACTAAGTATGCAGTGCCTACTGAATCAAAAACTTTGCTGAAGTTGCTTTTCTGCGATTGTCTAACATTCCTCTGAGTCACCTTATCTGCTGCTTAAAAGCCCCAAAGCATTTTCTTAACTGTCTTGTGGCCATTGTTATAAACTCTGCTCTGCTCTTCCTGTGTCAACTACCACACAGTCTGTTTCATTGCATGGCCCTAAAGGCAGAGCCATTTTTCCAACTTTAAGTGCACTAAGGGTATCCTGTTTCTACAAAACCAGTGGATGTTAGTGGTTCTCTTAGGGATTTTTTTTTCTTTTTTGTCATATAAGGCCATAATTGGAGTAATGTGAAAAATATTTTTTCCTCCAGAAGTTATTAGATGCTGCTATATCCAATATTTGTTCTATCAGTACACTATAATGTATCCCAGCTATGCATTTTATATTTCCTAAAACTTCACTTCTGAGAAGGCCCTTCATGTGTTTTTAAAAATTCATGGCCCACCCAGCAGCATTACTAAGTCTTTTGGAGTCTAGCCTCATGGTCTTTCTGTTGATTTTCCTGCTGTCAACATGTAATCTGTGAAATGAAACAAAGGGAGGGGATCCAGGCCAAGACTTGGTGACATTCACTTATGACAGTCAGTAGTCAGACACTATGTGCAGAGATCCTCCAGATCCTGTTTGACCAGCATCTTTGGGAGGTTAAGAGCCCAGCCCTGTCAGAACCACTATTCATTATCATCGACCCTTTCACCAGAATGCACCTGTGGGTGTCGGCTACTGATTTTCTCACCTGCAGGCAACTCAGGCTGAGCTGAGAGCAGAAATCTTAAGCTCTTGTCACTAAGGACTCTTCTGTTCTTCCTCTGTATCACCCGCCGTAACTAGCATAATGCTTTACCCACAGGGGCTCAAGAGATGCATTTGTTGAGCTCAACAAATTGAGAATCCAAGTTGTCTTGATAAGCAGAGATGTTATGGTGTAGAGAATTGGATAGGGTAAGCAGAGGAACAAAACAGGTTGTCATTTTTTTGTTGTTGTTGTTGTTTCTAAGAGTACAAAAATTGTGACTGGCAACTGCTGGGGAATCCTAAGGCAGGACTTTAGTCCCTAACCCCCCTACATTCTCACTACATTCATGGAAGCTGCTTTACTCCTTTCCACCTTAGGTATTTCATCTATAATTAGAGGATAAAACACACAACTTCTAAATGCTAGTACTATGACTGATATAGAATTTATTTTGGACATGGGTGAATCTTGGAGTCTCCAAAGCATTTAAATTACCAGACAGAGGCTGGGAGTGGTGGCTCATGCCTGTAATCCCAGCACTTTGGGAGGCCGAGGTGGGTGGATCACCTGAAGTCAGGAGTTCAAAACCAGCCTGGCCGACATGGTGAAAACCCATCTCTACTAAAAATATAGGAAATTAGCCGGGCGTGGTGGTGCACACCTGTAATCCCAGCTACTCAGGAGGCTGAGGCAGGAGAATCGCTTGAACCCGGAGGCAGAGGTTGCAGTGAGCCGAGATCATGCCATTGAACTCCAGCCTGGGTAAAAAGAGCGAAACTCCGTCACAAAAAAACAAAACAACAACAACAACAACAAAAACATATATATATATATATTACCAGACAGAAGATAGATAATCTGTGATTACTATGTCAAGGACAATTTTAGAATACTTGTTAAATTCACCCCTTTCTTTTCACAGCTGGCCAGGACATAGTCAGTAGCTACTGATACCTTGAATACCTTGGCTGTGTTAACTGTTTTGACCCATCATGGAGCCAAGATGTTGGTTGTACCTTGAGATGCTGATCTGGCTGAAGTCCAGGGTCACGGGCCCAGGATAGGTCATTCAGCTATTTGAAAAAAACAGAAGAGAGACCAGGCCATCCACTGAGGTCATCTCCATGCAGCATGGGCCACTGGTTCCAGTGAACCCACCATCACCATACTTCTCAGGAATCGCTGGTCACTAGACTGAGAGTTCTGTCAAAGCTGAGATCATATCTTGCTAATCTCTGTGTTCATGGTTCCCAGCTCAGGGTCTAGCACTGAGGGAGTTCTCAGGAGAGTGTTCATCAATTATTGAATAAAAGCGATTGCAAACCTCCTCTCACCTGCATTCCTGTCCCAAATATCCTGTCAGGGATGCTGAGATTTCTCCCAGGATGCAGCAAATCCCTTTCCTTAGACTGGCCCTTGCCTTACACCATTCATGCCCCAGGATCCCTCTCTGTGGGACATTGGAGGAAAATGAGTCTGTTCTGAAGAAGTCCTCTTATGGTTCCCCCTGTCATTAGGAGCAATGTCTTCACCTAAACTCCCACTCTATGGGTTGCCACAGCACCCCAATGTGGGGGAACTTTCATATTTTCTTAAAAAGCTATATTTCTGTTCTTTCTCTCATGGGCTTGAGTTCCTTTGGGGAGACATTAATATCTGAATCCCAAGTGTTTAACACAGCGTAAAGAAAATTAAACACCAATAAATATTTATGAGCTATCATTTGGAAACCTCCTTCAACTGTAAGTACAGAAGAATATTATAAGTATCACTGCTTTGTATACTAGCAAGGGACACTTACTCTAGCACCTGACCTAGGGCAGAGCTTTTTAACATAAGAATGGATGTCTCCAACCCTTCTCCCAGCATGGTTATTCCCTCTAACCCACACTGACCTGAAGAGCATCCACTGCTACGGCAGCCCCAAGGTCAAGCCTCCTGGGTCTGGGGCGGGGCTCATGGTCACATCTTCCCCCTCTTGGAGTTGCTGCTGCCCCTCACTATAAACCAGATGTCATCCAGCCTGTGGCTCTCCCTGGCCAGGGGCAGGAGACTCCTGTGGAGTAAATTTCTCTCTCAGTCCCCACTGCTCAGCTCGCGCTGCTCCTTGAGAGTTTGGATGATGACAGGCATTGCCCATTTCCCCTGAGGCTTCTATCCCAACTTGTCCTTATTCCCCCCTTCTTTGGTTTTCATTTACCAATGGCTTGTGCTTTGTGAGTTGTTCTCATCCCCTAAACCTGCTGACTTTCTTTCTTTTATCTGTTCCCTCAGTTCTGGGCTTCCAGTGTGTGGACTCAGCTCAGGCTCCTGCAGGAGACACACAGAGTCAGGTCTCAGCTGCAGGTCCTGGGTGGCATTAAAAACCATCTCAGCAGAGTTTCACCATGTCTGTCAGGCTTGGCCGGTTGTGGTGGTTCATGTCTGTGATCCCTGCACTTTGGGAGGCCGATGCAGGTGGATCGCCTGAGATGGGGAGTTCAAGACCAGCCTGGCCAACATGGTGAGACCCCATCTCAACTGAAAATGCAAAGGATTGGCTGGGCGTGGTGGCGTGCGCCTGTAGTCCCAGCTACTCGGGAGGCTGAGATAGGAGAGTTGCTTGAACCCGGGAGGCGGAGGTTGCGGTGGGCCGGGATTGTGCCACTGCACTCCAGCCTGGGCAACGAGAACAAAACTCTGTCTCCACCAAGATGACATTTTCCACCCTGTGTCCTGTTCCCCAATAAAAACAAATTCACAAATTCACAAAAAAACTAAACTAAACTAAAACTGTCTCAAAAAAAAAAAAAAAAAAACCCCACCATGTTGGCCAGGCTGGCCTCCAACTCCTGTCCTCAAGGGATCCTGTAATCTCCCCATTTTGGGAGGCCGAGGCGGGCAGATCACTTGGGGCCAGGGGTTTGAGACCAGATTGGGCGACATGGCAAAGCCCCATCTCTACAAAACATATAAGAATCAGCCAGGCGTGGTGGCATGCACTGCCTGTGGTCCTGGCTACTTGGGAGGCTGAGGCTGGAGGATAGCTTGGGCCCGGAAGCTTGAGGTTGCAGTGAGCAGAGATCATACCATTGTACTCCAGCCTGGGTGACAGAGCAAGACTTTGTCTTTAAAAAAAAAAATAGAGGCTGGGCACAGTGGCTGACGCCTGTAATCCCAGCACTTTGGGAGGCCGAGGCGGGTGGATCACGAGGTCATGAGATCGAGACCATCCTGGCTAACATGGTGAAACCCCGTCTCCACTAAAAATACAAAAAATTAGCCGGGCGAGGTGGCGGGCGCCTGTAGTCCCAGCTGCTCGGGAGGCTGAGGCAGGAGAATGGCGTGAACCCGGAAAGCGGAGCTTGCAGTGAGCTAAGATCGCGCCACTGCACTCCAGCCTGGGCGACGGAGTGAGACTCTGTCTCAAAAAAAAAAAAAAAAAAAAAAAATTGACTTGAAGGAGTCAGGCCGGAAGGCCAAATAGGAGATGAATGGGGATAGCGGCTTGAATAAGGGCAGTGGCAAGGAAAATGGGCTAGGGGTTAGGGAAGGGGGCCGACTGGCTGTGCACCCAAATGCTAAAAAGGGTCCAGAAAGGAATGTGTTCAGCTATTTTTCAAGGACTTCTAAATTAAACTCTCTTAAATGATGTTTATATTAAGGCTGGTGGTGGAGTCTTTCAGAGGCAGTGTTGGTGCTAGAAGAGCTCTTGAGGATCATACAGCCTCCCCCCTCAATTTCACAGTGAAAGAAAACCTCAGAGAAGCAAAGCAACTTGCTCAAGGTCACACAGCATTTCAGTGGTAGAACATGACTCGTGGTTCTTAGATAGCATTACCCAGCCTCCACTGAGGCTAATGGCTGTAGGCGCTATGCCAACATGACTAGATCTAAGGCAACCCAAGCAATATTTTAAGGGACTGAACGCAGATTCCCTCTCTTCCCCTTCGCCACCCCTTCCTCCACGCGCGACTCCAGTGATCAATGAATAATTGTGGAAACAGTTCCTTTGTGCAGAACACTTCGTTAAAAGAGGTGCAGAGATACACGTCTGCGGTAGGATTCCTTATCCTGAGATCTGAGAGCACCTCGATGCTTCCCCAACCTGCTAGGTGAGGGTGGAAAGGGCATTCCTGAGGCAGCCGGTGCCCCTCCTCTGCCCCCCAACTCCCACGTGGTTTCTCCAGCCAAGTTCTCAAGGAGTGGCCCCTCCCTCAGCGGCTCCACTGTTGCCATAGCAATTGGGTGGGTGGACAGCCCGTCCTATCTAGAGGCCACCCAGCCCTCGCGTGGGGAGTTACCATAACAACCCCCTAGTAATAGAGGGGGTTGGGTATCGCCCCCTTCCCCCGCAAATGGAAAGGTGGGTGGCTTGATTGGCAACTGGGCACAGGAAAGAAGGAGGGAAAGGGAAGGAAAAAAATAAATAAATAAAAACCATCTCAGTTCCTCAGAGACTCAGAGAAAACACAGTAGGAAGGGACCTCAGAGAGGAACAATAAGCCCCTACCTCACTGAGGAGGAAAGTGAAGCCAAGAAAGACTAAGACTCTCCCAGGCTCCCTCACCACATGGTGGCAGCAGATCGACCACACAAGCCTTGGCCTCAGCCTCCAGGTCCAAAGCACCTAACTCACCCACCAGGAACTCACTGCTGCGTTTCAGAAAACTTTGGATCAAAAACAGCAATTTCCACTGTGAAAACAAATAAAGTAAAAGGGCTTTTCCTTGGACAAACCTTTTATCACGGTTCTGTAGTCCTAGTATTTCTACTCAGTCAGTTGTCATTCGCTGGCTGGTAGATTCAGGCAGGGAGCACATAAAGATTAAGTAATGCTTAACACAAGCCTGCTCTCCCAGCCTGGGATCTCAGCTCCTCCCTTCTTCAGGGAGTTTCCTCTGCTCTAACTGCTGGAGAGTCTCAGCCCTCATGTGGGTCATTTCTCCATGGTGATACCTATTATTTTCTTCCTCTCTTGGAGATAAGAGAGGGCAGAGATTGGTTCTGGGTCTCCACAATTCTAGGTTTTCTCCTAAACCAGCCAGGTCAGCTGAAAGCAATCATGACAGAGAGGTCAGGTCAGTGAAGAGGGTCCCAGGGGAGCAGGGGGTCACAAGGACAGCCCCTCATGGAGATGGTCAGGACCGTGACGTGGGCAACATTTGACCAATTCTGCTGGGGATGATGTGCCAAGGATTAAGGGGAGGATGCTGCCATAAGGAGAAAGGGGAAGAACCAAGGGAGTAGGAGAGGAAGGAAAATAAAATGATTGCCATAAAGATAGAAAGAAATGCAGACTCCAGAGGCAAAGCCCCATGTCACAGAAGGTTAGTTCCAGGTTGTGGATCCTAACCACGCAATTCCTGCTGGACTCTGCTCAGCCCCATTTCAAAAAGGTTTTGGATCAGTGACTTCTTTGTTACTTCCACTTTCCCCGTTTGTGAACAAGAATCACTAGAATTGTTTTTCTAGGAGGGGGGAGGGATAGCATTAGGAGATATACCTAACGCTAAATGATGAGTTAATGGGTGCAGCACACCAGCATGGCACATGTATACATATGTAGCTAACCTGCACATTGTGCACATGTACCCTAAAACTTAAAGTATAATAAAAAAATTAAAAAAAAAAAGAATCGTTTTTCTATGTCTGTCCCACCATTGCACACTGAGGGCAGATAAGCTGTTTGTTCAGTTTCACAGGTTGATAGAGGGAAGGGAATTATGTCAAGGACACCCTCAGAAGCCTCATTCATACTTGGTGTGGATGATTAAGATAAGATTTTAAATTTTTGATCTGGTGTGGTCTACATACCATTTTTCACTTTGAACTAACGCTTTAATGACATGAAATTTGGAAACCTTAGGGGAGAGGGTGAATGTATTTTGCAGATGGGGGAATGTGAGTGTCCAACTGCGGTAGATGGAATTTCTGAAATGGTCCCCAAACATGCCACACCCTTGTCTCTAAAGCCTGTTAAGGTGCTGAGACATCATTCTGGTGATTATGTTGTTATAAGCCAGTTATACGACTTTAAGATGGTGAGGTTACCTGTGTAAACTGGATCTAATCACATCACTGCATACATGCCAGTGGTTTCTCTAGCTGTCAGAAGAAGGTAACGTCAGGAAGAATGGGAGCTTGAGAAGGACTCCATGAGCTGTTATTGGGACAGCCAGCACAGAAAAAGAAAACCCAGTCTTTCAACTCCCACAAAATGAATTCCTCCTACACCTGAAGTGAACTTGGAGAAGTAGCCTGAGCTCCACATAATTACATAGCCAGGCACACCTGGATTCAGCTTCCTAAAACCCTTATCAGAGAACCCAGCCTCTGTTCCAGACTTCTGTGGTTTCAATCCACTAGTTTGTTGCATGTGTTAATAGGCAGCAATAGAAAACTAGTACAAATGCCTATCTCTACTCTTGATTTATTATTTCAGATACATGGATGCTAATCCCTCTAAGAGAAAAAAATTAAAAAGCAAAGAACTACAGCAAAAATCTTGCACTCACGTTTACCTTTATGTCACTATTCTGGAGCCCTTGCAACCTGAAGAAGATAATGAGAGGCATTCCAACCATGTGAGGAGTATCTGTAATGTTACCAACCAAATTTCTGAAAGAATAAAGATGGTACAATACTAACTCCACATAATCTTATGTGCAAATTCATCATCTATCTCTATTTCTTATAGCAGATTTTTTTCTTTTTTTAGCTCATTCATTTAGGCTCGCCAGACCAGGTTTTGTAGCAACTATCAGTTATCAGTAAAAATGAAACAATTCACGAAGAGCAATGAACAGGACTATTATTAAGTTCATCAAAAAAGTCCCTAAAATGCAATATTTCCTCAAACGTCACAAAAATAAGACAATGATTCACTACAAAAAATTCCAATCTAAGAAAATTTGAAATTTAATGATGTCGGATTTCCAAATTTTTATTTTGTTGGGGCCCAGTCATGGGCACCAGAGATTAGGAAATGACTGTGCAGAGGCTTTAGGGTATTTGGGGAAATGACAAAAATATTCTAAAACGTGACTCTGCTGATGGCTGCACAATTCTACAAACCTCCTTAGATGGTTACATCGTAGATTTAAAATTGGTGAGTTTTATTACAAGTAACCTTTTTTTTTTTTTTGAGACAGAGTTTCACTCTGCATTTTCCTCTCACCTGCCCCACACCTCTTCCAAATCTGTTCTTTCACTTCCAGGTCGTTGAGTTTTTCCATTTAAAAATATAAAAGATACAGAAAGAAGAAGATAACCAGTCATCCATATTCCCATCACCTGGAATTAAGTACTATTCACATATGTACATATTTTTTCTTCCAAATCATTTTGAAGTTACTCTCTTTTTTTTTAATTATACACGCTTAGCATAGACCATACCACCAATACAGAAAAAGTACAGATAGGTAAAATTTCTGATCACCTTAAGTTCAAAATAACTTTTGTTAACATTAGGGCAACACTGATCGAGTCATGTTCTTCTGGTATATCTACAGAGAGAAGAATGTATATTTTAGCTAGACTGTCCCCCCCGCACCCCCGCAAAAGAAAAAACAATAAATAAAGCTCTCTCTATATATACACACACATATATATGGGAGCTATATATTATATATACACATATATATATATGCTTTTGTAAAATTGAACTTAGACTCTATTTTTATTTTACAAATATTCCATTTAATAGTGCATGAATTTAACTGAAGACAAAGAGACAGAAACAGAAATGAAGGAATTCCTGAACTCTCAATCACATTTAGCGAGACGCTTTTCTAAAGGAATCCTCTAAAGCTAAACATACATTAAATTAAGTAGAATGCATTATGATTTGCTGTGTTTTTTTTTTTATTTTTTTTGAGACGGAGGTTTTTTTTTTTTTTTTTTTTTGGCTCTGTTGCCCAGGCTGAAGTGCAGTGGCTCGATCTCGTCTCACTGCAACCTCCGCCTCCCATCCGCCTGCCTCAGCCTCCCAAAGTGCTAGGATTACAGGCGTGAGCCACCGCGTCCAGCCTGCAGTGGTTTTCTTACTACTTTTTACAATCAAATTGATTAAGGCATTGGTTGAATATGGTACAATGCATCCATTTCAAGTTTGATGACATGTCTACTACTCCAGAAGGTCCTCTTGTGCCCTTTGCAGTCAGTCCCCTCGACTCCCTGACCCCAGCAATTAATGATGTATTTTCTGCCACTATACAGGTTAGTTTCACCTGTTCTAGAAATTCACCTTGATGGCACCACATAGAATCCACTCTTTTCATCACTCAGCATGAGGTTTTTGAGATTGGCCCATGCTATCTCATGTTTCCATAATTTGTCCCATCTTATTGAGGGTAGTACTCCGTTGGATGAATATATCACAATAGGTCCATTCACCTCTTGATGCATATGAACCTTTTCCAGTTTGGGGACTATTGTAAACAAAGCTGCTAAGAACAAGTTCTTTTTGTGAATATATGTTTTGTAAATTCCACTTGTCATTCCTTAGTATTAACTTATTTTGTAAAATGATGTCACCTTCACAAGTGCAAAATTCATTCAAATGTTACAGAGGTCTGAAGCATAAGTCTACACACTTTCCTTTGTTATATTTCATAATTAAGGGGAAAAAACTTTATCTGGGATGTTGTTTCCTATCAGCAAATCCTTAATGTAAACCATACAGGATGCTAGCTGTACTATTAGACTATCTTCTGTAATCTGTGCAATAACTCTAAGAAGCACTTCGCATTATTATTTTCCTGTAACACTTTCCAACTTGAAGCCTAGCAAATTGAAGGACCTGGCCCCAGGTCAAACAGAAGGCAAGCGGCAGCGCCAGGACTGGAAGAAGGCCTTCCCAAAGGCAGACAGAAGCTCACGTCTTTGTCAGAACCTCGGTATTTCTGATGCGCCTGGAAGCCAATATCCAAGCCGTTCTCAGCCACTGGATTGGTGGGCTGCTTTGCTCAGAAACTCCTCGATCAGGAATCCCAAGCATACGTTAGTGATGACGGTCCCAAAACAAGGGACATTTCTTAACCATTCTAAAAACCCGTTTGCTCATCAGTAACGCAATAAGAGTTGCTTTCGGTCTTGGTTCATATATTTTATATTTGAGCAAGGCAATGTCCGCTGCTGGGGTTAGAAGTAAATGGCTCGTCTTCAGCAAACTAGATCAGTCTGTGGGACGTACGGCTTCCACTCGCAGTGTCCTGAACACTGGCTGGGCTTCCTGTGCGTTCTAGCCGGTTTTCTTTGGA
The DNA here is from genome assembly GCF_000001405.40 of Homo sapiens. Lineage (NCBI taxonomy): Eukaryota > Metazoa > Chordata > Mammalia > Primates > Hominidae > Homo > Homo sapiens. Next base: position 6,807 of record NW_025791753.1, on the reverse strand, counting down.
GCCGCGGGTTTCTGCACGGCTCCGGGGTCGGGATGGCAGAGGCTTCTCGGAACACGCGGATCTATGAGTGCAGTCCCCGGGGTAGCCACCAGGGAACGCCATAGGCTTTCCCGCTGTGTTCCTCCTTGCCTTTTCCGTTTGGGCCCAGTAGTTTCTATTGACCATGACATTACAGATCAGAAGTGGGTGGGGTCAGAAAACACACCCTGGGAGAAGCTGGCAAAATGCCCAGAACCGCCATCACTAGGCCTGGGGTTTTCTTCTGTAGTGGAATTCTCGTGCTTATGTAGTATAGGGAGGAGCGCAGCGCATTTCCGCCAAGACAGGTGAGACTGCAGTTCTGACCTGCGGGCCTCGATGAATTGCGTTAGGGCCCCTGGGCGCCGGCAGAGCCGATCTCCTACACAAAGCAAGCGTGTTATGTCTACAACCGAACGGGGACACTAAGAAAGAGCCCCAAAGGCCCTGCTTTCATCCCAAAGAACAGCGCCTGTCTGCGTAGTTTCTACCTTGCTCTATGAGGTGAGAACACCTTCACCGCTGGCACAGAAATCCTACAAACTCCTGTGGGGACCGCGGTTACAAGCAGACGCTGTGTGAAAGGTGACTCTGGGGGCTAGGGAAAAACACGAAGATTTTCACAGAGCGTGAGACCCCAAGAGACTGGAGACCATGGACCAAATTTCTGCGAACAGTAGCCTTATGTAGAAAGAGCTATGCAATCTTCGTGCTAGTTAGCTTGTGATACACATGCTCACAAAGGCTGGCGCTTCCTTCTCCAGCGAAAAGCAAGGCGATATATCACTTCCCGATTCAAAGCATCCAACTGTAAGAATAACAGTGTAGGGAGAAAGGTCTATAGTCATGGCAATATTGCCTAATGATATTTTTTTCTGTGATGGTCATTTTATAATATTATTTAAAAGTTTTTTTTAATTAAACAAGCAATGGAACTTTGAACAGAAAAATATGAAATTAAAACAATAAAAATTACCCATAATCACACTAGACTGTGATAACTAAACTGTGAATATTTTGGTTTCATAAGCTTTTAATCTTTTTCCTTAGGTATATAAAAATATTTAAGAACCAAAGAAAATTATATCACAATGGGTATATCAACTTAGTATCAGTTTTACTCATTTAATATGCCAAAGGTAACCTACTTATCCTTTGACTATAAGAGCTTTCTAAATGTCTGTATAATATTACATCAGATGAATGCAATATAATTTATTTTAAATATTTCTTTTTTTGTTGTTTTTTTTTTTTTTTTTTTTTTTGAGACGGAGTCTCGCTGTCGCCCAGGCTGGAGTGCAGTGGCGGGATCTCGGCTCACTGCAAGCTCCGCCTCCTGGGTTCACGCCATTCTCCTGCCTCAGCCTCCCAAGTAGCTGGGACTACAGGCGCCCGCCACTACGCCCGGCTAATTTTTTGTATTTTTAGTAGAGACGGGGTTTCACCGTTTTAGCCGGGATGGTCTCGATCTCCTGACCTCGTGATCCGCCCGCCTCGGCCTCCCAAAGTGCTGGGATTACAGGCGTGAGCCACCGCGCCCGGCCTAAATATTTCTTATTGCATATTTAGATTGTTTCTAATTTTTGAGTATGATCAACAACTCTTTGACCAGTATTCCTATAGCTAAGTGCTTATGTTGTAGGTCTGATTATTTCCTTAGTACAAATTTCTAACAGTGGAGTGTCAGTCAAAGGGTATGTACAATGTAAACATGTAGATGTGTATTGTCAAATTATCCCCCACCAAGTTCCTAAAATATGCATCTTTACTGTCATGGTGTAACTACCAAAGTCCTGTACCCTTGAAAACATAGATTCTTATTTCAGAACATCTTTATCAGTTTAAAAGATAAACTATGCCATCCTCTTGTTGTTAGTAAAGTGCATTTCTTTGATTACTCCCCTTTTACAGAAGAGTAAATGAAGATTCAGTAAGTTTGTGTGAGTTATGCATGGGTGCATAGGTAACGCGTGCAGAAAGCAATCACTTCAGTTTTCCATATTTGAGGTCCTCTCTGGGCCAGTACAGTTCGAGACACTAGAAATTCAAAACCACAGATAATGCCCTCCTGGGCCTGTAGGATGTACTTGTTAGGTGGCAGGGGCGAGGCCCAACCAGTGTGCACAACAATGTCATAGCCCCAGGTGAGTGTGGGAGGGGAAGTTGTAGAAATATTTTCCAGCCAAAGAAATCAGTGAAGTAAAGATAGGCAGGAGGCAGGCAAAAAGGAGGCAGGACTGGCAGGTTGTGGGGGCAGGAGTGGCCACGGATGAGGAGCCAGGCTTGGCTACACAGGTGCAGGTGGCACGTGTCATAGGCACAGGCGTGGAGATCTGAGGGCGTAGAGGGGAGAAGACCATGCACCGCCAATGTCAACTGTGTGGAAGCAAACCTGGGCTACATCTAAGAGTCCTGAGAGCAGGGGAGGAGAAGGGAGGAAGAGACAACAGAAGTCCTGGGTGGGAAGCAGAAATATTTCCTGAGTCAATGAAAGAGCCCCAAGCCTCCAGACCTGCCAGGGCTCAAGCAGGCAGCTCCAGATGCCAAGACCTATAATCCAGCAGTTCAGGTTGATTTTGCCAGAGTAGTGTGAAGAGGCCCTGATTTTCCCCTTTAATGTATACCCATACAAAAGGCAGAAGAGTTGTTTGAAAAGCAGGAGATTCACAGTTACAAGCACATAGGAAGCACAAGAAAAACTGGTAGAAGGGATCTGGGCCCTTCAATGTTGACAGCCTTCTCTAGGAGCCCTGGCTACAACAGAATGAGAAGGATCCTTGGGGGGTATAAAAAGGTGGGAAGGAGAACAAGCCAAACAAAACACCACCCTCAGGACTACAGAGAAGTTATTTCAGGCGATGCATTGATTCCATGTTTTTGTTTCCATAGGTTGCTGTTTTGTAACTTTTTTTTTCTTTGGTGAAGGAATTAAGTGTCCTCCCCCACTGTCTGAAGAAAGTTATGCCTGTCATGAAGCGTGCCCTTACTTACTTTGAAGGGGACAAGCCTTTTCTAGCTTCAATATTTATTTCCTATTTTGATGGGGAAACCTTTAGGGAAGTAGAAAGAGAGCTTAAAGCCTTGGGGGAGACATTTTACGTGCTTGCTAAAAAAATGCATTAAAATATTTAGTACATGTCCTGAATGTAACCCAGCCCTCCAGAGCTATTTTTTTCTCACTGTATTAGTCCATTTTCATACTGTAATAAAGAACTGCCTGAGACTGGGTAATTTATAAAAGAAAGAGATTTAATTGACTCACAGTTCAGCATGGCTGGGGAGGCCTCAGGAAACTTACAATCATGGTGGAAGGTGAAGGGGAAGCAAGGCACCTTCTACACAAGGTGGCAGAAAGGAGAAGTGCTAAGCAAAGGGGAAGAAGCCCCTTATAAAACCATCCGATCTTGGGAGAACTCACTCACTATCATGAGAACAGCATGGGGGAAACCATCCCCATGATTCAATTACCTCCACCTGGTCTCTCCTTTGACAAATAGGGATTATGGGGATTATGGGGATTACAATTCAAGATGAGATCTGGGTGGGGACGCGAAGCCTAACCATATCAGGGGAGGGGGCTCACAACTGAATATTTCAGATAATTTTAATATGTGCTGGTATCCACAAACAAGAGCCAACGTGGACTCAGCAGGCAATGTCATGGGCCTTCTGTTTCAAAAATGATTCAGATAGACTTTTATGCTTTTACATGTGCCATATGGGAGTGGGGCATTCTCATCTTGTTCCTTGTTTTACCCTCAGCATCTACCTTTCATAGCAGTAACTGATGATCATGAAATGTTTGTTGATTGAATGGCTGAAGTATAGACAGATGCAGCTTCTGTCCATGAAAGGCATCCTGCTTGCTCCTTGCACTGTGTCCAGTGAAAACTCTTGTTTCTCTGCGCAGCTGCAACACGTTTCACATCACAAGGAGCACAAGGCACTGGCTTCCATTTCCACCCTGAAGCTCAGCAGCCCCATTTGCGTCCCATCAGCTGCCTGCTCCGGAATAGAGGAGGGAAGGGCTGGGCTTCAGAGTTTGCTTTTTTTTCTTGGTTCTGTGAATGGAAAAGGATCCTGTGAAGGGATCCAGATTGATACCTTGGGGTCTGGTGTACGTAGGTCTGTTTGTGTTAACTCACCATTTAAAGACAGAAAAAAGGAAAACATACATATTTATAGCCTCCTAGAGAGAGCCTTGGTGCTAGTTTTGATGGCTTGCTGGGAACACAAGTGAAGTCAAGGGGGGTATTGTGGTTGGGAGCATTGATTTTGGGAGGAAAGTGGTGCTGGTATCATTTAGGGAGGGACAACAAGATGCTCCTGTGGACCACCACTGATTCTCTCACGCTGATGACATCTGGCAGTAGTGACAATGTGATGGGAGCCCAAAGAGGGGAGGGTCTTGTAGAAATTTCACGTGGTTGCATCAACTTCAGCTTTTGGTAACTGGTGGATAGCCAAGCAGCAGGAGTAGGGCAGAATACCATGAGTCCGTGAACCAGGCAGAGAGTTGAATGACATGAACTTGAGTCAGGGAGGAGAAAACTAGGGGCCGGGCACATCTTTGATTAGTGAGTAACCAACAAGGTGGACCCCCAGAGGGCTTAAGGCCCTTCGCTGGAGAACTAGATGGTTATCCCTGGGTCCTGTTATTGAGGCTAGCTTCTCTCAAGTTTCAACGCTAGTCAGACCACCATATCTAAATCATGGAAAGTGTACCACTGGTTATGTTAAGAGGTGATGTTTGAATATTTAGATGGAGATAATCAAAGTATTACAAAAATGACAAAGGATTCAATGCAGTAAACAAGTTAATTTACACACCAGAGTCAAAATTTCACAAATATTATTGCATAGAGTGAAGATAATTTTTTAAAATTTAAATTAATTTAACAAAATAAACATAGTACTTAAATGTGGCTTTTTTGGTTAGATTATTTTCTTATTCAAGATTTTTCCTTTCCTAGTTTATAAGTATTTTGTTGTTATTCTTTCACTCTCTGAAAATTGCAAAATGCATACTTAACTTTTCAAATACAAGTTTTTCCAAAAATTGTATACATCTCCTGAAAATGAGTGCCTTTGAAGATGGCAACTCCATTTCTGCTCCCTCTAATTCACGAGTTATTCTTGACTTGTTTTGTGGAATTAATTAGTTTCATCTTTTTCTTAATGGCAAAAACTACTTGTCATGATTTTTGCATGTTTCCTACCTTCTTGATCCTCATCTTTTTCTCTGATTTAATTACATCCTTTTCTGAGGATATGCTGCAGATAAACTCTCTTTTTTTGTTTGCCCAAGAATGTCTGCATTTCATCCTACTCTTAAAAAGTGGGTCCTAGAAATTCTAGATTGGCAATTATTTTTTATTAGCACTTTGGTGATCTGATTCTTCTGGCATCCGTCTTTCATCATTTCTGTTGAGTAGTTAGTGGTCAATGCCATTCTGCTGCCTTGAAAGTAAGCTGTTTTATTCACTACCTTGTGGATTTATGCATGTGTGTGGTTGTTCTTTGGTTTTACTATTGTTTTTGGTTCGTCCAACTCACCATGACATGTTCAAGTGTAGTTTTATGTTTGTGTACCCTCTATAGATTTAGGAACTTCCCGTTAGCTTTCTTTTGATGTAGGGTATCAGTCATTATCTTAAAATATTACTTACAAACGTTTTCTCTGTTCTATGTTCTTTCTCCTCTTTGTTTAGGAATCCAAGTAAAAATATGGTAAAATGTCTCACTGCCTCTGTTTTGCTGTGATGCATTCTGCATAATTTCTTCTGACTGATCTTTGGATTCACTAGTACCTACTTTAGCTACTACAAAATAGTGAACAGCCATTGCATTTAAAAATTTATTTTTTGCATCTTTCTATTTTAGAAATGTTCTTTGTTTCCTTTTTCACACATTCCAGTCATTTAAAAAATATTTATTTTATTTTAGATTCAAGGGGTCCATGTGAATGTTTGTTAAATGGGTATATTGCATACTGGTGGGGATTGGGCTTCTAGTTCACCCATTACCCAAATAATGAATATTGTACCTAATAGGTAGTTTTTCAACACTCACATCCTCTCCCCTTTGGGAAACCTCAGTGTCTATTATTTCCATCTTTATGTCCATGTGTACCAATTGTTTAGCTTCCACTTGTAGGTGAGAATATGCAGTATTTTATTTTCTGTTTCTGAGTTAATTCACTTAGAATAATGTTCTACACCTCCATCCATGTTGCTTCAAAAGACATGATTTCATTCTTTTTTATGGTGGTGTAGTATTACATGATGTGTATATATATCACATTTTCTTTATCCAATCAATTATTGATGGACCCATAGGTTAGACTTAGGTTGGTTCCGTGACTTTGCTATTGTCATGGTATTGTCCTATAATGATTTGTTTTCCTTTGGGTAGGTGTCCAGTTATGAATATTTCTGGGTCAAAGGGTAGTTCTGTTTTCAGTTCTTTGAGATATCTTCATACTGTTTTCCATAGAGCTTGAACTAATTTATATTCCCACCAATAGTGTATAAGCGTTCTCTCTTTGCTCTGCATCCAAGTCAACCTCTGTTTTTTTCTTTTTTCAACTTTTTAATAACAGCCATTCTGACTGATATAAGATGATATCTCATTGTGGTTTTAATGAGCATTTCTTTAATGATTAGTGATTCTGAGCATTTTTTCATGTGTTTGTTGGCTGCTTGCATTTTTTTTTTTTTTTGAAAAATGTCTGTTCATGTCCTTTGCCCAGTTTTTAATGGGGTTGTTTCTTTTTCTCTTCTTGAATTC